>NC_000004.12:6651998-6958495 GCF_000001405.40 Homo sapiens | reverse complement strand
GTGAGCCCCTGCACTCCAGCCAGCCTGGGTGACACAGCGAGACCCTGTCTCAAAAAAATAAATAAAGCATAAAAAGATTGTTCAGTAATATCTGTGTGTGTGTGTGTGTGTGTGTGTGTATATGTGGGGATCACGTGTATCACCCTTACCCTATCACCCACCTCCTAGACTCACTGAAGTCAGGATGCTCAAGGGACATAACCCCCTCGACCCCCAGTATGAAGCAGGTGAGGCTGTTGGAAAGGTGGCTGGCCAGGCAACTGCAGACTCCGGCTCTAACTGTGGGCTGGCCACCTGGAGCAGTCATCTGGACAGTGACTTGACTCATGCCTGACCCACACCTGGCGCTGTGTTCAGCTGCTGAGTGGGACACAGAGCACAGTAGGCAGTGCCATCCCTGGGGAGCTGAGAACCTGGGAGCAGGATGAGCCTGGCCCAGGCTAAAGGGCTGAGTTATATTTCTAGGCAGCACTGTGGGCTTAACATCGCCAAGAGGGTTAGGATATCCCAACAAGGGGATGATAAAAACAGCCCATAAAAAAAAAAAAGCCAGCACTCCTTTTTTATTTATTTTTATTTATTTATTTATTTTTTCCTGAGAGTCTCACTCTGTCACCCAGGCTGGAGTACAGTGGTGTGAACACAGCTCACTGCAGCCTCAACCTCTCGGGCTCAAGCAGTCCTCCCACCTCAGCCTCTGAAGCAGCTGGGACTACAGGCTTATTCCACTACACTCGGCTAATTTTTGTAGAAACAGGGTCTCACCATGTGGCCCAGGCCGGTCTCGAACTCCTGGGCTCAAGCCATGCTCCCGCCTTGGCCTTCTCCCTCTAACTTTCTAAGATAAAACCTAAAAGACACATTCTCTTCCCAGGAATATAGCAAGAAGTGCCCAATCACCAGCCCAAATTCCTCTCCTGGCAAGACCAGAGGAGACCAGTAGGCAAAAGCAAGAGGCGAGCGCTATATGGGTAAAGGAGAGGAAGTGTGCCCCCGGCTTCAGAACACAGAAACAAAACACCTTTACAGAGCAAGGAGACGCCGTACCATGCCAGCAACTTTCACCTCCATCTGTCCAAGTATTTCTTTACCTAAATATTTACTTGTTCAAATGTATGTTGACTCTAAGTCACACACTGTTCCAGGCATGGAGCGCCTGCTCCCATGGAATTTACTGTAAACATCACCCACTGCTTCAACGTGAGATTGGTGATAGTGTTCCAAGGAAAATAGCCTAGACATTAGGTCAGTTCTCAAGGTCACCCATCTGGGACTCAAACTCAGGCCCTTCCAGGCCTCCCCAGGCAAGTACCGGTGGACCCATGGAGTCTAGTTTCCCAGTGCAGGCTACAAGTTTCTCCACTTTCCTCCCAGTACAAATGAAGAACAGCTGGCCGGCGCCACCCTCAAGAGGAGCACACAGCAAGCGATGTGGCTCCCAGCACGGTGCAACCATGCTCCTGCTCCACTCCCAGACTTTTCCTAAGAAAGGCAAAGCTGTGGGGTGTGGTGGAGGAGATACCAAATCAATGGTAAAAAGGCAAAGACAACCAAGTAGCCGGAAGCAGCTTACTGGCTGTCCATCCCACTCCCGGGGCCACCTTTGTTCGCTTCTAGCAAATGGAGCGGTGAGGAACCGCGGCTCTCTTGGTGAGAAGGCCCCCACACCTGAGCCCGGCCACAGACCCAGTGCTCCTTCCCCGCACAGGCAGCTCAGGCACAGGTCTGCATCTAGAAAGCCACAAGGTGGGAGGTAACCTCGTATCACCTGCATTGGCTGAGAAGTGAGGCACAAGAGGCTTTGAGGAGACCAAGCAGTGGCTATGCCAGCCTTGCCCTTCCACAGAGAAGCAGCCCCGGGCAAGCAACCCCGGTCCCTGGGCCTCCTTTCATCTGCAATTAGAGATCATGCCACCTTCCTCCTAGGGCCAGGCGAGAGTGAAGGGGGACCGGGCGTGTCAGTCATCCCACACACTCTAGGCGCTCAATGGCAGGTCTGTGTAGGCGCGTGCGCAGGAGCCATCAGCGGGGATGGCGTGTTGGGAGCCTGTGTTTTCTGTCTACGCCGTGTTCTTCAGTTTGATTTGTTCAACATTTTTAAACAGAAAAACCTGGGTTTCCAGCTTCTCTTGGAATAGAAGATGTGGCCACAGTGAGCCAGAGCTGCTCAGGAGCCTCTGGCCAGGGGTGGTCTGTCCTGCACAATCCCTCCACTCCGCCACACTCCAGCACACCTGCTACTTCAGCACTTGCATCATCTGTTCGCAGGCGCAGATCTAGGTTTGGAGGGCCTTGGAGCTTACACAGTTTGGGGAATTCTCTAAGAACAAAACTTTATTATGAAAACAAAGTACAAGTCGGGGGGCTATGATCTGTCTCCTTCAGCAGAATGTCAAGCTCATGGAAGTGGGTACCACCTCTTCTAATTACCGCTCTGTCTCTAGTGCCTACGACAGTTCCTGGCACTGAGTAAAACACTCAGATTATTGAATGAAAGCTTTTTTCAATTAATTTTTATAAAGATTACATGAGAATTATTATTGCACTTAACCAAGAGGAAGGTAGGAGGCTGGGGAGATGGGCCCAGACTCGTCCACCTAAACAACACAGAGCTGCGACTCGGACTTACGTGTCCGAGGCTGCTACCTGTCCCTGAAGGCAGAGGACAGCTGGAGAGGCAGGACGCAATCCTCCCTGACCTGGTGGAGCAGGTTCCACAAGCCACGGACACTCATCAGGGCTTTCTCAAAGCCTCTCAAGTCTTAAGAAATAAACCCAAAGTCCCCTCCCTCAAGATACCATACACTTCAACGCCTGTTTGCACTTCAGCAGTTACTCAGGGCTTCTTGCTCTTTCCCTCCTTTGTCTCATTAACAGAAACTGCTGGCAACTTCCGATTCCAAAGCAATCAGAAGCCAGCTGAGCAATGCAGCACTCGGCTCCCATGGAGAGTGCCAGGCCCAGGAGGGAATCTTTGCCACCACTTTCTGAAGCATAGTTACCTGGTGCAGGGCACTATCAGGTGCCTGCCTAGTGCTGCACCAGGCACTTTACCTATGTTTTACATCCTCCTCCCATGACCCTACAAGAAAGGTATTACAGCCGCCACCGTACGGACAGGACACCGAGGCCCAGCGAGGCTAAGACGCTTCCTCCTGAAGGGACATAGCAATCCTGTTATTCACCAAAGGTAGAGAAGGCAAAACCTAAATGCTTCCTCTAAATCCCACTTCCGAGGTATACTTTCCAGATCTCCACCCCCCAAAAACTGACATTGCCACACACATTCATAGGGGCCTCTGACTCTCCTTTGAAAATGCAAGGGAAAAGGGCCAGCCCTCTGAACTGTCACAGAGACATGAAAAACAATGCAGCCTCCTTCAGAGCAAACCTCCTATGTAAGAAAATCCTACCTCCTCCACAGGAAACACGAAGAAAGAAAGTGAGGTTCTATTACCATGATCAATCACTGTGCTCAAAATTCCTAGTTCCACACACAATCCAAAGTACCCAAGAGCTGGAAATACTTGGAGCCACTCTTCTTTCAGAAAATGCTACTCAAGTAGCAACTGATGCTAAAAAGTTAATCCAGGCCGGGCACGGCCGCTCACGCCTGTAATCCCAGCACTTTGGGAGGCCAAGGCGGGTGGATCACTTAAGGCCAGGATTTCAAGACCAACCTGGCCAACATGGCAAAACCCCATCTCTGCTAAAGAAAAATACAAAAATTAGCCAGGCGTCGTGGCACACGTTTGTAGTCCCAGCTACTTGGGAGGCTGAGGCAGGAGAATCGCGTGAACCTGGGAGGCGGAGGCTGCAGTGAGCCAAGATCGTGCCACTGCACTCCAGCCTGGGCGACAGAACCAGACTCCGTCTCAAAAAAACAGTCCTTAAAAACAGAATATCCAAGTCAAGGAAGTGCAGTGGGCATGAGATACACATAAGCACAAACACCAGCCCAGGGAGCTCGGGCACTCAGAGATGCTGCCTAGATAGAAAGGATCACCTCCATTTCACACCGGGGGAGACCCACAGAAACACCTCAGCCCAACCAAGGCCGACGGTCACATGCTGTCAAAGCTACACGCAGGAAAGACTCTGCTTCCAGTTAAGTCTCCAGTTCCAACAGCAAGAAAGGCAAGAAAGCAGCCACAAACCTGTCCATGAACAGGAGCGCAGGGGAGATGGCCATCATGTCTACTGTGACCTCGCAGCTCCGAGGGGCCGGCTGCAGAAGCACGGACTCTCCCCGTGCCGCATTCCTGGCACGCCAGAGCCACAGTCCCGGGGAAACTCCATGGGTGCACTCGGAGCCCCGCCCCTCGCGTCTGCCAGATGAAGGCAAGCTGGACCCAGCAGGCCGGCGGAAAGGCGGGGGCGGCAGGGCGGGCCTCCCCAGTCACAGGGAGGGAGGAGTGAGCCCAAAGTCTGGGAAGCAAAGCCTGAGTGACGGGTTCTCGGGCCTGGGACACGGCTCCGCACCACATGCCGTGGCAGGGCAGGCTACCAGGCACAAAACCCACCGGGACCTCGGACCTGGAAAAGCGCCAAGCACACAGCACGTCCAGGCTACCTGTCACAAAACCCACCGGGACCTCGGACCTGGAAAAGCGCCAAGCACACAGCGCTTCCTGAGCGTCTGCAGTGTGCCAGGCACTGTGCCTTGTGAAGCAGCGGCCAGGTCTGCCGTTGAGTCACAAGCACAGAACCGTGAAATTAATCCAAATACCTACACTAGAACCATCGCTCTGGATTCCCCCTCACTCACTTCAAATGCTGTTGAAGACAAAAACGAAAACCCAGAGCTAACTAACAACCTCATGTCCCCCAAAACTGATCTATTCTTTTTTTTTTTTTTTTTTTTTTGAGACGGAGTCTCGCTGTCGCCCAGGCTGGAGTGCAGTGGCGCAATCTCGGCTCACTGCAGGCTCCGCCCCCTGGGGTTCACGCCATTCTCCTGCCTCAGCCTCCCGAGTAGCTGGGACTACAGGCGCCCGCCACCTCGCCCGGCTAATTTTTTGTATTTTTTTTTTTTTTTAGTAGAGACGGGGTTTCACCGTGTTAGCCAGGATGGTCTCGATCTCCTGACCTCGTGATCCGCCCGCCTCGGCCTCCCAAAGTGCTGGGATTACAGGCGTGAGCCACCGCGCCCGGCCAACTGATCTATTCTTATGGCTGGGCGTGGTGGCTCACGCCTGTAATCCCAGCACTTTGGGAGGCCGAGGTGGGTGGAACACGAGGTCAGGAGTTCAAGACCAGCCTGGCCAAGATGGTGAAACCCCGTCTCTACTAAAAATACAAAAATTAGCTGGGCATGGTGGTAGGTGCCTGTAATCCCAGCTACTCGGGAGGCTGAGGCAAAGAACTGCCTGAAGCTGGAAGGCAGAGGGTGCAGTGGGCCAAGATTGCACCATTGTACTCCAGCCTGGGCAACAGAGCGAGGCTCTGTCTCAGAAAAAAAAAAAAAAAAAAGAAAGAAAAAAATAGTTAGCTAGGCGTGACAGTGGGTGCCTGTAATCCTAGGTACTCGGGAGGCTGAGGCAGGAGAATCACCCAGGAGGCAGAGATTGCAGTGAGCCAAGATCACACCACTGCACTCCAGCCTGGGCGACAGAGTGAGACTCCATCTCAAAAACAAAACAAAAACAACAACAACAAAAAAAAACTAGTCTAAACCACCAGCATGCACTATGGGTTGGTTCCCCTTGGAGCCAACGCCATTCAGTTATGTCAACTAGCCCCTGCAGAATCATCCTCCTCAAGCCCCAGCCAGCATCCTCTAACAGTCAGCTCCATCATCCCTTAAAAAAGAAAACACCTGTCTGTGTGTTTATATGTATGCAAGGCACCAAAGAAGTCTGCTGAGAGGCACAGGATGAGAAGCAGAAAAGGGAATTTTACTTTTATTTCATAGATGTCTGCACTGTGTTTTAAAAAACCAAACAAGCACATATTACTTTTGCAATTTAAAAAACCCTGGACAATCAAGTACAAGAGCTGGCCTGGCAGAGAGTGGTCCTGAGCACCTAGTCTGTGCCTGGCCCAGGGGACCAGAGGGGATGAAACTGACAAAATCCCTGCCCCAGGGCAGCCAACATTTGATTCGGGGAGGGGGCCAATTAATGAATACGATCAAACCCTGTGGTTCTCAAGTGGGGAATCTGGACCAGCAGCGGCATCGCCTGGGCACTGGCTAGAAACACAAATTTCTTGAGTCCCACCCAGACCTATGGAACCATAAACCCCGGGTGGGATCCAGCAATCTCTGGTTCAACGAGCCCTGCAGTGGCTCCGATGCACACCTGGATCTGAGAACCACTGTTCTGAACGGCCGCATGCACTTAGAAAGGTGATTCCTGCTGTCCTACTTAACACTTCTCATCGGTTCCCACTACCCAGGGAGTTTCAAACCACATCTGGTCTAGCACATCAGCTATGGGTGGGGCCCAGAGCAGTCACTCCACAAAGGGGCATAACCACGACAACAGCCTATCAGCCAAAGCCTTCCCAGCCCTGCCGCCTCATCGCCAGTCTCCTTCCCAAATACAGACCCTGCAGCCTCGTGTTCCCATGCCTCTCCAAATCCTTCCTCAACACTCAACAGTCACAATTTATATATTATACCTCAACAACAACAACAACAAAATTAAGTCAATAATTTAGAAACTCACAAAGAAAACTCCAGGTCAAATGGCCTTACTGGTGAAGTCTTCCAAACATTAAGGAAGAAATACACTCACAGAACAGACCTTTCACTAGCCCTCTCCTCCACCATTCCACCCCCTGGGGAAATGTATTAGATCATTCGACAAATTATTTATTGGCATCATTTAATCATAAGAAACAGACTTATTCAACAAGGACTTTCTGATGTCCCTTTGAGGATCATCTGACAAAGTCTGTGAGGGAGGGGGTGTAGGTGAGTACATGAACACATTTTTAAAAATTCCCTTGTGAAAGTGTTTTATTACCTTTTTAATTTTTTTGTTGTTAATGAAAATAAGGTCTCACTATGTTGCCCAGGCTGGACTCGAATTCCTGGGCTCAAGCAATCCTCCCCCATCAGCCTCTGGAGTAGGTGGGATTGCAGGCTACCACACCCAGCTATTATTGTTTCAATTCATATACAATAAAATGGACTTTTTTGAATACAGTTCTATGAGGGTTTTTTATGTTGTTGTTGTTGTTGTTGTTTATTTTTTTTGAGATGCAGTCTTGCTCTGCCGCCCAGGCTGGAGTGCAATGGTGCCATCCTGGCTCACTGCAACCTCCATCTCTTGGGTTCAAGCGATTCTCCTGCCTCAGCCTCCTGAGTAGCTGGGATTATAGGTGCCTGCCACTACACGCGGCTAATTTTTGTATTTTTAGTAGAGACAGGGTGTTTCACCATGTTGGCCAGGCTGGTCTCAAACTCCAGACCTCAGTTGATCTGCCCGCCTTGGTTTCCCAAAGTGCTGGGATTCCAGGCATGAGCCACTGCGCCCACTCAGTTCTACGAGTTTTAACACACTGGTAGGTTCATGTAATCACCAGAGAAAAATCTTATAGAAACTCTTTGAGAAAACAGAAAGTAGAACTCTCCCAACCCATTTTATAAGGCCAGCATAATTTTGATATCAAAACCAAAAGGAAAATTACAGCCCATACCCTTATAAATATAGACAGTAAAGTCCCAAACAAAATATGCAAATCAAATCAATGATAAATGTAAAGTATAATATATTATGAACAAGTTGGGATTATTCTAAGAATGCGAAGTTAATTTTACATTAGAAAAATACGTTCTTTACCATGTAAAGGAGAAAACATAAGTTATCAATAGATGCAGGAAAAAAGCATTTAATAAAATACAACAGTCATAATTTTTTTAAAACACCTTTACTAGGACTAAAAGGAGACTTCCTTATCTAATAAAGGTATCTAATAAAGAGTAAGGTATCTGATAAAAGGTATCCTATGGCAAACATCACACTTAACGAGGAAATAATGAAAGCTTTCCCAGAGCCCAAGACCCAGACTAGGATTTCTGCCAGTCCCACTTCAATTCAGCACTAAATGGGAGAGCCTGGCCATACAATAAGACAAGAAAACAAAATGAAAGGTGTAAGAGTTGAAAGAAAGAAACTCATTCACAGACAGGACGATTTTCTACAGAGAGGATCCAAATGAACTATGGATAAGCTATTAGAATTAGTAACCGAAGTTAGCAAGGCCTATACACAAAAACTCACTGCATTAGCCATAAAAAATAATGAGTTCACGTCCTTTGCAGGGACACGGATGAAGCTGGAAGCCATCATTCTCAGCAAACTAACACGGGAACAGAAAACCAAACACCGCATGTTCTCACTCATAAGGGGGAGTTGAACAATGAGTACGCATGGACACAGGGAGCGAACATCACACAACAGGGCCTGTTGGAGGTGGGGAGCACGGGGAGAGGGAGCATTAGGACAAATGCCTAATGCATGTGGGGCTTGAAACCCAGATAACAGGTTGATGGGTGCAACAAACAACCACAACACATGTATACCTATGTAACAAACCTGCATGTTCTGCACATGTATCCCAGAACTTAAAGTAAAATAAAAAATAAAAAAATTCACTGCATTTACAACAAACACTACCCAACGAGTCAACTCTACATTTCTTGACATTTGTAAAACCATCCCAAACAGTATCCAGGAATAAATTTAATGAAAGAAACATAAGACCTTTACATTAAAAAAAAAAACAAAAACAAAACTACGAAATGTGGAGAAATGAAAGAAAACCTAAATAGAGGTTCAAGGATTCAATTTTTTTTTTTTTTTGAGACGGAGTCTTGCTCTGTCGCCCAGGTCGGAGTGCAGTGGCACGATCTCAGCTCACTGCAAACTCTGCCTCGCGGGTTCAAGCGATTCTCCTCCCTCAGTCTCCCAAGTAGCTGGGATTACAGGCACCTGCTACTACACCCGGCTAATTTCTGTATTTTTAATAGAGATGGAGTTTTGCCATGTTGGTCAGGCTGGTCTCCAACTCTTGACCTCAGGTGATACACCTGCCTCGGCTTCCCAAAGTGCTGGGATTATAGGCGTGAGCCACTGTGCCCGGCCACGAATTAGAAGTCTTCATGTAATAAACACTGATCTATAAATTCAATGCAATCCCAAACCAAACCCTTGCAAATTTATTTGTACAATCTGCCAAACTGATTCTAAAATCTATATAGAAATGAAAAAGACCAAGACTAGCCAAGACAACCTTCCAGAACAAAATAGAAGGGCTCCCTCCCAAGTGCTGGGATTACAGGCGTGAGCCGCTGCGCCCAGCCTTTTTTTTTGAGACAGATTCTCACTCTGTTGCCCTGGCTGGAGTGCAGTGCCAAGATCTCAGCTCACTGCAACCACCACCTCCCAGGTTCAAGTGATTTTCCTGCCTCAGCCTCCCAAATAGCTTGGATTACAGGTGTGCGCCACCACGCCTGGCTAATTTTTTGTATTTTTACTAGAGACAGGGTTTCACCATGTTGGCCAGGTGATCCACCCGCCTCGGCCTCCCAAAGTGCAGGGATTACAGATGTAAGCCACCACGCCCGGCCAGGAGATGGCCAACATGGTGAAACCCCATCTCTACTAAAAATACAAAAATTAGCCAGGCGTGGTGGCTCACGCCTGTAATCCCAGCTACTTGGGACGCTGAGGCAGAAGAATCGCTTGAATCTGGGAGGCGGAGGTTGCAGTGAGCTGAGATCTCACTACTGCACTCCAGCCTGGGTGACAGACTCTGTCTCAAAAAAAAAAAAAAAACCAAGTACCCCTACCTTGTCACCGGAATGACAAAAAGAAAAATAAACTGACAATATCACCTTTCGGAAGGATCAAGAGCAGCCGGCATCACCACACACCGCGAGTGGGACCCACGGGAGACCCACCTGTCCCACCCCCCAGGCACGCACACGCCAGTGACATCCGTGAGAACACCATGGTGGGCATTATTTGTAACCATTGGACCCTGAACAAATCAAACCTCCACACATGGGAGAACAAAGAGTGGGATACCCATACAGCCGAAAACTAGACAACAATAAATGGATGCTACTGCTATGCAAAACCTCCCAGGGTCAGTTTGCCAGTGTTGAGCAAAGAAAGCCAGACATGAGAGGGCATAATGGATGAGTCCATTTACCTAAAGAAGGCAGAGCTCATGTGTGGTGACAGAGTCAGAACAGTGGTTACCCATGGGGAGCGAAATGCTGACAGGGAAGGAACCCAAAGGAGACTTCTGGGGGTTCTAGTCATAGTCTCTGTACTGACTGAGGTGGCAGACACACGAGTGTGTTCACTTCATGTACTTAAGTTCTGCAGGCTTTGCTCTCCTTTACATAAAATTTCAATACATGCTAACTCAGCTCAAACCACTCTCCCGTGCAGCCTTCCTGGGCTCATGTGCCCCCTCCCCACGCAGTCCCTCCTCTGTGCTCCCAAAGCACGTCCACATTTATCTCTGACACAGAGCTGGGAGTATTGCATTTTTGTTATTTGCACCTCACCTCCCCCTGCATTTGTAGGGCAGGCGGGCTTCCTACTTGGTCTTTGTATCCCCAAGGTCTGACATAAAACCTGCCAGATAGAACTGCATTAAAAGGTATTCATTAACTAACCCTGAAATGACTCTGCCACGAACGTCTCCACTGATGAAGTCACTGAGTCCAAAGCAAGATCTAGTGTTCTCCCTGAAGTCATACTCTCCTTGAAATCTCCTTCAAACACTCTCTAATATTTAAATACAGGAGGGGAAAAGTAAACAGGGATCCACTCTCTAACATCAGCTTAGATTTTTTTTTTTTTTTTTTGAGACGGAATCTCACTCTGCTGCCCAGGCGGGAGTGCCGTGGCGCAATCTCAGCTCACTACAACCTCCGCCTCCCGGGTTCAAGGGATTCTCCTGCCTCAGCCTCCTGAGTAGGTGGGATTACAGGCACCCGCCACCAGGGGCAGCTAATTTTTTTTTTTTTTTGAGACAGGGTCTTGCTCTGTTGCCCAGGCTGGAGTGCAGTGGCACGATCTCGGCTCACTGCAAGCTCCACCTCCCGGGTTCACGCCACTCTCCTGCCTTAGCCTCCCAAGTAGCTGGGACTACAGGCACCCGCCACCACAGCCGGCTAATTTTTTTGTATTTTTAGTGGAGACGGGGTTTCACCGTGGTAGTCAGGATGGTCTCGATCTCCTGACCTCGTGATCTGCCTGCCTCGGCCTCCCAAAGTGCTGGGATTACAGGCTTGAGCCACCGCGCCTGCCCTAATTTTTTTATTTTTAGTAGCGACAGGGGTCTCACCACGTTGGCCAGGCTGGTCTTGAACTCCTGAACTCAAGTGATCCGCCCGCCTCGGCCTCCCAAAGTGCTGGGATTACAGGCGTGAGCCACTGCGCCGGCCTAACTTAGATTTTTACAAGGAGAGAGAGAGATGGCAGAGCAAAAATGCCCATGTAACTTAGTACAAAACAGTACTAAGAAAAATACTAATTTATTCTTAATCTCCACCTAATAGTAAGGAAAAGAGGAGAGGAGGACTTAACAATAAGTTTGTAAGTAGCACAAATTATGAGGGGTCTAGGGATTGCATTTCAGGGAAGGAATGACATTACTATGTTCCTTCCATATTAGAAATCTTAAGGAGTAAGATCTGACTTAAGGTGGGAGGGGATATACGTGGGATTTAGACTCAGGCAGGTCAGGAGCTCAAATCCCAGCTTCGTAACAAGCTGCCTGATGTTAGGCAAGAAATGAACCTCTCTAGCCTCAGTTTTACCATCTGTAGAATGGAGATATCATCAATCAGTTACCATCAGAGTTTGTGTCTGTTAACTCTGCTTATTAATAAATAACACTAAGGGGCCGGATGTGGTGGTTCACGCCTGTAATCCCAGCACTTTGGAAGGCCGAGGCAGGTGGATCACAAGGTTAGGAGTTCGAGACCAGCATGACCAACATGATGATACCCCGTCTCTACCAAAAATAATACAAAAATTAGCTGGGCCTGGTGGCACGCACCTGTAATCCCAGCTACTCAGGAGAATCGCTTGAACCCGGGAAGCAGAGGTTACAGTGAGCCAAGATTGCACCATTGCACTCCAGCCTGGGTGACAGAGCAAGACTCTGTCTCAAAAATAATAATAATACAAGTAAAATAAATAAATAACACTAAGAGCAGTCTGTTAATTATATAGGCCCAAGCATCTCCTCTCATTTAATCCTAACCTTATTCATCCATGTCATTTTTTTCATTCAACAAATACATATTGAGAACCAACTATGTTCTAGGTGCTATGCCATGTACTGGGAATATAGTTCCTGATGACCGGAAATGTAGGTACCCATCCTCACGGGGCTTGTCTTGAAGAAGAGAAAATTCAGAGACAGAACCTTGCCTCAGATCGTGCGATAAAGTGCCTATATTTGAGCTGAAGTCTGAATTGAAAGTCCATTCTTTCTACTGGTGGCTCTGAACCCTCTGCGTGCTAGAGTCACCCGGGGAGTTTTCAAGCATCCTGAGGCGCAGGTTTCACCCCAAACCAATGAAAATCAATCTCTGAGGGGAGAATGCATATATTAATTTTTCTTTGTTAAGTTTGCCAGGTAATCCTACTGTGCAGCTAGGACTGAGAACTTCGCTCCTTAATAAGTCTTTCCCCTCCCATGCTATCTCATTTCTTTAATGCTTTCTTTCATCTTTTTTTTTTTTTTTTTTTTTTTTTTTTTTTTTTGAGACGCAGTTTTGCTCTAGTTGCCCAGGCTGGAGCGCAATGGCGCGATCTCGGCTCACCGCAACCTCCGCCTCCCGGGTTCAAGCGATTCTCCTGCCTCAGCCTCCTGAGTAGCTGGGATTACAGGCGCGTTGCCACCACGCTCGGCTAATTTTGCATTTTTAGTAGAGACGGGGTTTCTCCATGTTGGTCAGGCTGGTCTCGAACTCCAAACCTCAGGTGATCCGCCCACCTCAGCCTCCCAAAGTGCTGGGATTACAGGCGTGAGCCACCACGACCAGCTATGCTTTCTTTAATCTATGTGAATTTAAGATAACTCCTTTCCAGCCCTTTCCGTGGACAGTGAATTATTTCAGATTTTTTTTCAAGCTACGCCAACATTTCTACTCACTCAAGAAAAATCAAACTGTAAACACCTGCCTTACAGCACAAACTCTCCTATTATCTTCTTGTTCCTGTATTTTCACTGATCCAGGCTGTGTGCTGATTCCTAACCCAGCAGGCTTCTAAAGCTCAGTGGCATGTGGCCCGCCCCTACACCCCAGCAAATACAGGCCATTTCTCCTGGAGCCCTTGTCTCCTTTCACATGGAAAATGCCAAGCTCAGAGCCTGACACAATGTAGCCCCTGCCCATGAAGATTCAAACCTCCCACTCTCACACCAGCTCCAGGAACCTGACTCTATATGGCACTAGTGAACAGAACCAAGTCACGTTCTGCTAGTGTCCCAGGGCCAATCAGGAACATGAGCTGGGGTTAGCTGGGGATTGGGGATGACTGAGATCTAGGCCCTGTCCTTAAGGAGCTCCAGTAAGAGCAAGACACCTGAAACACCACTGGACTAAAAGGAAGCTGCAGAGGAGACGGGAGAGGAGCACGCATGCCCGGAAGGCCACCTCTGCCCCGGGGATAGTGAGAAGGTTCCTGGAAGGGGTGTCAGCTGTGCTGGGAACCAGTGACGCTGTGTCCAGCCAGTCCCGTGGAACCAGTGCAGGGATGAGGAGGACAGGAGAAACCTGGACATCCCCGCATTCTGTAAACCAGAGGACCCGGGGAGGACTAATTTTCCTACGCCTCAATTTACAGGAACCAGAGGCCAGAGCCATGGTGAATTCCAACCGCCCATCAGCCACTGCTTGGAGCATGCTCGTTTGTAAAACAGAGGCTGGGCTCTCACTAACAGTGAACTCCATCTGCCAAGGACAGACGGCTCCCGGCAGGGCCATCACCCCAGGGAGGACAGGCCAGAGCTGACAGGGGCCCGAGACGCTGGTCATGAAGCAGCAAGTCCCAGGAACTCGGTCCTAAGGAAATCATCTGAAAGGCAGGCACCGCACTCTGAAGCCCATGGGGAATTCCATCATCAAAACGCAGACGCAAAAAGCCATTTCCTTATTGCTGGACAAGCAAATGATTCACAGGATGAAATCCTACAAAGACATTAATAAGCATACGAACACGTTTTAATTGTGCTGAGAAATGTTTCCTCTACGTAGAAAAGCAGGACACCAAACGATGGAAACAGCATCCATTTTTATCTGTTTAAAATTCAAAGTCTGCAAGGAAATAAAAAAAGAAGGAAAAATCAGGGGTAGGTGTTAAAAAGGACAAAAATAGAACGACGCCGAAGTTTTCCTGCGCATTTTTAAACAAAGAGAAGCTTTAAGAAACGTATCTAAGCTAAAAAGATCTATCACACACACAAAAAAACCCAAACCCCCGGCAGAACGCGCCGGCTTCACAGACACCGCAGATGGGTGCCGTGCCCGCGATCGGAAACCCAAACGGCTGTGACCCCATATGGGAGACCGAATTGTTGGGGAGGTCTGCTCTCAAGACCCAGAACAATCATAGAATTTAAAAGAAACATATTTAGATTTAAAAGTTAAGTGTGCCAGATCCCTTTATTACTTTTTTTAGATTCACATTCACTCAAGGTTATCTGCTGACCACCTGCACCGGCTCGGAAAACCACAGGAGGACGGTGTGGCCCCAGCTCTCCAGAAGCTCAAGGTTCCAGGAGGGGGCGGGGAGTGGGCTAGTGTGGTCTCAAAGAAGTCCAGGGACTGTGGGGTCCACATTAGAGGTCTGGGAGAGGTTGGGGTGATCAAAGAAGGCTTCCTAGAGGAGGTGTCACTTAAGCTGAATCCTAAGGGACAAACAAGAATTTGCCCGGGAGAGGCAGCAGAACAGGCAAGGTGCAGAGGCAGGGCGTCACTGGCTCTGAGCACTGGCACCACTGGTGGCCAGAGATGCAGGCAGCAGCCAGATCCTGCACGCCCCGTAGGCCACACCAACTGGTCTGGACTTCATCCTCCAGGTGGTGGGAACTATCACTTGGGCAAGAGAATGAGAGGGGTATTCAACTAATCGGTTTCAGGCATTTAATTCTCAAGAAGAAGGGAGAGGGGCAGAGGGAGGAAGGAAAAGACATCACAGCCGAGGCTCCCAGTTATTCACCAAACCCATTTCCTCGTTGTCCTGGGCGCAGTCCTCTTTCCTGGCTTCCCTCACAGGTAGGGGCAGCATTCCAGCCAATTAACTCTGAGTGGAGTTGTGTGTGCCGCTTCAGGCACGGCTGGCTCTCAGAACTCCCACACTGGTCCCTACACACGCTCTCCCCTGCTTTGGTGTAATACCGAACAACCCAGCAAGCTTCTGCTGAAAACGATGGGGCCACAGGACGGAAGGAACCTAGGGGAGCATGGCCTGGAAATCAACCTCCGTTGTGTTTGAAGCTTTATGTATATTTCAAGTTTGTTACAGCAGCGAACATTCATCCACCTAACTAGATATTAATGTATTTGTCCCAGGAATTTTGCCTGCCACTCAATTTCTTCTGCTTTAAAAATAACTGCTCTCAAACGAACCTCTAAAAGGGATAAAATCTATCCCAGGCAAAAAACTTACAGTGAATGAACAGCCAGGTATTAGGGTAAGGGTGACCCAGGAGATATGGTTCCTCATCCCACCCACTGGCCCCTCACCTTCCTTCTTCCTCGTGCCTGGTTCTGCAGGATGTGGGGGCGGGGAAGGCAGAGCCCACTCCTTTTGACCCGCCTTCCCCGCCTCACTCCTCCCACCACAGAAAATGTGTTTAACACCCAGATCTGAAACCTAAAAGGAGGTCAGAGCTTAAAGCTAACCTCTAACTTTCAAACGCCTATAAACATGTACCTGTAACACTTGGTACCCAGAGCCTGGGTTGTAAAAGCCTCTTGCTAGAGGCAAGGGGGAATGAACAGGAAAACTGGACTGAAACTGGACTGCTGTGGGGCCCAAAAGGGCTATTCTGCAACTCTAGATGACTCACCATTCTTCCATATACAGAATCTTACAGGATTCTTGAGATAAACCACAGCTATTCACAACAAAGAATCAGCAAAACTGGAGTTGAAACAGCTCGCAGTTACAAACCCAGCTCGCTCAACATAAACAGGAACTGATTTGATGTGGCAATCTAGTAAGATGTGTGCACATGAAAAATACAGAAGGCATGAAATAATTCAGTGTTACTTGTACTGAATATTCTAAAAATAAAAAAGATGTGTAAATATTTTAAATAATCTCCTATTTAAGATAGGAAATAGGAGGAAACCGTTTTAATTACTGCATTATTCTATGATATTTTCCACTAACATCTGAAAAGCAGAACAGATTCTATCCCTATCTGGGCAAAGGGAAGTTAATTTATGAGTAGCAAGTGGCTGATGGCTGAAGAACTGCTTTGCAGGAATGGGCTTGCCCATGGGTTTCTCAAAGCCCGTGTATTCCTGTGGTCCCACACCAGTTCTCCTGCATTTCATACTGAATCGCCACCTCCCAGGCTGAACCTAACCTCACCTAGGGCAGAAGGAAGGTGGGCTGGCAAAGGACCTAAACACACACCTGGAGCCTCCAGGAAGATGGGCGTACTGTTTCCTGAGGCTGCCTGCAAGCCTGAGGAAGTTCCATGAACACAGGAGGTCTGACGTATCTGGAGCAAATTCATTCTCCTTTTACCCCATCCCACAAAACAACCTTGCCCTCTGTGCATTTTCTAAGGACATCAACACCTTCCAGAAACCAGGGCAGAAACACTGCCTTGTCTGTGGGACAAGTCACAGGAACAGATGTGCAAGCTGAGGAAGGTCTTTTTTGGTTCAGTTCACGCCATTCCTGAATGTTACTGACACTCCACAGCTTCACAGCAAGTGTCTGCCTTCCCCACAGGAAGACGATGTCAGGAGCAACATAAAGTGGTAAGAACTTAAAGAGCTGCTTTTGGCCGGGCGCAGTGGCTCATGCCAGGAATCCCAGCACTTTGGGTGGCCAAGACGGCAAATCACCTGAGCTCCGGAGTTTGAGACCAGCCTGGCTAACATGGTGAAACCCTGTCTTTACTAAAAATACAAAAATTAGCCAGGCGTGGTGGCGGACGCCTGTAGTCCCAGCTACCCGGGAGGCTGAGGCAGGAGAATCGCGAGAACCTGGGAGGCAGAGGTTGCAGTGAGCCAAGATCATGCCATTGCACTCCAGCCTGGGCCACAGAGTGAGACCGCATCTCAAAAAAAAAAAAAAAAAAAAAAAGCTGCTTTCCTCAGATACAGGCAAGTTTCCCAGCCCACCAACAGAAGGAAATGGACCATCAAACCCAGGTGGGATTCAGAACAAACATCTCGAGCACTGGTTGATCACGGAACAGCCAACCTGCTTTCATCAAGTCATTAATAGCCAAGATAAATCGCTCGTGTTTACCCTCAAGAACTGATTCAATCCTTTTTCTCCATTTTCCCTTTCCTGCAGTGCCTCCCTTAGGCAAGTCCTCATTACCATTCATTTGTTCATTCATTCGTTCATTCATGCCATAAGCCGGGACGCGGTGATCCCTAACACCTCCTAGTAAGTGCTGCATGGACTGCTGTAACAGGCACTTCCCAAGCACAGCCTCCTGGCTGCCAGCTCGGAGACAGGTAAGACACAAGAACATAGAGCACTGTGTCCAGCCGCCCAGCCGGCCAGGCAGAGCAGACTTTCAGATCTTTGGCTCTATGACTGCACTCTCTCAATCTCCACCAGGTTCTTTGTCCCCTCACTGGAAGGCACAACAGGCACCTTCAGAATACATCTCTGAGGGGTGTAGGCTCCTCCCCCACCCCCGTCATCTCCCATATTTAAATGTGCACTAGAGGTCACAGGGAGGGTCAAACACACCCTCAGGCAAGAACCTCAACCCCAGCAAGGCTGACTCCAGGCAGGGCCCTCCCCGCTATACCTATCTGACCAGCACCCCCACCTGCCACCTGGCCTGGGTTTCCTTCCCCTTCCCCGGAGCCCTGAGGGCGGTTCTTTCTGTAGACCTCTCTGGGCTACACACATTCCATTATGGATTTGCTCGTTTCACACCCACTGTGTGCTGCTGTTACACATCAAGAACAACAAAGGTTCAAGTCACAGATTGTCCCACAGACCAGGGCTGAACAACAGAACTTCCTGCATGGTGGAAATGTACTAATCTGAGCCGCCCAACGGGGTGGCCACAAGCCACATGTGGCTACTGAGCGCCTGACTGGCCAGAGTGACTAAGAAACTGAATTTTCCATTTCGGGTAATTTTAACTCAATTTAAATAGCTACATGGGGCTAGTGGCTAACACACTGGACGGCAGTTTGATATTCTAGTAACTAAAGCACCAGCTGCGCCCCAATATACGACTCCAGGCAGCCAAAAGGGATGACTCTGCTGAGCATGCGTGAGGTGCCGCGGGAGCCAGGGGCACAGGCCGCTGGTGCCCATTTCTCAAGGAGCCTGGTGTAGGTCGTGACGCCTGAAAAGCAAGGCCAGTCCCCGCCGGCCTCAGGGCCTTCGTCTCCACTGTGTCCTTCGGAAGAACACGCTTCACCCGCACACCACTCACATCTTTGCTCAAATGCTGCTTTCCCACCAAAGCCCTCCCTGACCCCCCTGTGTAAAGTGGAGCCTCTCCCAGCTTTCCCATGCCACCTCCACACCACCACCCCACCCCCACCCCTCTCCTCAGGAACTCTGCCACAGGACTCACAGCCTGGCACTGAGCATCCCTTATCAGTCTCTGCAGTGTGGTCTCAGTCGACTATCTTGCCGTTGGGTGCTTTGATTTGGGAGAAGTGGGTGTGTTGACCGTTACATCCCCAAGACTGACGCAGGTATGCTGACCACTACATCCCCAGGACCGGGTCCTCGGGCAGATAATCTCTAAGAAAAGGGATGACGTCTGAATTCAACCATCTGGCAAGCACTTGCTGAGTTCTAATGAGCACCAGCGTACAATAAGTGAGAGGCAGTCCCTCGAGGGGTGCGCATGCTTCTGGGGGGGACCTGGTCGGGTGGCATTGCGCATGAGAGGTGCCCCAGCCACAGAGCTGGGAGTCGACACACAGCAAAGGGGGCCATTCTTCCTGGGGGGGGCTCCTGTGGATTCTTCTCATTTATGCAGCAGGAAGAGGCAGGCAGGAAAACCATTCCAGGAGGGGTCTCCAGGCCTGCAGGAGGACAGCAGGGACTACTGCTGATTCCAGAAGGTTCTTCCTGCTGGAAGATGCCGAGACCGCCTGACGCAACTCTGCATTTCACACGTGGGAAAGCTGTGTCTGCAAAGCGACTTGCCCCAGATGCAGAGGGAGTGGGTGGCAGAGCCAGGATGCCGTCCACTGCTGATGAGGAAGAGGCCACCGGCTGAGCCGGAGAGGGTTTCACTAGCATCTCTTCCCCATGGTGTCCACGGTGCTTTCCCATGCAGCACTCAGGCCAGCCCACAGAGCCTGGGGGATGGCGCCGCTGCTGCACTACTGCACAACCAGATCTCCACTCCTGCAGCCGGGACGGATACTCTTCAGAGTGCGGCTGCAGGGGAGGAACCCAATGACCTGAAACAATGGAACACTGGGCCCCTGGGAGGCCAGCCCGAGCCACAGCCCCTGCACAGCTGTGGTGACAGACATGCTCACCCCGGCATCTCTCCTGTGCCCCCTGGGTGAATGCGGGATCCACGAGGCACACAGAAGGCCCGCGAGGCAAGGCTGGTCCTCTCATGGAGGCTGGAGAGGGCTTCCTGGCAGTGGCTAAACATCTGCAGAAATGATCTAGGGATGTGGATCCTCAGAGAAGCAGTGAGAAGGCGTCCCTGAATGAGCGAGCCCCACCTCTCTGCAGACCTGGTCCTGGGGAGGGGGAGCTGCCAGGCTGGTGCCTGGTGGGAAGGCCAAGGGGACACCTGCTGTGGGCAGCCAGCTGGGAGTGAGGCTGGGATCCCCTGGAGAGGGCCAAGGACTGAAGAAGAGGAAGTGGCGCCTCACGCTCGTGTGACCACGATCCCTGTTCCTCCCAGATGTTTCCTCTTGGCATTGACTTCCCCCCTTGCTATCCTGGCCTGGCCCTCTCCAGAGGAGCATGTGAGGTTATGTCCACCCAAGGGCAGGGTGGCCGAGCATGGCACCACTGTCTCATGCAGCTCCTAGCACTGGGGCCACCAGGCAGCCCCCAGAAGAGGGATCTGCACAGCCAACAGTCAGGGCTGATCCCCACGGTCCTCCCCCAGACAAGCTCTCCCTGAGGATGGGGTGCTGTTCACAAATGGGGAGGCTCTTACACCATGGGAAGAAGCTGTGTCTCGGCAAGGCCAGCCCAGCAAAGTAGCGCCCACCACCACAACGCCCGGGACGGCACTGCTGCCTCCCTCTCCCCACCCAGCACCCGGGAGGAGTGGAATGAAGACCTCCACTTCCTTTCTCCAACACTCCTGGACCAGGCTCACCAGATGCGGCTCAATCAGCAATGCAACGGCCCCGGGGGGAGCCTACGTCAGACGTGGTGGAAACTGACCCTGCAGGTTCCACTCCCAGCCGGCTGTGTGACTGGAGCCTCCCCGCCCACACGGTGACGACCCCCCACTACCCTCCAGGCTTCAGGGTCTCCATCCTGCTTCTCTAATCCACCCTCCTTCCACCGCCCGGAGAATCCATGCCCCAATGTAATCACCCTCACACGTCCCTGAGCCCTGCCTCTCTCTCCCTTCCCTGTACACACTTAGCTCAAAGACAAGCCTGCCCTGCACGTGTACCTGTGCAAAAAACATGGCTGGAGAAAGACGCGCAGCACGCTGACTGGTCCCTGATCACCTGGCAGGGCCCTTGCTGCCCCCCAGCAACGCTTCCTTCCCTCTCTATCCATTCTCCCACACGCCTTGATGGCTTTCACACAGCTTCCAACCCAGCACACCATCCCCACTGCTACAACCCCAGGGTTTGTGCCCCCACCCAATTCACATGTTGAAATCCTAACCCTCAGGTTGACAGTATTAGGAAATGAAGCCTTTGGGAGGTGACTAGGTCATGAGGGTGGAGCCCTCCCCAGTGGGATTAGTGCCCTTATAAAAAAACATGTTCAACAGCTCACCAGACACTGAACGTGCTGGCACCTTGATCTTACGCCTCCCAACCTCCAGAACTGTGGGAAACAAATTTCTGTTGTTTACAAGCCACCTCGTCTACAATATTATGTTTAAAATTTTTAAAAAGGCCCAGCGTGGTGGCTCACGCCTGTAATCCCAACACTTTGGGAGGTTGTGGCGGGCAGATCACCTGAGGTCGGGAGTTCCAGACCAGCCTGACCAATACAGAGAAATCCCATCTCTACTAAAAATACAAAATTAGCCGGGCGCAGTGGCACATGCCTGTAATCCCAGCTACTAGGGAGGCTGAGGCAGGAGAATCGCTTGAACCCGGAAGGCGGAGGTTGCGGTGAGCCGAGATCGTGCCATTGCACTCTTGCCTGGGAAACAAGAGCAAAACTCTGTCTCAAAAAATAAATAAGTAAGTAAAAATAAAAAAAAAAAGCTCAAACGGACTAAGACACCCATCCTCGAGACCCTGCTTCCTACTTCACCAAAAACAAAACAAAACAAAAACCCAGAGCAATCGAACAAGAACTTCCACTGACAACAGCAAACGCTGGGGAGGATGTGGAACAACAGAAACTCTCATTCATTGCTAGGGGGAGTCAAATGGTATCGCCCCTTTGGAAGACAGTTTGCTGGTTTCTTACAAAACTAAACATACTTTACCATATAATCTAGCCACTGCACGCCTTGGTATTTACCCAAAGGAGCTGAAAACTTATGTCCACACAAAAATCTTCACACAGATGATTATGGCAGTTTCATTCATAATTGCCAACACTTGGAAGCAACTAAGATGTCCTTCAGCAGTGAATGGATAAACTACGGTACATACATGCAGTGAAACATCATTGAGTGCTAAAAAGAAATGAGCTATCAAGACATGAAGAGACTCGGATTTACATTACTAAGTAAAAGAAGCCAGTCTGAAAATGATTTCCACCTGTATGGCATTCTGGAAAAGGCAAAAATATGGAGACAGTAAAAAGATCAGTAGTTTCCAGGGGTAAGGAGAAAAAGAGAGACGGACAGGTGGATCACAGAGGATTTGGGGGCAGTGAAACTCCTCAGTGTGATACGGCCACGGCAGATACATGTCATTATACACCTGTCCAAACCCACAGAGTGCACAGCACCCAGGGTGGCCCCTGATGTAGACTCTGGACTCCTGGTGATAATGATGTGTCAGCCAGTGTGCACTCATCGACAGTAACAAATGGACTCCTCCAGTGTGGGCTGCTGATGAGAGGGGAGGCTGTGCACATGAGGGTAAAAAGGAGATACATGGAATTCTATCCTTTCTGCTTAATTTTGCTGTAAACCTACAACTGCTCTAAAAAATAAAGTCTATTTTTTAAAAAGTAAATATGTTGAAATTAAAAATCTATATTCAGGCCGGGCACGGTGGCTCATGCCTGTAATCCCAGCACTTTGGGAGGCCGAGGTGGGTGAATCACTTGAGGTCAGGAATTCAAGACCAGCCTGGCCAACACAGTGAAACCCCATTTCTACTAAAAATACAAAAATTAGCTGGGTGTGGTGGCACATGCCTGTAATCCCAGCTACTCAGGAGGCTGTGGCAGGAGAATCGCTCGAACCTGGGAGGCAGAGACTGCATTGAGCCGAGATCACACCACTGCACTCCAGCCTGGGCAATACAGTGAGACTCTGTCTCAAAAAAAAAAAAAGTACACTCACACACAAACAATGAAGCAACACTACAAACAATAGACTACAAGCATGGAAGGGGGAGAGAGGGAGAGGGAAAGGGAGAGGAGGAAGAGGAAAAGGGAGAGATAGAGGGAAGGAGAGGGAGAGAGCACGCACGAGAGTGCCTGCAAGAGCAAGCACCCTCCTCCCCATCTACCTGTGCCCCATCCTCTCCCAGGCGCCTGCTACGCTGGACTCTCCCCAGCTGAAGCCACTTCTCTGTTGAACTCTAGATCCCACTCCTTCAGATGCAACTCAAGGACAAAGCTCCAGTGATTCTCTCTTCTCCCGGATATGTTCACCTCTTATTCTCTTACTAGGTTGTTTTCAAATTAAAAACAAACAAACAAACAAACAAAACCCTGTATTTCTCCAATCTTAAAAAAGGAAAAAAAAAAATCACACCACTTCTGCCTCCAGCTATCACCCCATTCTCTGCTCCACTCTGTAGCAAAGCCACCAAAAGAATCATCTGCTCACTGCTTCCAACTTCTCTTCTCCCAGTCTCTTTGGGACTTACTCTGTCACCCAGGCTGGAATGCAGTGGCGCGATCACTGCAGTGGACCAGTGCAGCAGACCCCTGGTGATAACAATGTGCAGCTCACTGCAGCCTCGACCTCCTGGGTCAAGTGATCCTCCCACCTCAGCCTCCCAAGTAGCTGGGATTATAGGTGCACACCACCACACCCAGATAATTTTTTCTATTTTTTTGTAGAGATGGGGTCTCACTATTTTGCCCAGGCCAATCTCAAGCTCCCAGTTTAAAGTGATCCACCCACCCTGGCCTCCCAAAGTGCTGGGATTACAGGTGTGAGGCCACCATGCCGGCCCCATTCTCTCTTAAATATTTACTCCAGTTTCGCTTTTGCCTGCACCACTTCACGAAAACAGCTCTGCTCAAAGGTCACTGATGGCCTCCTCATTGCTAAACAGTCAATTCTTTTCATTTTTTCCTTTTTTGTTTTTTTGAGACAGAGTCTCGCTCTGTCGCCCATGCTGGAGTGTAGTGGTGCAATCTCAGCCCACTGCAAGCTCTGCCTCCCAGGTTCAAGAGATTCTCATGCCTAAGCCTCCCAAGTAGCTGGTATTACAGGCACCCGCCACCACACCAGATAATTTTTGTATTTTTAGTAGTGATGGGGTTTCACCATGTTGGCCAGGCTGGTCTCGAACTCCTGACTTGCCTCGGTCTCCCAAAGTGCTTGAACAGTCAATTCTGAGTCCTCATCTGCCCTGCCCTCTCAGCAACCTCTGCCCAGTTGCCCCTCCCCTTGTTGACACCCATGCTCACCGGGCCGGCACCCAGCTTCCAGACCCCACACTCGTGCCCTCCCAGCTCACCAGCCCTGCCTTCTCGCTTTTGCTGCTTCCTCCTCTCCTCCCAGATCTCCTGGTGCCGGCAGGCCTCAGGCTCACTCCTTGGTCCTCTTCTCTGTCCGCCTGTTTCCAAGGAGACCTCACCTGGTTTCAAACCACCTCCAATGCCAACAAGTCAATGTATACCTCCCATCCAGCCCCACTCCTGCCAGGATCCTCTCTAGTCACCTACTCCACCTCCTTCCTGCAAATGTCTAAGATGTCTCAAACTCCACCCCTCATCTTCACTCCAACTTGGCAACTCTATTTTCCACTGGCTGAGGCCGAAAGTCTCAGAGTCATCTTTGACTCCTTTCTTTTCTCCACACCCACATCCATTCTTCAAATCGCACCCTCCCTACAGCTGCCACCCAGGTGAAGCCATCATCACCTCTTGTCTGGACTCTTGCAACAGCCTCCTCAGACTCCCTGCTCTGCCCTTCCCCTGCCCGGAAGCCTCCTCTCAGTACAGCACCTCAGGGCATTCTGTTTAGGACTCAATGAAATCACTACTCCTATGGCAGGCAGACTTCTGAGATTCCCTTTCCCTGATGTTCATACCCTTCCCTTTGAACACAGGCATAAACTATGAATATGATGGGACAGTGACTTTGTGATCAGGTTACATCAAATGGCACAGATGACTTTAAGAAACAGAGGTAGGCCAGGCACAGTGGGTCATGGTGGCTCAATCCCAACACTTGGGGAAGCCAAGGCAGGAGGATCACTTGAGGCTAGGAGTTCGAGACCAGCCTGGGCAACAAAGTGAGACCATGTCTCTACAAAAAATTTTAAAAGTTAGCTGTGTGTGATGGCGCACGTCTGTGATCCTAGTTGTTCCAGAGGCTGAGGTGCAAGGATGGCTTGAGCCTGGGAGTTCAAGTCTGCAGTGAGCTATGATGGCACCAGTGAAATCCAGCCTGGGCGACAAAGCGAGACTCTGCCTCTAGAAAAGGGAAGGGGAAGGGGAAGGGGAAGGGGAAGGGGAAGGGGGAGGGGAAGGGAGGGGAGGGGAGGGGAGGGGAGGGGAGGTAATTCTCAATGAGCCTTACACAATTTCAGTGAGCCCTTAAAAGCAATCAGTGTTCTCTCTGGGAAGAGATTTGGAGTGTGAGATGGACTCCACACAAAAGAAGCCTTGTTGCTGGTTTTCAATATGGAGGGGCCACACAGCAAAGAATTTGGATGACTTCTAGGAGCTGCAAGTGACCCTCAGCTGACAGCAATCAGGGAAATGATGAGCTCAGTTTATAGCCACAACGAGCTCTGCCAACAGCCTCAGTGAGCCTGGAAGCAGACAATTCCTTAGCCAAGACTGGGACGGGGACACAGCCGCCAACATGCTGTTTCATCCTGATAAGTGCCCGAGGGGAACCCAGCCACACCATGATGGACAGCCATGTTGTTTCAAGCCACCAAATGTGTGGTTATTTGTTATGCAGCAGCAAAACACCACGGCAACTCCTCTGCTCAAAATTCTGCAGTAGAGCCAGGCACAGTGGTGTGGTAGGCCCAGCTATTCTGAGGCTGAGGCAGGATGACCTTTTGAGCCCAGGAGTTCAAGGCCACACTGCGCTATGGCTGCACCTGTGAATGGCCACTGGACTCCTGGCTGGCCAATGCAGCAAGACCCCATCTCGAAAAGACAAAAATTCTGCAGTGGCTCCCCACTGAGTCTAAGTCAAAGCCAACATCACACAGTGGCCTACATGCCCATACAGAATCTGGTCCCACTGACCCTATCCCTTCCTTCTCTCTGTCCATCCCCAGGGCATCTGTGCTCAAATGCATCAGGCCTGCCTGCATCCTTCTCCCTTGCTGGATCACTCTCCTTCCAAGTACCTGCTTGGTTAACTTTGTCACTGACATCTTCAAGTCTTTTTTTTTTTTTTTAATTTCCAGACAGAGTCTTGCTCTGTCGCCCAAGATCGTGCAGTGGCGGCGATCTTGGCTCGCTGCAACCTCTGCCAGGGTTCAAGCCCGAATGGTTCAAGCAATTCTCCTGCCTCAGCCTCTCGAGTAGCTGGGATTACAGGTGCATGCCACCACACCCAGCTAATTTTTGTATTTTTAGTAGAGACAGGGTTTCACCATCTTGGCCAGGCTGGTCTTGAACTCCCAACCTCAGGTGATCTGCCCACCTTGGTCTCCCGAAGTGCTGGGATTACAGGCGTGAGCCACCCGCCTGGCCACCTTCAAGTCTTTGCTTCAATCTCTTCTTCTCCTTCAGGCCTATCCTGACCAGTCTATTCATTGTGTAACTTGTCTTCTCCGCTCCTCCCAGGACCTCGTACCACCTCTGCTTGCTGGCTTTCTCCGTAGCTCTTAAGTCTGCCAACACATATCCTCCATCTACTCACTGTGTTTACCATCAGCACCCTCTGCTAGAACTTAAGCTCTGCGAGGACAGGGGCTCTGTTTTGTTCACAAATGAATCCCAAGCACCTAGAACAGTGCCTTGGCATATGGCAGGTGCTCAGTCAATTTTTTTTTAAAGAATGTATGATGAGAAACATATTTAAGAACCTAGCACAGTGCTTGGTACACAGCAGCCACTCAAAAAATGGATCATTATGGTTGTGATTTGCTGCCAAAAGAAAACAAAGCCCAGGAAAGCACAGGGAAGCAGCACACCCTTACAAGCACAGCTGTTCTTTCTGAACGTGGCTGGACCACTGGCAGGTCTGCAGACAGCATCTGCAGTAGTAACCAGACAACCTCCTGTGTGTGTCCAGCACATACACAGCTGGCGTCCTATGGCTCCTTTCAACCATGTGTGCAGTGACACCATCAGCTGCATGTTTCCAGACATGAACCACAACCTCAAATTGAAGCTCACCCAGATTTAAAGAAACGTCTCGGGTCAAGGTTACCAGTGACCTCCCAGGTGCTGAATCAATGCTTGGTAAGAACCCAGCTGTGTAAACCAGTGGCTGGAAAAGAAGTGCAGACATTCTGCAATCGAGAGGTAATCAATCTGCTGAAAATCCACCTGGTACAAAAACACACAACCAGGGAATTTAATCCCTCGGGATGGGGGAATCAAAACAGTGTCAGACGACCCAGAGTGAGGCCGGGCGTGGTGGCTCACGCCTGTAATCCCAGCACTTTGGGAGGCTGAGGCGGGCAGATCACGAAGTCAGAAGTTCGAGACCAGCCTGGCTAACATAGAGAAACCCTGTCTCTATTCAAAATACAAAACTTACCTGGGTGTGGTAGTGCGCACCTGTAATCCCAGCTACTCAGGAGGCTGAGGCAGGAGAAGCGTTTGAACCCGGGAGGCAGAGGTTGCAGTGAGCCGAGATGACACCACTGCACTCCAGCCTAGGCAACACAGCAAGATTTCATCTCAAAAACATTTTAAAAATAAATAAAAAAGAAGACCCAGAGTAAGTGTGTGCCTGTGCAAACACTTAAACAAAGGCCAGTTTCCGAAATCACTGAGACCCCTCACAGGTTTTTTTTTTTTTTGGAGATGGAGTCTCACTCTGTTGCCCAGCCTGGAGTGCAATGGCACTATCTCAGTTCACTGCAACCTCTACCTCTCAGATTCAAGCCATTCTCCTGCCTCAGCCTCCCAAGTAGCTAGGATTACAGGCACCCACCACCAAGCCCAGCTAATTTTTGTATTTTTAGTAAAGATGGAGTTTCGCCATGTTAGCCAGGCTGGTCTCCAACTCCCGACCTCAAGTGATCTACCCGCCTCAGCCTCCCAAAGTGCTGGGATTACAGGCGTGAGCCACTGCGCCTGGCCCCCTCATAGACTTTTAGTGAGGAATAATGGGAACCATCCTACGAGTTCCTTGCTTGCTAAAGTCCTTTCTGCTTCTCTCTGGCTCAAGGCCTCCAGGAGGCACCTGCAGTGATTCTACTGTATCTCCCTCCCCTGTCGATGGCCAGCCCACAAAGGCCACCAACCCAGCAGCAGGCCCCGTGACAAACGGCTGACTCCAGCCTCACTCCCACACTTTCAAATGCCTGGAGTAACTGGAGGAGGAAAAGGCATTCTCATCCTGCTGGCCCGCGATGGCTCAAGAAGCAATTCTCCAACCGTCTTCCCACCAAGGAGCTTCAGTGCCCGGACAGACGCCACCCAGCTAGACCCTGACCCGGCTTAGAGCTCTGCTCGCTTCCTCCCTTTTGCAGAGCATCACAGTTCCAACACCGCCCTGCAAAATCACCATTGCACCTCTGATTTCTCATTCATCTCCTTTTGCTCTCCCAGCCCCGCACTTCCCCCTTTCTGATCACGTTACACATGTTACAAGAGACAGGGTGTTGTCTTTTTTAGAAACAGCATGGACTTTGGAGTTAACAAGTGAATGTTCAAATCGCAGCTCTGCAGTCTGTGCAGTTAGCCTTTCTGAGTCTGTCTCCAGTGAGCTGTGAAATGCTTTAGAAAGCGACAGAAGTGCCTGGCCCAGAAGCTGAGCTCAGAACAGGGCAACTGCATTCTCCAAAGGGAGCTGCTCATCTCAACTCTATCCAGCTAACAGTTTAACTCATTCTCATCAAGGCAGCCCATCCGCTCCTGTGCAGACTTTCATCTTATGCAGTCTGGCTGTGACAGGCTTTGAGTCTTGAGACTAAATGTCGTCCTCAAAGTCCTGCCCCATCTGGGCGTCTACCATCTCTGTGGTCTCCCCTCCTACCCCTGCCCCTCCTGAGCGCCTCATGCTACGGCACCTTCCCAGGAAGGCTGGGCTCTCTCCTGCCCCCATGACTTTGCACAAGCTGATCCCTCACCACCTCCACCCTCAGGCGGGTGGACAGCACTTTCGAAGGCCAGCTGGCATCTCAGCCCTGTTACTTCTTTCTGAGCTGTCAACGGGCTTTGCTGCTTTGTTCACATCTCTCTCCAGATCCTCATCACACAGTAGAGGGACTGACCCAGTGGCCTCCAGCACTAGTCTGCCCACCTTCGAATCTTCTTGCTTCCTTACTCCCTGACAACTGCAGCCCAACACCTTGATTAGAATGGTCCTTTCATCGCCGCAACTCTAATGTAAAGTACGTACCCCTCAGCTCATTCTGCAAACAAGGACACTAAGCCCCAGAGAGACTGAGCACCTGCCTTACCGAGGACCACACACCAGCAAACAGTGACATCAAGAGACCACCACCCAGCACTCCCTCTCAGGATCACAGCAACATACAAGCTCATACACACCAGCAGCAATGCAGGTCCATAGCAGGTGCCATCTGTATATCCATAATGCCAGGGCAAAGTCACCAGCAATATTAACAAACTGTTTGCACAGAAAAGGCATAGTTACAATGTTCCATCTCAGGTCACTAGAGCTAATTCTAAGATGGCCAAAGCAGGAGTAAATTACAGTCAGGCAACATAAAAACATAGACTAGACATTAACATGCTGCGATGTGCCCAGTGCGTCCCATGTATGTACATTTCCTCCCCATTTAATCCCAACAACCCTCAGAAGCATGAACTTGTTCCTATTTCCCTGTATCCTTGGACAAACCACTTAACCACCCCTTGCCTCAGTTTCCTCACATGTAAATGAAAACTCACGGTACTTACTTGAATTAGTCAGCTTTCAGTGCAGGATACAGAAACCCAGCTAATTTTTGTATTTTTAGTAGAAATGAGGTTTCACCATGTTGGCCAGGTTGGTCTCAAACTCCTGACTTCAGGTGATCTGCCCACCTCAGCCTCCCAAAGTGCTGGGATTACAGGCATGAGCCACCGCACCCGGCCCCCTCATATTAACTGTTTACAAGAGGTGCCATTACCCCATGTCACTCAAGTACACACTGGCGATCGCAGGGGCTAAGTGACCTCCTCAAGATCACACAGTACAAAAATGGCAGAACTGAGGTTCAAACTTGGGTCAGAGCAGCCCCTGCTCTCAACCACCAATATTCTTCTCTGCCTGTGAATTACACTTGGTGCCAGGGTGAACCAGACACAGGCTCTGCCCCCAAGGAGCTCCCAGCCAGGTCGGGAAGTGGTCCGGAAAAATCCATCATTCCAGTTCTTTAAACACAGCCAGGTGCCCCCACCTCCCAGCCTGCCACAAGCTGTTCCCTCTGCCCCACACCTTCACTGGGCAAGCTCCTGATCCTTCAATGCAGTTCAAACACTTCTCCTTAGCAAAGGGCACTCAGATTATCTGAGAGATCCGTAAAGGGGCTACACAAGAGACGATGTACTTGGTCAAATCTAATTCTCAACTTCCAGACCAATGTGGATTAGGAGATTAAACCCCTGGCTTCACAAAGCCCAACCCTATCTTCTGTGGAAAATAAACCCACCACAAGCATGTTACTGACTTTCTCTTACACTTGCTGTCTGGGTTTCTAAATAAATACTGTTAATCTACACTGGGCTCATATGATCCCTTAACATGGTCCCACTCTTCTACACAAATGAAAATCGTCCTCAAATTACATTAGTAAATTTCCTTCAAAGAAGCAAATCCCAACACTTATTCTCAAAGGCTGGGTGATTCTGTCAGCCCCTCCCTGGGGTATCTGGCAATGTCTGGAGACATTTTTGGCTCTCACAACTTGGGGAGTGCTGCTGGCATCCCGTGGGTCGGAGCCAGGGAAGCTGTAAGGCATCCTCCAATGCACAGGACAGCCGCCCACAACAAAGACGCATCTACCCCAAAACATCGGCCAGTGGGAGAGACCCTGCTCTTGACTTCAGCAAGAGCTTGACTGAAGCAAGCACAATATGGGAGTGAGAACTAGAGAAAGCTTTAGAAAAAGTATTTTTTAGAAATGATAATGTTTCTGTTAGAACCACAGAAAGCTACTACTTCCGGAGTGCCAAGAAGTTAAATGCTCTATTTGATCTCTAACCTTATACAGTAGTTTTATCCCCTACTTAAGGCTCAGAGAGGTAACTTGCCCAAGGCCCACAGCGATTAAATAGGAGGACTCACGAGAAACCCAGCCAGCATGAACTCCTGAACCAGCACTCTCGGCTGCGGTGCCACCCCCTCCCCACCCACAGTAACAGCACTTGTGCCCGCCCCCATAGCCCGTGAAATGCCTTATCTGTCTGCCCCATCAGACTATGAGCGCCATAAGGGGAGGGACTCTCTCTAAAGCTCAGGCTGGAGTCTGGGACAGAAGTGCTCATTACAGTGTGGGTGAAGGACAAATGCAAGCCGGGCCTGCGCTTCTGGGAGGCTGTGGTCAGGCTTGGCCAGCCCTCCTGTCACTCCCCTGCTCCCACCTCATCAAGCAGCCAAGGTCATCCCTGCCCGTCTCCACCCTTCCCTCCGAGCATGTTCTCCTAGACTACACTGTTCACACGTCCTTCCATAACCCAGAGACTGATTCACTGAGGACAAGGAAACCAGAAGGCAAGAGAGTGAGGGGACAAAGTGGGGAAACAGGATGGCTCAGAAGCCAGGGCTGGGAACCCCAGAGGACCAGCTCTAGCCCCAGCCCTGCCCTCAGCAAAGACTCACGATGCCCACAGTCCTCTGGGTACCTGCTGTGGGCCAGGCCCTGGGCTGAATTGATGAACATTCACTGTAACTCCATTTACTCACCTGTAAAATGTTTAGTGAGCTCTAAAGATTCTGGCACAGAAACCCTTTCCCCTCAAAGGAACTCTACATGGAAACTCTTCTCTAACATTTTTAAGACTCTAGGACAAAAGAACCCTAGACTCTGCCCATGTCATCACTTGTTTTAAGTCATTTTTCATTATATTCCATTATCTTCCCAAAGGTAGTTCAGAGAGGCTCACAATAACAATGTCACAGCCATCACAACGAGGATAAGGAACCAAGGAATAAAAGAAGAGACACTTGTTTCCTGCAGCACAAAGCTGAGTATGACTTCCAAGAAACGGTAGCTTTAGAAATGATCTAGAAATTGCATAACCAACGATGCTTCCTTTCAAAGGGGAAGAGAATCCAATATACACAGCTCAGTCAGCTGAATCACAACGGCGGCAGAAAGAGCAACGTGGCCATGATCGCCACAAGCAACTCATACTTAAAAGTTTACTACGTGTCTGGATCTGCATTAAATTTCTCACATGCTAACCCATTTTAATCCCCACTGCCACGGAAGGAAGGGCTCATTATCCCCACTTCTCAGGTGAGGCAGCGGAGACAGAACGTGCGAGGACAAAGGTGAGCGTGTGGCGTTCGTCAACAGCATAATGGGCACACGGGCCACGCTCCTCCGCGCACGGTTCTAGGGGTGAGAAAACTGACTGGGAGGTGAAGGAACTTGTTCAAGGGCACAGAGCTGGACATGGCACAGGTCGGTTGAATTCCAAAGCCACACTCCTTCCACCATGCTGTTTCCCGGCCAAACCCATTTCAAGCAAGGTTTCCCACATTTCTGAAAACCCATCCTCAGGCCCTTCTCGCTGAGCTTCTGATTCTGTATGTCTGGATGGATCCTGAGGTCCGCGTGGAACGGGTACCAGGTGTTGTTCATAAGCAGGGACAGTTGAACACACTCGTCTGAGCACGGGGAAGTTCCGCCACACAAATCTAACCACAGCAACACCGCGATATGGCTACAGCCTCAGAAGGGATAGTGACAAGATCTCCCCCAAAGTTCCCAGGTTCCTCCCACTGAGGGCAATCGCTGAGTTACTGCATTCTGAGACCAGGAACTGTGCTCATGGTACCAAGATACCTATCTGTCAGCACATTCGAGAAGAAAGTTTCCCGACAAAACCACAGACCACACCACAGATCATCTCACTCAGGACTGGCCTTAGGCTGGTCCGAGATGATCCCCTTTAGTTGATGAAGCAACTAAGGCAGTGGTAATGTGTTGGCCACAGTCAGAGTCGCCAGCTGACTCCAGCCGGCACACCACACCATCTCAAAGGGACACCCGGTACTGCAATGTCTGACGTGGGTTCTGCTAGAGACACACACACGGGGCAGCCAGGGTCAACTGCAGAAATGTTCCCACCTGCCAAGCCCCGGCCCCAGAGCCCTCCAAAGAGCAGCTATGGAGCAGATCACGATTCTTTTTTTGTTTGTTTGTTTTTTTGAGATGGAGTCTCATTCTGTCGCCCAGGCTGGAGTGCGGTGGCGCGATCTCGGCTCACCGCAACCTCTGCCTCCTCCTCCCAAGTAGCTGGGAATACAGGCGTGCACCACCATACCTGGCTAATTTTTGTATTTTTAGTAGAGACGGGGTTTTGCCATGTTGGCCAGACTGGTCTCGAACTCCGGACCTCAGGTGCTCCACCCACCTCAGCCTCCCAAAGTGTTGAGATTACAGGAGTGACCCACTGCACCCAGCCACAGATCTCAATTCTACACGTACTCTCCACAGCCCCTGTGCCCTTCCTCCCAGCACGCCACCGTTCGGGAGTTCACATTTGCTTGTGTGACGAAGGTGTCCACTCCCACCACCCCCAGGCCACAAGCCCACCCTAAGTCATGACCCAACATCGTTTCTCTCACCGTATTACCCCACATGACCAGCCTAGAACAGGGCCTAGGAAATAGGCACTTGTTGAACAAAAGCATGAGAGCACAAACGAGAGGCAGAAGCTGAAGGCGCGGCCCCCCCAGGGCTTCAGGGAGACACAGGAACTCCAGCACTCAGGTGACAAGGCCCCATGGGGACGGAGTGCATGGCCAGGCCCAGCACGTTGGGAATGCATGGGGCTGCAGTGCAGCAGAGCACACACCTCCACAGCAGAGGCAGGGCCAGGACAGGCACACGAGAGCACAGCCATCCAGGGGCACGGGGACACGGCTGGAACACCCGGCATGCCAGCACTGCACTATGCCAGCAGGGGCTGGCAGTAGAAATGAGAGTTACTCACTGGCGTCACCCTCACCAGTGCCCTCTGCTTGGCCCAAGAAACGTTAAGTTATGAGTGCACAGGGCCCCGCAGAGGCTCAGGCTGCTGATTTGGTAACACTGGCCACCTGTGGGACAGCCACAGCAGGTCAGAGGCAGAGATGTGACAACAGACTGCAAATGAGCCAGGGACACCGAAGAACAGAATCCCCAACAGACCAGTTCTCACAATCCCACAGGATTCCGGGCTTCTGGGAAAAGACCCAATTATCTGTGTGAGACAGTGCCTGCCTAACACCACAGAGAACACACAACACATTTGAGACAGGAACAAGGAGACTGGTCTGGACTCAACCACCACGATCTTCTAGAGGGCAAAGATGGCATTACCTTGCAAAGAAGTTACTAAATGGCCCCAATATTTTCAATTTACTCCCCTCCTCAGCTTCATGAACACAGTCCTGCTGGTGTAAGCCACGGGTTTCCTTGATAGAGCTCAAGGTGACGTTGGTAAACTGTGGGTCATCGTCATTCTCCAGGGTCACAATGGCACTGGAGCTGCTCGTGACCACAAGGTCCAAGATGTCCTCATTGCTGACGGACAGCGTGGTGGACAGCTCTGTCCCAAGACTGGACACGCTGCAGACGGAGACATCATCGCTGCGGGTCAGGGCTTTGGAGGTCGGGCTATAGAGCTTTACCGAGTCATAGCCTGTCCTGGGAAACGTGGAGGATTTGCGCACGCTCTGTTCCCGCTCGGTGCTGCTAGGAGCTGGTGGCGCACAGGATGGCAGCGCGCAGGCGCTCTGGAAGGCCCGCTCGGGGATGAGGTCGGAGTCGGACTGCTTCCTCCTCACGTGGACCGCGCTGCAGGGTACAGGCTCCGGGTTCCCGATCTCCAGGGTAGGAATCCCCGAGTCCACGGACTGGAGGCTGTGCCGGTCTTCTAAAGCCCTGAGTTTCAGCTTGGGCCCGTACTCAGGCGCGGAGAGGAGTCGGGGCGCCTTGAGATTGACGTGTTGCAGGTTCTGAAGGGGGTTTCCTGGTCGACCATCCAGAATACCCATGAAGGCTACGCCATTTGTAGAGGTGGAGAGTTTTCCATCAGTCATCTTGGTCCAAGGAGAAACTAGAAAAAACACAAACATGGAAATTAAAGTGGATATAAAATTCAAAGATGCCACACCTCTGACACACAGCTGAAATGGTCTGATCTCACTTAAGGGAGAAAGCCTTGAAAAGGTTCCACATACCCAAGTTTTGATTCAAGTCCAGAAGCTAGAAGTGGTTTTTGTTTTTTGACACAGACTCTCGCTCTGTCGCCCAGGCTGGAGGGCAGTGGCGCCATCTGGGCTTACTGCAAACCTCTGCCTCCTGGGTTCAAGCGATTCTTGTGCCTCAGCCTCCCAGGTAGCTGGGATTACAGGCATGCGCTTCCACGCCCAGCTAATTTTTGTATTTTTAGTAGAGACAGCGTTTCCCTATGTTGGCCAGGCTGGTCTCAAACTCCTGACCTCAAGCAATCCACCCACCTCGGCCTCCCAAAATGCTGGGATTTTGGGCATGAGCCACCACGCCTGGCCCAGAAGCTAGAGTTTTAACATACACTGTCATGATATAACATAGCAGGAAGATAACCCAAACAAAGGATGCACCCGAAGTAAAAATAATCATCACGCTCCCTACCAGTCACATCTCCATCCCCAGGGCAGCACCAGGAGCGTGAGGACTGGGCTTGGGGGGCGGCGGTTGGGTTTTTTCTTTTGGGGGAGTGGTGAAATGATAATCTGTCAAAAGTATGTGAATCCATAACCCATACATAAGTCAAGGATCTACTTGTTCTGAGACAGCATTAAAATCCTAAGATATCTTCATTAAGACGGAAAACAACAACAAAATAAATTATGTATGCCATCTGCAGCAGCCAGGCCTCTCCACAAATGTTTCAGTCACGCTTACTCACATCTACGAGGCTGGGTGTAGTATCCCCTTTACCACGGAAGAAACCAAGGCTCGGCAAGACTAAGAAACGGGTCTAAGATCACACTGCTGTTTAACAGCAGAGCTGGGATCTACGGGACCCCAAAGGAGACCACACGTAGGTTAGAAAGGCTTGGTTTAGGATTACACAAACCCAGGTCAGAAGGCCAGCTCAGTGAAGATAATCAATAAAGGAAGAGTAAAGACCACAACCTCCGAGGTTTGAGTGAGTAGAGTCAAAACCGTCAGTGCGGCGTGGGCAACGTAACAAGACCCTGTCTCTACAGAAGACTAAAAAAAATCAACTGGGGGTGGTGGCACATGCCTGCAGTCCCAGGTACTCTGAAGACTGAGGTGGGAGGATCACTTGAGCCTGGGAGGTTTAAGGCTGTGGTGAGCCATGATTACACCACCGCACTCTGGCCTGGGTAACAGAGAAAGACACTATCTCTAAAAAAACAAACAAACAAACAAAATCCATTAATCACACGCACACATCTAAGGGCATGTCTAAAGTTCTCTGGCATGGCCGGGCGCAGTGGCTCACACCTGTAATCCCAACACTTTGAGAGGCTGAGGCGGGCAGGTCGAGAGGTCAGCAGTTTGTGAGCAGCCTGGCCAACATGGTGAAACCCCATCTCTACTAAAAATACAAAAATTAGCCAGGCGTGGTGGTGTGCGCCTGTAATCTCAGCTACTAGGGAAGCTGAGGCAGGAGAATTGCTTGAACCCAGGAGGTGGAGGTTGCAGTGAGCCGAGATCATGCCACTGCACTCCAGCCTGGGCAACAGAGCAAGACTCTGTCTCAAAAAAAAAAAAAAAAAAAAATTAGCCAGGTGTGGTGGTGCATGCCTACAATCCCAGCTACTCATGGAGGCTGAGGCAGGAAAATCACTTGAACCCAGGAGGTGGAGGTTGCAGTGGGCCAAGATCATGCCACTGCACTCCAGCCTGGGCGACAGGGCGAGGCTCCATTTCAAAAAATAAAAAAATAAAAAATAAAGTTCTCTGGCCTAACCAGGCATGGTGGCTCATGCCTGTGATCCCAGCATTTTGGGAGGTAGAGGCAGGAGGATCGCTTCGGCCTAGGAATTCAAAAGCAAGCCTCGGCAACAATGGGAGACTCTGTCTTTAAAAAAAATTTTAAATTAGCTGGGTGTGGTGGCACGTCTGTGGTCCTAGCTACTTGAAAGGCTGAGGTGGGAGGATCACTTGAGCCCGCCCAGGAGGTCAAGACTGCAGTGAACCCTGATAACACCACTGCACTCCAGCCTGAATGACAGAAAGAGACCCTGTCTCAAAAATAAATAAATAAAAAATAAAGTTCTCTGGCCTAAGACAAATGAGGAAGGGAGGGTATGTGGCACACCAGCCCGGAGAGCACAGCCCCAGCACACTGAGAACACTGGCATCAACTGCTATCTTTTATTTTTCTTTAAAATGGCCGGGTGCAGTGGCTCACGCCTGTAATCCCAGCACACTGGGAGGCCGAAGCAGGTGGATCACCTGAGGTCAGGAGTTCCAGACCAGCCTGGCCAACATGGTGAAACCTCATCTCTACTAAAAATACAAAAAATTAGCTGCACGTGGTGGCAGATGCCTGTAACCCCAGCTACTCAGGAGGCTGAGGAAGGAGAATTGCTTGAACTCGGGAGGTGGAGGTTGCAGTGAGCGGAGATCGCGCCACTGCACTCCAGCCTGGGCAACAAGAGCAAAACTCTGTCTCAAAGTAAAAAAGAAATCAGGTGGTGCATTCAAATCTGGTCCATACAAGAGAACAACAGAAAGAACAGGGCTTTGGACTCACACGCTCCTGGGCTCTATATTGCCTTGGGAGAATTAAATCAAGTACCACAAGAAAAGCATTTAATAGGCACCTGACCCCCAACAGGCACTTTGTTGGTAGCTGCTATCATCAAACAGAGAGGAGCTGAAGGTTTTCAAGCACAGAAGAAAGAATGATAACCACTCCTGCTTGGGCGTCAGCTTTTGTAAGGAGCCTGCACGCTCCTACTTTAGGAAGCCTGGCCTGCCTCAGTGTCAACACAGCAAAAGCAAATTCATTAAAAGCAGAAAAAGGGGAGCCAGGTGCAGTGGCTCATGCCTGTAGTCCCAGTTACTCAAGAGGCTGGGGCAGGAGGACCACTTGAGCCCAGGAGTTCAAGGACTCATAGCAATGAGCTATGATCACCACTGCACTCCAGCCTGGGCAACAGGGCACAATCCTGTCTCCAGAAAAACAAAGGAGAGAAAGGGAGGGGACTAATCTCCCTCCTTCCCAGAGATTGAAGGAGCCAGTAAGAGTGCAGCGCTGAGTCAAAAATAGAAATGTGAAGGAATTAAATGAAATGCAGAATTCAGAAATAGACTCAACTATATATAAATATTTGATTCAGCCTGGGCAACACAGTGAGACCCCCATCTCTACCAAAAGTAAAAATTAGCCAGGCATGGTAGTGCACACCTGTAGTCCCGGCTACTGAGAAGGCTGAGGCAGGGAGATCTCTTGAGCCCAGGAGTTCAAGACAGTAGTAAGCTGTGACAGCGCCACGGCACTCCAGCCTGGGCAACACAGCGAGACGCTATTTCAAAATAAATAAATAGGCCGGGCACGGTGGCTCACGCCTGTAATCCCAGTACTTTGGGAGGCCAAGGCGGGCAGATCACGAAGTCAGGAGTTTGAGACCAGCCTGACCAACATGGTGAAACCCCCTCTCTACTAAAAATACAAAAATTAGCTGGGCATGGTGGCGCACGCCTGTAATCCTAGCTACTCAGGAGGCTGAGGCAGGAGAATCGCTTGAACCCAGGAGGCGGAGGTTGCAGTGAGCCGAGATAGCACCACTGCACTCCAGGCTGGGTGACAGAGGGAGACTCCATCTCAAAATAAATAAATAAATATAAAGAAATATAAAAAATAAAAACTTGAAATACGACCCAGTGAGTAAAGGAGGATTATTTAATCACAATGTTATAGTAATTGATAATCAATTTTTCTTAGAAATTAGAACCACACTGTACTACACTAAGGCAAAAATACAGACAAAAGTAGAATTTAATACAAAAGTGAAATTATAGGCCAGCATGGTGGCTCACGCCAGTAATCCCAACACTTTGGGAGGCCGAGACGGGCGGATCACCTGAGGTCAGGAGTTCAAGACCAGCCTGACCAACATGGTGAAACCCCATCTCTACTAAAAATACAAAATTAGCCGGGCATGGTGGTGCATGCCTGTAATCCCAGCTACTTGGGAAGCTGAGGCAGGAGAATAGCTTGAACCCGGGAGGTGGAGGTTGCAGTGAGCTGAAATGATGCCACTGCACTCCAGCCTGCCCAACAAGAGAAAACTCCGTCTAAAAAAAAAAAAAGGTGAAATTACCCAGGTGCTGCAAAAAATAAAATGTTTCTCCAACCTATAGAGCAAAAACTCAGGTCAAGATCTGAAAGAATCCGGACATCGCCTCCCTACGCGTGAACACGTTTTCAGTGTTTCACAGCCCTCGCTGCTCTTCCCCAGAGCCGTGAGCCCTCCAAGGCAGGGCTACTGCAGACCCTCTGTGTGTCCCCTGCTTGGGAAGAATCCAAGTTTCTAACAGAATTCTAAGAGAATTCACAAAAGTAAGATATAATCCAGGATGATTCAAATATATACAAATTTGGAAGTTCTACATACACTTTAATTAAAAGGAAAATAGAGTAAGAAACATTTTTAGCACACAGTTAAGAGCTAATCTTTGACAATGTCAAGGTCATTAGAATTATCAAAACATCATCAACACTCCAGCAGATCAAACTAGCAAAAAGCCACACATGTAAGAGGAAATCCTATGCTAAACAGAGCTGAGGGCCTCTCGCAGGCCCAGCTGAAATTCTGGCTCTGCCACTTGCCAAGTAAGGCGACCTCAAATGAGGTGCTTAACCCTTCTGAGCCTCAACTTCCCTCTTCCTCGGCAGTAAGATGGGACAATACCCTATAGCTCACAGGCTGGTCTGAGGACAAAAGAAATGAGAAGGTCTGCTGAAGGCATTGGCAAACCCAGCCCCTGACTGACACACAGCAGGTGCCCAATGAACGTGTGCTTCCCTTTACTTCCTAGTACAGCAAAACACGAATGTAAGCCACAAAAGAGATGCGGGTTAGAACGCAAATGCTGATGACAGAGTAAACAGGAACACAAAAAACTCTATCCTTCCTAGGAAAATCAGTGCCTGGGCAAACAGAAGGCATCACTCACGCCTGGAATTGGAAACCATTTTGGTGAAACTATAGGATTTCATTCATGGCAATCCAAGGACCCTTCCCTGAATTGCCGCCAAGAAGAAAGCACAGGAAGAAGGAAGTGAGGTCTGGCAGAGCCCAAAGCCATCTGGCTTTAAGTAGAGAAAGAAAACCTTTTTCTACTCCTCTCCTCTGCGGTGGGGGGCCAGGGACAGCAGCCCAGTGGCCTCTCCTATGGAGAAGTTGAGTGACCTTTGAGGTCTTTGTTGATCCCAATTCCAGTTAAGTTCCTTAAACCTCAGAACAGGGCGTCAGTTTTCAGGGAAATAAACCTAAAAAGGAAAAAGTACTTCCGCTTGCAACATACCGTAAAACCAAACTCTGCAAGGGCCAAGGCGACCTGTCCTCAAGCACTTCCGCCTCGTGCCACTAGGGCAGAAGCCGCACTCCAGGCCACCTACCGCGTGATAATACCCTTTATAGGGGAAGTTGTACAAACAAGGTGTGTGCTTCTGAGACAAAGCTAATGGGTGGACTCTGGACGCCAGCCAGGAGACCGACCAACTGCAGATGGCCTGCCTCCAAGTCCACGTTTATAAAAGACAAACTAAGCCTGAATTCCCCAAGCCGACACACAGGGCCCTCCTGATCCGTCTCTGCCTGCCTCTCCAGCCTTGTGCAGTCACCCCCAGCCATTACCCGCCCCCACCACCAGCCCACTCAGCCCTACTGCACCACCACCTGAGGTGCTCTCCCAGGTAGGCCATCGGGGCCTCAGAGTCCCAGTAGGGTGTGGCACAAGGAGACACTCAATTGGTGCTTTCAAAGGCCACCTCCTCTGAAAAGCCTTCCCTGCCTCTCCCAGAAAGCTCCCAGGCCTCCTTCCTCCTGGGCTCCTTTTGGCTACACCCCACCTGAAACAGCTATTTTACAACTGTTCTCCTGTCTCTCTCCCCACTGCATTCTATGCTGCAGGCAGACACAGCTCTCATCATTTCTGGGAACTATTCTCTGGTTAAATGCCTGGCATGGATTAAGGTTTCAAAAATCTACTCGCTGAATTAATTACTACCAACAACTGAGTTCTTAAGTGGGCAGCTTCCAGGGACAGTCCCAGCCAAGAAACATCTGCTGAGAGCTGGATTATGTTCCAAGAACTCGGTGAGAGCTGGAGGTGAGACTACGAGGAAGAAATCCCCTACCATCAAGTTCCCGGAGAGTGCACACCAGCAGCTGAGCAGTGACCAGCCTACACACTGGTTAGGGGCTAGACCAGATGGTGAGGAACGCTGTCAACACATGATGGTCAGGAAAGTGAAAATTCCTGCCTTGACAGGTGTTTTCCAAAGTCCCAATCACTAACGTCCTAGTGACAGCATCTCCCTGCAGCAGTGACCACTGCAGTACGCATCCGTAGGTGCCCAAGGCACAGGAGGAACGCCCCAGCACCTGACCCAGCACCCTGCCACGGGAGGCACTGAACACAAGTCAAATGGTGATGAGTCATCACCTTCCGGCCAAGAGAAAGACAAGATGTGAAGTACGGATAAGAGGAAGACTGTTTCCATTCCATGCAACAAGGCCATCTGAATTGTATTTACCTGTCACAAGACTCAGTTCTGCAGGAAGCAAAGAGGACAGCTGCCCCCGAGGGATTCAATCAACTGTCACGCCACCAGAGCCACAATCTTCACTTCAATACAAGTCAGAAAGCGGAGGGTGGCTCTGCTAGTGACTCTGCGTGGGGCTTTGGAAAACAATTCCATCTAGAAGCAACTGCTTGATTTTCTCCTCCTTAAAAAGCAGTGGGAACTGTCTTAACCAAAGTCTTCATACATAAAAGAAACTGTTTACAAGGCCAAACCAAGAGATCTAGGTGTGTTCCCACAGGGGAAAAAAATCCGCTTAGTGGCTTCAGGGAGAAGTCATGCTGCCGTCTGTGTAGATATCCACCGGAAGCCTCTTCGCAGGGCTGGAGCACGAAGCACTCCCTGTCCCGGCTCCTCTCTGGACGCTCCACAGGACAGCTGCCTCTTCAAACCCCAATGGCAAGGGGGCACCACTGTCCTATCTGATCCTCAAAGGGTGGTGCGCTCACCTTCACTGCCAAGCCTGCCATCAACCCAGCTCTGGCCACTGACTTCCGGATTCTTATCCCTTTTTTTTTTTTTTCCTGAGATGGAGCTTTGCTCTTGTTGCCCAGGCTGGAGCGCAGTGGCACAATCTCGGCTCACTGCAACCTCTGCCTCCTGGGTTCAAGCAATTCTCCTGCCTTAGCCTCCCGAGTAGCTGGGATTACAGGCGCCCGCCACCACGTCTGGCTAATTTTTTGCATTTTTTTTTTTTTTTAGTAGAGGTGGGATTTCACCATGTTGGCCAGACTGGTTTTGAACCCCTGACCTCAGGTGATCTGCCCACCTCGGCCTGCCAAAGTGCTGGGACTACAGGCGTGAGCCACCATGCCAGGCCTGGGTTCTTATCCTAAGGGTCAGGCCCACACAGCTCATTCCTACTCCACGATGGCCTGAGGGTATACAGATCCCAGAGCCAACATTTCCAGAGGGCAGACCAGCCTGCAGCACCTAACAGCACCACCACAGCAGCACCGCAGGATGGCAATTTAATGAGTACCAGGTACCGTCCTGAACTCTAAATACACCGTTCTGCCTCACAGCCCCTCAGCAGCCCTGTGAGCCAGGTAGTATGCCCATTACCCAGAGGAGGAAACCGAGGCATGCAGCCTGCCCAAGGTCTCCACTGTGGCGGAGCTGGGCTTGAACTCAAGTCTGTGACTCCAAGGCCCCTCAGTAAGCTTTGCTGCTCACAAAGGCATGTCACAGACATAAGCACCTCTGCTCACCTCACCCTGTAAACAGCATGCTGAGTTCTACCGTTTCCAGATGGGAATAACAAAACTGGGCTGAGCAGGTGCAGTGACCCCCAACCCCCTACCCCGGTCGCAGGGGGTTGACCTGAGGCATCTGTCCCCAGCACCCACAGCATTCTCCGCAAGGCCTCTCAGGGTCCCCCATGTTTCCTGGTGAGGATTCTGGGGAGACTAAGAGCCTCCTCATAAAAGCAGCTGCTCTTATGAGCGTCCTGCCCTGGAGGGCAGCACGGTTCAAGAGAAACAGCCCAGTCGAGCCTCTAATGCCAAGGAGAACCCACTGGGCAATGGGGCACCTCCCTGTGAACTGGCCTGCCTGGTAGAGGGCTCCACAAGCACCAACCCCTGCATCTCTTTCTCTTTTTGTTTTGTTTCTGAGACAGAGTCTCACTCTGTCGCCCAGGCTGGAGTGCAGTGGCATGATCTGGGCTCACCACAACCTCCGCCTCCCGGGTTCAAGCGATTCTCCTGCCTCAGCCTCCTGAGTAGCTGGGATTACAGCCGCCCACCACCACGCCCGGCTAATTTTTGTATTTTTAGTAGAGACAGGGTTTCACCCTGTTGGCCAGGCTAGTCTCAAACTCCTGACCTCAAGTGATCGCCTGCCTCAGCCTCCCAAAGTGCTGGGATTACAGATGTGAGCCATTGAGCCCAGCCTCTTTCTCTTTTTTAATTCAAGTCCTGGCTCAGGCAGAAAGGACTGGACGCTCCAGGCTCACGAACATGACCAGCTAGCTGCCTCCGCTCCCCAAGCGCAGATGACACATCAGGCACTGCATTCCATGTCTATATGCACTAGTTCTGTCACCTCCACAACCACCCAAAGAGCTGAAAGAAGACTGCGGTCTAAAGGGTGGTGCGTAGTAACAGAGCTGTGCCGGGCTAGCCTGAGTAGCCGAGGCACTCACTGTTTCCACTGCTACACACACAGCCTAAAACAGTGGATTGATCTGCATTATGTAAAATGGAAAAGGCCATTATAAAAGTAGTTTGGCTTTTAAATGGGTGATTCTTTAGGATAAAAATAGTCCTGAAAAAAATTTCCTAGAAGCTCACATATTCCTCCAGAGGGTGAGTGGCAACTTTCAGACACCTGGAACTTAACACAATGCTGTTTAAGTAAGTTTCAGCCCATGTATGTTTCGGCAAACCAGGCAGAAACTGCGGTTATTGTTCAGGGTCCTCAAAGGCTCCTTCACAACCCGAAGAAGCGGACACTTAACTTATACTGACCACTGGTTATGATTAAAGGCACAGGTGGAACTTTTTTTTTTTTTTTGAGATGGGGTCTCTGTCACCCAGGCTGCAGTACAGATGTATGATCTTGGTTCACTGCAACCTCCACCTCCCAGGCTCAAGTGAGCCTCCCACCTCAGCATCCTGAGTAGCTGGGACCACAGGTGCCCGCCACCACGTCCACCCAGCTAATTTTTTGTTGTTGTTGTTGTTGTTTTGGTAGGGTTTCACCATGTTGCCCAGGCTGGTCTTGAACTCCTGAGCTCAAGTGATCCACCCTCCTCAACCTCCCAAACTGCTGGGATTAGAGGCATGAGCCACAGCGCCTGGCCAGGACATTTTAAATTAAAGACTTTCAATGCAAAATGTTTCAGCTTCACTTAGTGATTTGGTAAATTACTAATTAACTAATTTTCCTAAGTAGCTGTGAAGTGACTGGGAGGCAAATGATACATTAGGAAGATATTTAGACTACTTAAAACCGGTATAGTTTATAATCTTAATTATTCATAAGAGAAATAATTTACTGAGCATTTAGCATGCACCAAGCATGCGGGATGCCATCACATGCTCTAATAATCACAAGCCTGCCAAGGGCACTGAGGAAACTATGAGATTCAGAGAGGCTAAGTCACGCACCCAAGGTCACACAGCAACAGAAACTGAGTTCAAACCAGATCTGACATCAAAGCTCATACATGGCCTGCTGGCGTACTTATGAATGCAGTCCCTAAACTTTATCCCCCTTCCTCTCAGCTCCCTTAATGTTGCCCAAAAGGTATATTCACCCAATAACCCTGATCATCGATAAGCTGAACACTTAACCATTCTTACACTTCTATGTATGTTTGTTAGGCTGCAAATGAAGTTTTAAAAATAAAATAGGCCAGGCGTGGTGGCTCACGCCTGTAATCCCAGCACTTTGGGAGGCCCAGGCAGGTGGATCACCTGAAGTCAGGGGTTCAAAACCAGCCTGGCCAATATAGCAAAACCCTGTCTCCACTAAAAATACAAAATTAGCCAGGCATGGTGGCACATGCCTGTAATCCCAGCTACTGGAGAGGCTGAGGCAGGAGAATCGCTTGAACCTGGGAGACAAAGGTTGCAGTGAGCCGAGATCTCACACCATTGCACTCCAGCCTGGGCAACAAGAGCGAAACGCTGTCTCAAAAAATAGAATAGAATAGAACAGAACAAAACAAAAAACAAAACAAAATCAACAGGAGGGAAAAAATAATGCAGGTTCCAGCAGCAGGCTGCCTGGGTTCAAGTCCCAGCTCCTTCGCTCACCAGCTGTGTAAGCTTGGACTCATTTCTTAACTTCCCCGAGCCTTGGTTTCCTTGCAGCAAAATGAAGACAGTAAGAGACCCTATCTTGTTAGGCAGTTGACAAGATTAGGGGAAGAAATCCACATAAAGCCCTTAAAATCGTGCCTGGCACAGGGAAAGCCCTGGAAAATGTTGGCTGGTGTTACTCTTTCCTGGACACGGATCGGGCCAGCCAACTCAGTCCCACTATTTTAGCAACCAGTTGCATAAGCAAGGCCAGACACAGCCAGTCTGTGTCTACAAGGCCACAATGTACAGCTTCTTCCTGTCACCAGTCTCTCTCCTCACACCTGCCGTGTGATACTGATGGAGCTCTGGGCCTCAACTTCCCCATCTATAAAACCAAGTGACTAGCCAAGCAGATCAGTCCCTGAGAGCCTTCCAGATGGACAATCAAGAATTCTAAACCACCCGGGCCCAAGAAAATTTATTTTTTATTTTTTTATTTTTTTTATTTTATTTTTATTTTTTGAGACGGAGTCTAGCTCTGTCACCAGGATGGAGTGCAGTGGTGAGATCTCGGCTCACTGCAACCTCCACCTCCCGGGTTCAAGCGATTCTCCTGCCTCGGCCTCCCAAGTAGCTGGCACGCACCACCACAACCAGCTAATTTTTGTATTTTTAGTATAGACAGGGTTTCACCATGTTGGCCAGGATGGTCTCAATCTCCTGACCTTGTGATCCACCCACCTCAGCCTCCCAAAGTGCTGGGTTTACAGGCATGAGCCACTGCGCCCAGCTGAAACTTTATTTATACGTGGTCCTAAAACAAATGTTAAGCTGGCCATGGTGGTGCGTTCCTGTAACTGCAGCTACTCGGGAGAATCGCTTGAGCCGAGGAGTTCAGATCCAGTCTGGACAATATACCATGACCCCATCTCTAAAAAAAAATTTTTTTAAAGTTAACAAACACATACTCACTTTCCTAAAATCCTGTTGCGTTATGTATTAATGTTTATACTGACAACAAATCTTTTCCAAGGTCTCAAAGACTCCCCAAGCAACCCCCGACCTGCACGGCAGGCATCCCCTGTGCTGAGGCTGGGACTCAAGGTTAGAAGCTCTGACCAACGGGAGAGAGAGATTCAAACAAGCTGCTCTGACTAGCTGTGTCCCCACTTTGAGAGAGGCCTTCTATAGCGCACCAGCTAAGCAATCAACCCAGAGTAGAGGAGGGAAGGTGGAGGCATGAAAGACAGGAATTCACCCACTAAACGGGGAGTGGGGTGGAGACAGCGGACCCAATGCAGAGGAACTGCAGGGGCTAAAGGAACACAGGGGAACAGCAGAAGCCAGGAGAGGCAAAGCCCAAGCTGAATGTGAGAGGGTAGGCTGGGGGCAGACGGTGAAAACTCAGTTGCACAAACAGGAATCAGGCCCAGCTCGGTGCAAAGTGCTGGAACAGCGGAGGATACCGAGGTGAGCAGAGCCTGGCCCAGTAGCCTGCCTCAGTTTGAATCCCATCTCTGACTCTCCCCATGTGGGTGGCTCCCAGCCAGTTACTCTGTCTCCCTTAGTACCAGCTGACACCCTTGATGTTTCCCAAAAGGTGTTTTCGCCCAATGACCCTGAGCACCAAGTTCATGCCAGGCTCTCATTAGGACTGGGGATCTCATTAGGATTGCGGAGCCCACAATCTCAAGGGGTCAAACACACAGCAAAGAAGCAGTAAGAGGGTTGGTCGGAGGGGGGAAGCCATACCCAAACTGAGATATGGGTTGGTACTGGCCAGATAAACTGGGCAACAGGAAGTGTTCTAAGACTGCTGTAAGGACTAGCCCGGTCCAGACAAAGCAACCACCAGTTTCCAACAGGCAACCCACCGCTATAAAAGCTAGGCAAGACAGCAACTAGGTGCCAACATCCTACAATACTGGGGACAAGACAGTGAGCATTTTGTCCCCAAGACACCACCACGACTACCCTCCTCATCTAGCCTCAGTGCGTGAAATAACCAAGGTGATGCCCAGGGACCTCCAGTAGGGGCAAAACGCACCGGTGCCTATAAAACCTTCCCAAGCAAAGCTTCCAATTCCACGCTAGAGAAAACGGCGTCCTATGCAACTTTAGGACAGAAACGACTTCACGTGGCCTGGTCAGGCGCGGTCACCCCGGGGCTCGCAGAGGCTGGCTCTGGAGTCCACAGGGTCATTCTCCTATCCTCCTGACCAGCTGTTCCCATCAGGACCGCAACCCACAGCCTAGAGAGACTCCTGGCGGGAGGGAGACCAGGAGTCCCCGGACTTACTCCTCAAGGCAGCTACCCCGGCCCCGAGACAGTCCCCGGGCCAGGGTCTTCGCGGCCCGGTAATGGGAGGCTCCAAGGCGGAGGCAGAGAGATTCCCTAGCCCAGGGACAGACGGTTCGCGTGGGTGGAGGTCCAAGGAGGTCAGGGCTCCGAGATGAAAGGGGGTTTCGCGGGTCAGGGGCTCCAGGGGTAGAGGGGTCAGAGATGAAAGCGGGGTCAGGGGCTCCAAGGAGGAGGGTCCGCTGCCTGGGGACTGAGGGTCCGAGGTGGAAGGGGGCTCCGGGGTCGGGGTCTGGCGCACCGAGGCGCCTCTTCTCAGGCCGGGAGCCTCGCGTCGGAGTAGGAAAACTTTTCGTCAAGTTCCGTAAAGGAGCGGGACACAGCGCGCGCCTCCGCGAGGGCCGCCGAGTCCCGAGAGTCGCCCCCGCCCCGGAGGCCCCGTAACGGCACCCCGGGCGCCACGCACGCGCTGCCCTGGCGTGCAGGAGCCGCGGCCGCGCGGCGAGGGACACCCAGCAGGACCCGCGCCCGGCGACCTGCCTCGCCCCGGCCGCTCCCCGCCTCGGCCGGCGCTGCAGCAGGTGGCGGCCCCGCGCGCCCTGCCCTCCCTCGCGGCCCGCGGCCCGGCCCTCGCGGGAGGCTCTCAGTACCGGAGTTAGCGCGGCTCCGACGCCATCCCCGGGACCCGTGGGCCCGCAGCCCAGGCCCCGCGGGACCGGCAACTCGCGCGACGAGGACGCCGGGCACGCGGTAGGCAGCGGGTCCGACCCGCAGGTGCGCGCGAGCAGCCCGCGGCGAACAGCGGCGCGCACCCTCGCTTCGCCCCGCCCCCTCGCCCGCCCCCTGGGCACGCCCCCACGCACTTGCGCCCCGCCCCCTGCCGGCCCGCGCCCGTTCTTCCGCCCGTGCCGCCGCGTCTGGAGCTCGGCGCTCGCCCGGCTGTCCCTCTTCCGGGGGCCGCCCGCCGCGGGCCTCCGGAGCGGCGTCGCCGGCCCTTTTTTTTTGCCGGAGAACCAACCGGAGTGGCGAGGAGCTGCCTTGAGCGGGCCTTTGTGCCCGCAGGGCCCCCACGGACATCCGACAGGGGGCCCCTTACCTGGTCGGCTCCACCCGCAGCCATCTTGGAAGTGGGAAGCGGCCGGGAGGGGGAAGGGGCTCGAGCGGGCAGGGCTCAGGCGTAGGGAGCCGAGCGGCGGAGCGCATCGATGGGGCTCCCCTGCCCCGGCCGGTGTGCGGGAGACGGCCCGGGCCCCGCCGCGGAAGGGAAGCTTTGCGTGACACCGGAGCTCAGGCCCCGCCGCGGTGGTCTTGGGAGCGGCGCCGTGGCGTCCTCCCAGCCAGCCTCAGTCTCTTAATCTATAAAGGGCTTTTCCGAACGTTCTCTCTTATCGCGCTGTGACACGGTGCCTGGCGCTGTAGTTCCCAAACTGGTCTGCACTTTAGTATTGCCTGCGGAGCTTTTAATATTCTGAAGCCCAGGCCGATTAAGTCACAGTCTCTGAAGATGAGATGGAAGCATCATCAGTTTGGGAAGCTGTGTAATGTGCACGCGGGTTTGGAAGCCACTGGCCTGGCGTTATCTGCATATTTGGCCTCAACATTGCACAAACTCCAGAGACGGGATCTATGATCAGAGCCATTGTACAAAGCGGGAAACGGGCTCAGAGATGAAGCCCTCCGCCCAAGGACCCGGGTGGGTCAGTAGCTGAGAGGGGCAGAAGCCAGGTTCCCTGCCCCAGAGCCCTCCATGAGCTGGTAGAGAGTATGTGAGGAGCCCCTGTTGACGGGCAGTGGGTCTCCATTCCCCTTCTAGGCTGTGGGTTCCATGAGGAAAGCCGGGCTTATCTTGTTTACTGCTATTTTCCCTGGGCCTGGCAAATAGTTGGTATTTGACGTTATTGGGTTGTCGTTAGACTCTGGGGACTTGAGGGCAAGAGGAGAGACCCAGCGCTGGGAGCCAGAAGTCCTGGATTTCCACTTGGCTTTGGCTCCTGCCAACCAGGAGCCCTGAGGGTTGTCACTGGCAGATAAATTACCAGAGAGGAAACCCGGGAGAGACTGACTGCAGCCCAATCTAAGGGAAGACTCAGCCACTCAGAAAGGTCAGGGGCAGGAGGAGTTTCCGCATTACAGGAAGCATCTGGAAGCATGAAATGGAAGATTTGTCTCTACTGCGGTCGTTAGGGATGGGCTAGGGAACCCCGAACTTGGGTCTCCTCTCCAGCTCATGGCTGTAAAAACCCTGAGCATCTATGAGATATGACGCAGAAGCAAGAGAGATTTTTAAAGGCGATCTCTTGAAAGCAAAAACATTAACATCCCTCGCAGTGCTGCATCACAGAAACTTTATAAATGCTTAAATTTCTGGGGGTTTTAAGTAAAAATAATACGAGGCCTCCTTCATACCTCTTAAAACAAGGCCTCCCCAGCTTTTTCTAAGTAAACCCTAGTGGAAAAGTACAGACTGCTTCAGTCGTGACTTAATTAGCAATTTAATGCGTTGGATTAATAGATCTGCTTGGGGCTCCCAAATCCCTTCCAGCCCTAATTCCGAGTCTTAGGGTCTAAAACCCTACAATGACAAGGAACCATTGTTCTGTATCCAGAACCGAAGTCTGTGGTCCTGCAGATTTGCACCTGGCGCCCTCTGCCTGCCTTTTCCTCACTCGCCATCCTGCTGCGCCCACTCCGTCTCTCCCGGAGCCTGTCGTCACCTGCATCCGCAGCGTGATTTGACCCACGCCTTACCTGTTGCCCTCAGCGCCCAGACGTGTTCTAGACAAATCTTCATTGCAACTTGAGTCTGACAAAATTAGCACGGCGAGCAGGATTTAGCCGTGTGGCTGTGTGCGGTCACTTCACCTTTCGGCACCTCCCTCACCCCCATCTCTGATGTGCAGATAATCCCGGGATCAGGGCGGTCAGCCCTGGATCTCAGCTCTGCTGGTCCTGAGGCGTAGACCCCCATCATAACTGGCTAGATGAAGCCATCTCATTCCCCATGCAGACTCTACCTGAGGTTTCCAGAAGGATTATCTCCCCGCAGTAAAGCCATCGCTTAGTGTGGACAAGATCCAGGCCTCTTAGCTCCCTCTCATCAGTTCCAGGCAAAGGACCTACGCATGGGAGCCGCTGGGCTGGCTAACTCCTCAGGTCTCCCGGAAGGCTTCCCTGCTCCTCCCCAACCTTCCCACCTGTACAAGAAACATGGCGTCTCCACCTCCCAAGTTGAGTTGTAGTGAGGATTAAACAAGTCTAAATGAAATGAAAGTTCCTAGCATGGTTGGAGAACTCTTGGCACGCCCCCCTTCTCCTCGGACACCCCATTGAGGGACCTTTTCCAGCCTGACCTCGGAGCCTTCCGAAGCTTGCTAGGCAGGAAGGAGCCAGCTCAGCTTGCAGTTGGGGAGGGGAGTGCCTTTCCCAGGGTGTTCAGTGTCCATGGAAGCCAGCCCTGAGCACCCGCTCGTTGCCCGCTCGGGCTGGGTGCTAGGGACCCCAGGGTGACCCACAGCCCACAACTCCTGCTCTTTCAGGGCTTCCAGGACGGACAGAGGTGGCATCTTGAAAATGCAGCCTTGGCCCTGCACCGTGGCTCATGCCTGTAATCCCAGCACTTTGGGAGGCCAGGGTGGGCAGATGTCTTGAGTCCAGGAGTTCAAGACCAGCCTGGGTGACATGGCAAAGCCGCCTGTCTACAAAAAAATACAAAAATTAGCCGGGCTTGGTGGCACACACCTGTAGTTGCAGCTACTTGGGAGGCTGAGGCAGGAGGATCGCTTGAGCTGGGGAGGCAGAGGTTGCAGGGAGCCAAGATCACACCACTGCACTCCAGCTTGGGTGACAGAGCGAGACCCTGTCTCAAAAAAAAAAAAAAAAGAAAAGAAAAGAAAAATGCAGCCTTGTTCCCCTGCAAGGAAAATGGTTATCTGACCAGATGCACGCCCCAGGAGAGTCATCAGCAGGCGTGAGAGCTGGCAGGACCCTTGGCATCAAGTCCCCTCTGACTATTCAGAGGGAGAACTGAGGCCACAGAGAGGTGTGAGGAATGGCCCAAGCTCAGGGGGGTGGGAGGTGCACACACAGTGAAGCCAGGGGCTTCCTGCCCTGCCGAGCACCCCCGCATCTCAGGAGATATGGGGATCTATCTAGTTTCCCCAACACGCATTTTGCCCCAGCCTTTTCTCAGCCCCTAGATGTGAGCTCCATTGTGGAGGGTGCATGAATTTTGCTGGTACCTGTGTCTCTACCTGGAACCATCCCAGGTGCCCTGGGCTGTGCTGGCTGATTCACCTCTATTACCACAGTTGATCCACACAAGCTGCCAAGCTGGCACCTGGACTCTCATTTTCCAGGCAAGGACACAGGCACCAGGTGGTGAGGCCACTCAGCCCAGGGCTCCCAGCTCTGCCCCCCGCGTCCAGAAGCTGCTGCCCAGTCTCCATCCTCCCTCCCAATCCCCTTGCCCCAGCTCAGAGCCACCAAGGGCAACAGCATGAATAAAACTAACAGCAGCTGTGATGCCACACAAGGAGCTCAACTGGGCAATGGGCCCATCCCTATGGGTTAGGGGCAGCTTGAGAAGCATTAATTTCTTTCAAAAGAGCTTCCCTTTGGCCCAAAGACTGTCAGCAGTCCATGAAGAAGCAGATCCTTTCTGCCTCCATAACTTGGAGTGTCATCTCCTTCACCATGGAGACAGGACTTCTCATTTTTAGGACACAATGCCTGGAATTGAGGTTTCTCTTGTTGGTTCTGGAAATTGAGCAGTATGAGGAAAAAAACAAAGGCAGGAATAGCCCAGATGGCTGCAGATCAGCAACCTCAGGCACACAGAAGGCAGCAAGAGACACCGAAATGGAAAAGTGCCAAATAGCCAGCGGAGCCTCCGAGAACCTCTGCACTTGGCGGCAAGCAGCAGCACTCAGGCCCGCACGCCAGAGCCCAGCCGCTGGCATCTCACGGTTAACAAAGGCACTTACCTGTGTCCTAGCTTGCAGTCCATTCAGAGCAGCAAATTCAGGGAGGCAGAACTCCTAGTAGCCGCGCATTCACCAAAGGGTAAAGGTATGGGTGCAGCCAAAGGTGGCACTAACGAAAACTTTCTAACACACAGAATCCCTTTGGTCTCATGACACAACCGAAGGGAGCCATCCTTTTATAAAATGACCCCCAAGTTGAGGCAGACTGTCATCAAAAAATGTTCACCACAGTTTTACCATTCATAAAGTGGCAGCAGTCACATGTTACAAAGGTAACATAGACATAATGTACACGTCCAGCAATGAGGGACGGGAATGGAGTAACTCAAAAGGAGCCATCAGAAAAATCTTTAAAGAATTGGGCTGGGCGCGGTGGCTCACGCCTGTAATCCCAGCACTTTGGGAAGCTGAGGCGGGCGGATCACGAGGTCAGGAGATCAAGACCATCCTGGCTAACACGGTGAAACCCCGCTTTTACTAAAAACACACAAAAAAATAGCCAACGTGGTGGCGGCCGCCTGTAGTCCCAGTCCCAGCTACTAGGGAGGCTGAGGCAGGAGAATGGCATGATCCTAGGAGGCAGAGCCTGCAGTGAGCCGAGATCGCACCACTGCACTCCAGCCTGGGTGACAGAGTGAGACTCCACCTCAAAAAAAAAAAAAAGAAAAAAAAGAATTGACAGCACAGAGGAAATGTGGAAGCTCCCCAAGTGTAATCAAAGTATGTGAATGCACTCCATTCACAGCAATCAAAGAAGATGGGAAGAAACACCAACATGGGCATCCCAGCTCAGGCAAGTATCTGCTGCCTGCGGGCTTTTTCTGTTGTTGTTTTTGAGACAGGGTCTGGCTCTGTCGCCCAGGCTGGAGTGTGGTGGCACAATCACAGCTCATTGCAGCCTTGAACTCCAGGGCTCACACAATCCTCCCACCTCAGCCTCGCCAGTGGCTGAGACTACAGAGGCACACCACCATGCCTGGTTAATCTTTTATTTTTTGTAGAGATCGGGCCTCCCTTTGTTGCCCAGGCTGGTCTCAGACTCCTGAGCCAAAGCAATTCTCCCACCTCGGCCTCCCAGAGTCCTGGGATTACAGGCGTGAGCCACCGTGCCTGGCCTAGGGAATGTTTTTTAAGCTCCTTTTCAGAGATGAGAAAACTGAAACTCAGAGAGGTTGTTTGCCCCACTCATAGGCCGCAGATCAGGAAGCTCTAAAGCTCCAACTCAAGATATGCATAACATGTGGAAATGAATGACTGAAAGGAAATGTACACATATTTCAGTGGTTACCTCTAGAAAGCAGTATTACAAGTACAACGTATTTTCTTCTTTGGACACATCTGAATTTGCCATTTTTGTTATTGTTGTTTTTGAGACAGGGTCTTGCTCTGTCGCCCGGGCTGGAGTGCAGTGCTCACTGCAACCTCTGCCTCCCAGACTCAAGTGATCCTCCCACCTCAGCCTCCCAAGTAGCTGGGACTACAGGTATGCCCCACCACACCTGGCTAATTATTTTTTTTTTTCAGATGGAGTCTTACTCTGTCACCCAGGCTGGATTTCAATGGTGCAATCTCAGCTCACTGCAACCTCCGCTCTCCCAGGTTCAAGCGATTCTCCTGCCTCAGCCTCCCAAGTAGGTGGGATTACAGACGCCTGGCTAATTTTTATATTTTTAGTAGAGACAGGGTTTCGCCATGCTGACCAGGCTGGTCTTGAACTCCTGACTTCAGGTGATCCACCTGCTTCGGCCTCCCAAAGTATTTGGATAACAGGCGTGAGCCACCGAGCCAGGCCTATTTTTTGTGGGTTTTTTTTTTTTTTTTTTGGTAGAGACAGGGTTTTGCTATGTTGCTCAGGCTAACTTCAAACTCCTGAGCTTAAGTGATCCACCCACCTTGGCCTCCCAAAGTGCTAGGATTACAGGCAATAGTCACTGCGGCTGGCCTGCTTATATTTTTTGACTTTTAAATTTGCTCGCAACAAACATATGCTGTATTTATGCTATATGCTGCGCTCACTGATGGGTAAACAGCAGGCCTAGAGAAGCACAGGAACCTGGGGCCATCAGGCAAGGGTTCCCAGCCGTCTCCCCAAGGCCGAGAGAAGCAAGACAAGTACGGCTTCCATTTTATGAATGGGAAAACTCAAGCTCCAGGAGGTTAAGGAATCAACACCAGGCCAAACAATCTTTGCCATTACTGGGAGCGAGGCTAGTAGAGTTGTGTGTCTGCTGGGCTGTGTGACCTGCCCTCTTCCACAGCATCTCAGCCCCAATGCCTCCATTGTACTGGGGGCACTTGAATCCAGGTAGATCTGGCTCAAAACCTAAGGTCACTCATTCCCACAGCATCCCAAGTAATTGATTGGAAGAAATCAGGGTTTGTTTGTTTTGTTTTTATGAGACAGAGTTTCGCTCTTGTTGCCCAGGCTGGAGTGCAGTGGTGCGATCTCGGCTCATCGCAACCTGTGCCACCTCCCAGGTTCAAGTGAGTCTCCTACCTCAGCCTCCCGAGTAGCTGGGATTATAGGCATTCGACATCACGCCCGGCTAATTTTGTATTTTTAGTAGAGACTGGGTTTCTCCATGTTGGTCAGGCTGGTCTCGAACTCCCGACCTCAGGTGATCCGCCCGCCTCCACCTCCCAAAGCGCTGGGATTACAGGCGTGAGCCACCGTGCCTGGCCAGAAAGAAGTTGTAATGAAACAACGGGTCCTCCAAGGACTGGAGCCCATGGCCTGAGGTTGGGGGAGGAGACTTGGGGGATCCCGAGTGGCCCTGGCTCAGTGATTCCTAAGAGGCCCAGTGCTGGAGGCCATGAGGCTCTAGGTGCTAAGAAAACAGAAAGCGCTTGGGGACGGGGCTCCAGGTGACAGCACACCAAAGTGGAATTTTCCAAATAGCCTTATCTTTAAAGGCGTCACCCAGCTGCCTGCTGCCACCACCATCACAAAGAAAAGCCCGATTTAGAAGCAGGCAGGAGTCAGGGCTCACGTGGAGCTGCGTGGGGGCTGAAGAGAAGAGGCGGGCAGGGGATGCAGGCCCAGCTCCTTCCCACTCCCGTGGGTCCTCTGCGGGAACCCCCGCCCCGCCACACGTGAGGTCCCTTGTCACCAGGCCTGAGGTCTCCCCAGGCCCACAGAACCACCCGGGCATCCCCAGAAGTTCCCGAAACTCTCTGGAATCCCTGCCTTTGCACCCACTGTGCCCTGACCTGCACCCCCAGCGCGACCCCCATCCTCCTCTCATCCCTACTTCCTTCGGTGCTTGGCCGGTTCCCCCAGGTGCTCTGACCCTCAGGAAATCATTCCTGACTCTCATCCGCCTCCCCACCCCCCGGCTGCCCCTGGGCTCCCGCAGCCCCTCCCCGCGTTCTTGAATGCCTTCGTGTTCCTGGACCCTGGCACCCAGCCCAGGGCCCCCACAGGAGGGAACAGCAGCCAAGGCTTGCTGAGCCCCGCACGGTGTGTGCGTCCGCTCTCTTCACCTTCACACCCGCAGGGACAGAAAGGACACTTAGGCTCACACACGGAAACCTCCCTGCCCGCAGCCCCACGGCGGCCTGTCCTTCCTCCCCACTGCAGCTGGCTGTTCTCAGATCTCATGGAAACACTCTTGGGTGCCTTCTTGCCTGTCTCCCTCCAGAGCCGCTGCCCTTCCTCTTCAGGGCGGGAGCGGGCCTCAGCTTCCCCATCCCTGCCCCAGGGGCTTCACTGGAGCCCCAGGCCCGGGGACCTCCTTCTCAGCCACGACCACCTGCCAGGAGACGCCCCCGCAGCTGCCCATCTGCCCACAGATGTTCTAAGCCTCCCCCGTGCCAGGCATTGTGCACAGAGTGGTTGCAGGGTAGGATCTGTTCTTGTTTTAATGGTGGTGGGAGGGGACGTAAAGGGGAGGGGATGCCTGAGATGGGCCTGGAAGGGTGAGGGTGAGTTGGCCAGAGAGGAGCAAGGCAGGGGCCACCCAGTGTCCCAGGAGGAGGGACCTCATATTTCTGGGGCAGGCTGGGGCGACACAGTAGACAGAAACACATCCACCTCCAATGCCGCTTCATTTCTACCCACCAAGGCCACCAAGATGCTCTGTGGGGCCATCAGCCCCGATCCTTCCTGTACCTCCTCCCAAACCTGGCTCCAGCCTAAACTTGCAACCCCATCCTTCACTCTCCCACCCCGTCTGATGTGCAGTTTCTAAGCACACCAGTCTTGGATGCACCAGTCCAAGCTTCCCCTGTCCTGTTCCCCTGCCCGGACCTCCCTCTTACCTTCTCCGGCCATCACAACCGTGCTCCTGCCACGTACCTCCCCACCCCTCCCCTGACTGCCCATGCCTGGCAGAGCCTGGCTACTCCCTCCAGAGGGGCCTCCAAGGCCCCTCTGTGGCTGGAGGCAGCAGCAGAGTTCAGGGCTCCCAGCCCCGCGCCGCACAGCCGGGGAAGGTCTTGGTAGTAAATGTCTGCTGAATGACCAGTCCTCCTCCTCCCACACAACAGGGAGCGGGTGGGACTGCCTTTGAACTCCAAAACTGGCCAAGAGATTTGCCAAGGAGCACACCATGAAGGGTGCCGTCTGGAGGTGTGGGTGGGGCCGGGGCCTGGCCCTGTGGTCTCCAGTCTTTTCCGTGAGTGTCCCTCTCCCAGCCCTTAGACATTCGCCTCTCCTAGACATTTGCCTGTCCCGGTCCCACTCCATGGCCTCTAGCACTGTCTGACCCTCTGCGTCCCCCATTAGACTGTGAGCCCACCCTGGCACACAGGAGCTCAGGACAGTTGGAGGCTGGTGGGTCCAGGTTATAGGATCTCATCTCCAGACATTCCCAGTCCCGGGGAGCCTGGACCTCCTGGAAGATCCGAGCTTCACCCAACAAACACAGAATCATCCTCCCCGCAAGGTAGAAACCCAGAACAGGTGGGCCTGGGGTTGGAAACACAGCGGGGGCTGGGGTTCAGGGCAGGGAAGGAAGGAGCCACTCACCTCGCCTCCCTGAGGGTCCACCAAGCACCTTCCCTGGAGGCCCAGGAACAGCAGGCTCCTCACACCCACAGCCAACCCAGCCTCCAGCCTCCGCCCCCGGAGCTCAGGCCTCTCCTCATCACCAGCACCTGCCTTCAGCCTAGACTCAGACTCAGCTGCCCCTGCCTGAAGGAGAAACCCTTCCAAGGCTTATTCCTCGTGGCCTGCCAGCTGCACCCACTTCTCTCCAACCCCACATGGTCAAGCTTCCAGAAAGAGTGGTCTACACACACCGGTCTACACTGCCTCCCACCCTTTCTCACAGCATTTTTTTTCTGTTGTCCAGGCTGGAGTGCAGTGGTGCCATCACGGCTCACTGCAGCCTCAACCTCCAAGCTCAAGTGATCCTCCCACCTCAGCCTCCCAGGTAGCTGGGACCACAGGTGCATGCCACCATGCCCAGCTACATTTTTGGTTTTTTTTAGAGACAGGATCTCACTATGTTGCCCAAGCTGGTCTCAAACTGCTAGGCTCAAGCAGTCCTCCTACCTCTGTCTCTCAAAGTGCTGGAATTACAGGTCTGAATCATCATGCCTGGCCCACAGCATTTTTTTAATGGACGGCTAAACCCCTCACCTCAGCTCCCCAAAATACAAAAAATTAGCCGGGTATGGTGTTGCGCGCCTGTAGTCCCAGCTACTTGGGAGGCTGAGGTGGGAGGATCACTTGAGCCCCAGGACGCAGAGGTTGCAGTGAGCCGAGATCACACCACTGCACTCCGGCCTGAGCAACAGAGCAAGACCCCGTCTCAAAAACAACAACAAAAATGGAAAATTCAGATGTGTTCAAAGAAGAAAATACGTTGTACTTGTAATACTGCTTTCTAGAGGTAACCACTGAAATATGGGTACATTTCCTTTCAGTCATTCTTTTCTAAATGTTATGAGTTGGAGCTTTAGAGCTTCCTGATCTGTGGCTTACAAGTGGTGCAAGCAACGTCTCTGAGCTTCAGTTTTCTCACCTCTGAAAAGGAGCTTAAAAAACATTCCCTAGGCCAGGCACGGTGGCTCACGCCTGTAATCCCAGCACTCTGGGAGGCTGAGATGGGAAAATGGCTTTAGCTCAGGAGTTTGAGACCAGCCTGGACAACAAAGGGAGACCCCATCTCTAAAAAAAAAAAAAAAAATTAACCAGTAACCAGGCATGGTGGCACATGCCTGTTGTCTCAGCTACTAGTGAGGCTGAGGTGGGAGGACTGTGTGAGCCCCAGAGTTCAAGGCTGCAGTGAGCTGTGATTGTGCCACTGCACTCCAGCCTGGGCGACAGAGCCAGATCCTGTCTCAAAAAAAAAAAAAAAAAAAGAATGCTCACAGACTAAGTGGAAGTTATATGAGACAGAATAATTTGGAGTGTTAGTAGCCAACCAGGACAGGTAGTGGCTGCTTTGTGATGATGAGTAGAGTGTAGGTTTATTAATTTACATCTATCACACGGCCAACTCCTCATTTTCCAGATGGAGAAACTGAGGCCCAGGGAAGAAAAAGTTACAGAGTGAAGGAAGACCAAGGCCAAGAACCCACCTTTATTGTCTCCCACCCAGGACCCACTGGGAACCTCTCCTACAGCCTGTTCTGTGCTGTAGCAAACAGTAAAGGTTCTCGAATGTGCCTGTTTCTTCCAGGAAGCCGCCTCATCTGGCTGAGACGGTTTGCAAAGCATTTGTTTATGCATAAATGATTGTGGTTATTGAGTTTCAGTGGGAAACAGCTGGAATGTCCAGTAAAGGTGTGGCCAAGTGTCAGCCCTGCCTCATGATGTGAAGCATCCTTTAGGTGAGAGATTTTATTTTTTACTAATTTTAATTTTTTTTTTTTTTTTTTGGAGACAGAGTCTCTTTCTGTTGCCCAGGCCGGAGTGCAGTGGTGCGATCTCAGCTCACTGCAAGCTCCGCCTCCTGGGTTCACGCCATTCTCCTGACTCAGCCTCCCGAGTAGCTGGGACTACAGGCGCCCGCCACAACACCCGGCTAATTTTTTGTATTTTTAGTAGAGACGGGGTTTCACCGTGTTAGCCAGGATGGTCTCGATCTCCTGACCTCGTGATCCACCTTCCTCAGCCTCCCAAAGTGCTGAGATTACAGGCGTGAGCCACCATGCCTGGCCTATTTTAATTTTTCAATTTTTTTTTTTTTTTTTTGAGATGGAGTCTAGCTCTGTCACCCAGGCTGGAGTGCAGTGGCACGATCTTGGCTCATTGCAACCTCTGCCTCCCGGGTTCAAGTGATTCTCCTGCCTCGGCCTCCTGAGTAGCTGGGATTACAGGCGTCCGCCACCACACCCAGCTAATTTTTTGTATTTTTAGTATAGATGGGGTTTCACCATGTTGGGCAGGCTGGTCTTGAACTCCTGACCTCGGGTGATCCACCCACCTTGGCCTCCCAAAGTGCTGGGATTATAGGTGTGAGCCACCATGCCCAGCCTAATTTTTTAATTTGTTTGAGAGGGAGTCTCACTCTGTTGCCCAGGCTGGACTGCAGTGGCTCTATCTCAGTTCACTGCAACCTCTGCCTTCCAGGTTCAAGCAATTCTCTTGCCTCAGCCTCCCAAATAGCTGGGATTACAGGTGTGTGCCACCACACCTAGCCAATTTCTGTATTTTTAGTAGAGGTGGAGTTTCTCCATGTTGGGCAGGCTGGTCTCAAACTCCTGACCTCAGGTGATCCACCCGCCTCGGCCTCCCAAAGTGCTAGGATTATAGGCGTGAGCCACTGCACCCGGCCAAGATTTTAGAATATCTTAATGGCATGAATGGCATGAGTTGTTTAACTCTGTGACCTTCTCGCTCACAGAGTAAGATGTAAAATTAGACCTAAGGAATGCTGTCAATTGTGAAAAATGTCCACAGAAAACAGCCTGTAGTAGAGTTTTTAGCATGTGTACTTTACACTTTTTATTAATTTTGAAATTTTCTATCATCTTATTATATCCTTTACAATCAAACAATTTCATTAAAACAAGGTAGTTCAGGAGAACAGAATACCAGGTTTGCAGGGAGAACATGTTCACCCATTCACAAGTTCTCAGAGCCAGGCACAAGGAGAGCAAATGCAGGTGGAGGGCACCTGTAATCCTAGCTACTCAGGAGGCTGAAGCAGAGAATTGCTTGAACCCGGGAGGTGGAGGCTGCTGTGAGCTGAGATCACGCCACCACATTGCAGCCTACGTGACAGAGTGAGACTTCGTCTCAAAAAAAAAAAAAACACAAAAAAATGCAGGTGGAGTCCCACCCTTGTGGAAATCTGTGGTCTTAGCGGGAAAGGGAGATGCTGATCAAATATTCACATGAATCAGAAAGATACTGCAACTGTGGCAAATGTTATAAAAACATACACTGGGGGCTGGGTACGGTGGCTCATGCCGGTAATCCCAGAATGTTGGGAGGCCGAGATGGGCGGATCACGAGGTCAGGAGATCGAGACCATCCTGGCTAACACAGTGAAACCCCGTCTCTACTAAAAATACAAAAAATTGCCGGGTGTGGTGGCAGGCGCCTGTAGTCCCAGCTACGCAGGAGGCTGAGGCAGGAGAATGGCGTGAACCCAGGAGGTGGAGCTTGCAGTGAGCCGAGATTGCGCCACTGCACTCCAGCCTGGGCAACAGAGCGAGACTCCGTCTCAAAAAAACAAAAAAACAAAAAAAATACACTGGGGGCACAGGAGATGATTGGTTGGCTGTGTCTCCACCCAAGTCTCATCTTGAATTGTAGCTCCCATAATCCCCATGTGTCATGGGAGGGACCCGGTGGGAGGTAATAGAGTCATGGGGGTGGTTACCCTCATGCTGTCCTCATGATAGTGAGTTCTCATGAGATCTGATGGTTTTATAAGGGGCTTTCTCCCTTTTGTTTGTTCTACTTCTCCTTGCTGCTGCCATGTGAAGAAGGATGTGTTTGCTTCCCCTTCTGCCATGATTGTAAGTTTCCTGAGGCCTCCCAAGCCATGCTGAACTATGAGTCAATTAAACCTCTTTCCTTTATAAATTACCCAGCCTCAGGTATGTCTCTATTAGCAGTGTGACAGCAGACTATACTATATTGGCACCATAAGGGAAGCTGATACCTGAAGGCTGGTTGGCGTTAGTCAGGGGGATTGAAAAGAAAAGACACCCTTGGCAGCAAAAACAGGGTGCCCTGTGGTGCTGGTGTGTCCTAGTCCATGCGGGCTACCATGACACAATACTGTGCACTGGAGAGCTTATCAACAACCACAATTTATTTCTCACTGTTCTGGAGCCTGGAAGTCCAAGATCAAAGTAGCAGCAGATTGGGTGTCTGGTGAGGACTCACTTCCTGGTTCCTAGATGGTGCCTTCTCAATTGTGTCCTCACACGGTGGACAGGGTGAGGGGCCCATCTGGAGTCTCTTTTATAAGGACACTAATCCCGTCTATGAGGGCTCCACCCTCATGACCTCATCACCACCCCAAAGCCCAACCTCCTAACACTAGCACAGTGAGGGTTAGGATTTCAACATATAAATTTGGTGGCGGCGGCGGGGAGTGGATTAGACATTTAGGCCATAGCAGCAGGGAGCAATAAAGGAGGAGCTATCTGCTTGGAGCTGAGATGGAGGTAGATGTGAGGGGATGAGATCAGATTTGCATTTTGCAAAGATCATCCTGACTGCAGGGCAGAGAACGGCTGAGCGCCTTGAAAACTCGGGAATTCCAGTTTCCAAATGCCCAGAGCTCCTGTGAGTGGCAGCAGTGGGGGCTCAGCCTGCAGCAGGGTTGTCCGCTGTACCAAGCAAGTAACTGTCTAGCTTCTCAATGAGGCATCTTTAGAGGAAGGAGAGTGTCTGCCTCCTGGAATGTTCTTGAATACCACAGCAAGGAAAAGCCTTCAAGGGAAACCTCATGATTCTTTTTTTTTTGAGATGGAGTCTTGCTCTTGTTGCCCAGGCTGGAGTGCAATGTCGCGGTCTTGGTTCACTGCAACCTCCACCTCCCTGGTTCAAACGATTCTCCTGCCACAGCCTCCCGAGTAGCTGGGATTACAGGCGCCCGCCACCATGCCCAGCTAATTTTATTGTATTTTTAGTAGAGATGGGGTTTCACCATGTTGGCCAGGCTGGTCTCAAACTCCTGACCTCAGATGATCTGCCAGTCTTGGCTTCCCAAAGTGCTGAGATTACAGGCATGTGCCACTGCGCCTGGCCTTTCTTTTCTTTTTCCTTTCTTTATCTTTTTTTTTCTTTTTTTTAAGAGTCTTGCTCTGTTGCCCAGGCTGGAGTGCAATGGTACAATCTCGGCTCAGTGCAACCTCTGCCTTCTAGGTGCAAGTGATTCGCCTGCCTCGCCTCCCGCATAGCTGGGACTACAGGCGTACGCCACGCCAAGCTAATTTTTGTATTTTTAGTGGAGATGGGATTTCACCATGTTGGCCAGGCTGGTCTCGTACTCCTGACCTTAAGTAATCCGCCTGCCCCGGCGTCCCAAAGTGGTGGGATTACAGGCGTGAGCCACCACACCCAGCCAATTCTTTTTTTAATGAGACGATCTGGTATTGCTAACTGAGGTTGGGGCTCAATCAGAAATGGATGGCGGGCATTTATTTTCAAATTTGACAGGCAAGGAGGAAGTCATCCATAAAGGTGCTAAGCTGCACCCCAACGGATACAGGATGGCGCAGGGAAGTGAGACTCTGGTGGCAAGAGGAGGCCCGTGCAGATCCGTGGAGCCCTCAGCTGCTTCTCCGCAGGAGCTCAGGGGCTGGTGGGAGGCCCAAGCTCTGAAACGGTGGGAGAGGTGCCTCTACCACACCTGCCCAGCTGGTAAGTTAAGTTCAGCAAGGTGTCCGGCAACCCTGGGAGGGGCGTGGATGCTGAGTTTACACTCCCTCTGAAGCGGGAGGCCTTTTATTGGGAAGCACTGATGGAGAACCCTCCCCGGTCCATCTGCCTCTGGGAGAGGGGTTGCCTTGCGTGCTCAGCACCCCGCAGCCTGGGGATTGCTGTGGGATCCTGGAGAACTCACCAGGGGTTCCCAGGCAGTGGGTACCAGCAACGTCCCTGTCTCCTCCTCCCTCCCCTAGACGGCCACCAGGCTGTGAGGGGTGAGAATGAGATCCAAGCATCTGCTGCAACTTTTCCTGCTGATTCTACCTGGGGTCTCTAGAATTATGCCCCATTGCTGGCCAGAAAACCTATTTCCATCTCTAACATTTTAAAAATCTTTTTTCTTTTTTTTTTTAAGACAAGGTCTTGCTCTGTCACCCAGACTGGAGTCCAGTGGTGCAATCATAGCTCACTGAAGCCTTGAACTCCTGGGCTCAAGCGATCTTCCTGCCTCAGCCTTCTGAGCCACCATGTCTGCCTAATGTTTTCTTTTGTAGAGATAGGAGTCTCACTATGTTGCCCAGGCTGGTCTCGAATTCCTAGCCTCAAGAGATCTTCCAGCCTTAGACTTCGAAAGCCATTTAAAAAAATATTTTCAAACAAGTTTTATTATGGAAAATGTCAAATACATACATAGTAGAGAGAACAGTATAATGAACCCCTGAGGCCTACCCTAACAGTGATCAATATTCTGCTCTTCTCACCTCCTCCCCATATTCTTCCTATTGTAAATTTCCCTGGATTCCTTTAGAGTATATCTCAGATACGTCAGTTCACATGAAGATACTTCAGCTTCTTCTGTACATGTCTCTAGAAGAAAGACTTTTTTGGAAGTGTAGTCATAATACTGCCAGCATATCTAATAACACTGACAATTCCTCAGTATCTCCCGCTAGCCCAGTGTTTCTCTAACAGTGTCTTTTTACAGTTTGTTAAATCTGGGTCCAAAGGCCACATACCGCACGTGGTTTATGTTAGGGTTGCACAGTGGTGAGACCTGGTTTTTTTTTCAGTGTATTGCAACGATGACTTTGCTAATTCCTCGTGTACAGTTACAAAGGGCCTTCCCTTCCATGAATGAGTAACCAAACTCACTGCCACGCTGGAGCTGGGGTGGGTGATCTCCATTTTCTCCAGACAAGGACACTCAGGGCAGAGGAGGGCAGTGGCCTGCACAGGACCCCAGCTCAGCCATCCCTGCACCAGGCCAAACCCATGCCCAGTCAGCAGCCCAGTGCTCCATTCACATTTGTACAGTGAGCTCATCCAACTGTGAGAAGGAAGAAAATACCATGGTGATCTTCTTTGAAAAGCTACAGAATTTCTAGCAGATTCTCTGCTATGCATCAGTGGATTTTTTTTCCCAGACCTGTTCAACAGGCAGTATTTTTTTTTTATCATGATTTGTTTTTTTGTTTTTATTTATTTAGAGACAGGGTCTCACTCTGTCCCCCAGGCTGGGGTGCAGAGTCTGTCACGGCTCACTGCAGCCTTGACTTTCTGGGCTCAGGTGATCCTCGTACCTCAGCCTCCCAAGTAGCTGGGACTACAGGCATGTGCCACCGTGCTCAGCTAAATTTTTTTGTATTTTTTGTAGAGATGGGATTTTGCCATGTTGCCCAGGCTGCTCTCCAACTTGCGGGCTCAAGCGATCTTCCTGCCTCAGCCTCCCAAAGTGCTGGGATTACAGGTGTGAGCCGTGGTACCCAGAATGCACCAGCAGATTCTGAAATCCCTCACCTCGGAGACCACTGCTTGCCCAGGACACAAATGGTGCCCCTGCTTACAACGTTTTTGTGCCCCCTGCTGCCTCCAGGGTGAAATCCAGATGCCGCCAGGAAGCATTCAAGGTGCCCCAGCCATCCCTCTATTCTCGTTTCTTCCCACATCGCCATACCCATCCCAGCCAAACCCAGCTGTGACACTGAAGTTCACATTCTGATAGACCATACTTCTGGTATGGCTTGAGCAGCTGATTTTAGGGGGCACCGAGGAAGAAACTGGCACCTGTGGAGCACCCATGTGTGCCAGGCCCCTCAGTCCCGGGTGCTAAAACTCCAGTTTTACAGAGGAGAAAAGGGTGGCTTGCAGAGGGCGAATGACCTGCCGAAGGCCACACAGTGGGAACCAGGATTAATTTCGAGCCAGGCACTCTGGCGCCACACACTGGGTTCTTCCTGCTCCCTCCTCCCACAGGGCTGGGAGTGGGGCTTGACCCTGGAAAAGGGGAGGGGGTGCATTTCTGTCAGCCAGGGCTCCTCCCGCCACGCCCTGTTCAGCTTCACAGTCCCTGGGAGGCTGTGTCCCCTAGAGGTTTCCGCTGCTTTCTTTGATCTGCAGCCACTTGCCGGAGAGCTGGACGCTGCCAAGAAGGAAACCACACACTGTCAGTGGCGCATCTGCAGAGTCATGGGGTGGAAACGGACCCTTCTGTGTCTCCTCCAGATGAAACGCGTCACTTATTCTGCAGGAAGGGCTGCACCCTGAGTGTATAAACCCTGACTGTGCCTCCCTCCTTGCCCACCCTGCCCCACGCTGCTGGTCAGGACAGAGCCGGGAGCGGCCTGCTGACTTCATGAGGCTCCTGGGGGGCCACCAGGCTGGGGAATTTGGGGGCAAGATAATGACACATCTTCTCATGCAGAGAGTGGGGCTTCAGCCCAAATCCCTCAAACTCCTGAAAAGTGGAGAAAGAGGGTGCAGCAGGCAGGCTGGGGAGGCCCTCTGGAGTTTATCTAGGAGAGGTTAAAGAGGAAGTTGTGATGCTATCATTGCCAGAGAACTAGAGCTGAGGGAGGGTGACTGATTCAGAAAAATAAAATGTATTACCAGCATCAGGGTTAGGGCCTAGTACGTAGTAGGTCCTTGATATATGTTATTGAATAAAAGTTTCCAAACCCTGTATGTAACAGCTTGGGGCCTAACCCTGGAGAGGGGCTACGGTGACTACCTCATTCTTCTAAATACTTTCAAACTGGGCCATGGAACTCCTTGCTGCCTAGTCAACAAGCTGAAAGTAAACCTTAGTAACACAACCCTTGGACTATGATAGAGTTTGGACATTTTGTTCCTGCCCAAATCTCTTGTTGAATTGTAATCCCCAATCTTGCAGGTGGGGCCTGATGGGAGGCGTTTGGGTCATGGAGGTGGATCCCTCGTGGCTTGGTGCCATCTCTGCAATAGTGAGTTCTAGTGCCAGCCGGTTGTTGAAAAGTGTGTGGCACATCCCCTGCCCCCACTTCCTCCTGCTCCGGCCACGTAAGACATGCCTGCTTTAGGCTGGGCACGGTGGCTCATGCCTGTAATCCTAGCACTTTGGGAGGCCGAGGCAGGCGGGTCACCTGAGGTCGGGAGTTTGAGACCAGCCTGACCAATATGGAGAAACCCCATCTCTACTAAAAATACAAAAATTAGCCAGGCGTGGTGGCACATGCCTGCAATTCCGGCTACTCAGGAGGCTGAGGCAGAAGAATCGCTTGAACCCAGGAGGCGGAGGTTGCGGTGAGCTGAGATCATGCCACTGTACTCCAGCCTGGGTGACAAGAGCGAAACTCTGTCTCGAAAAAAAAGACATGCCTGCTTCCCCTTCCCCTTCTGCCATGATTGGAAGCTTCCTGAGGCCTCCCCAAAAGCCGAGCAGATGCCGGCATCATGCTTCCTGTAGAGCCTGTGGAACTATGAGCCAGTTAAGCCTTTTTTTCTTTATAAATTACCCAGTCTCAGGTATTTTTTTTGTAGCAGTGTGAGAATGGCCTAATACAGGGTGGCACTCTGTTGAATTTGGGGGGCATCCCCTCATTGTTTGAATGACTTTCACCCCAGGTGGGAGGAGTCCCAGGGCATCCCTGGGTACCAGCATCATTTGTTCCATAAACGCTGGATGCCACCAGTTGACAGGCCCAGTGCCCCAGCCCAGAAACCACCCCACAAACTTTCACTCTGTCCTTGCTGAGGGAGGCCTCTCTGAAATGGCAGTGGCCCATCCACAAATTTTGCAGTTGGGGAGACCAAGACCCAGAGACTTCTTTTTCTTCCTAATTAGCAGGTTAATGCCAACATGAAGACACCCTGTATTAGTCCATTTCACACTGCTATAAAGATATAACTGAGACTGGGTAATTTATGAAAAAAAAAAGAGGCTTAATTGACTCACAGTTCTGCAGGCTGTACGGGAAGCATGGCTGGGAAGGCCTCAGGAAACTTACAGTCATGGCAGAAGGTGAAGGGGAAGCAGGTACATCTTCACATGGCCAGCAGGAGAGACAGTGAAGGGGGAGGTGCTACACACTTTCAAACAACCAGATCTCCTGAGAACTCTATCACAAAACAGCACTAGGGTGCTGGATGGTGCTAAACCATTAGAGACCACCCCCAAGGCCCAATCACCTCCCACCGGCCCCACATCCAACGCTGGGGATCACAATTCAACATGAGATTTGGGTGGGGACACAGAGTCAAACCATATCACAAACAACCCCAAGCTGTCTCCATTCCCACTGTGTTGACTCTGGAAGGTCAGGGCACAGGTCAGTAGGAAAACGAGGCCTCCTGCTCCAGTGGGTGATGCCACCAACCCTGGGAAGAGGCGGGAAACCGTCTGCAGGTGGAGGAATTGAGTTCTGTAGGAGGAAGTCAGTCACTCAGAGGCCCAGGTTCTCCACTTCCTCCCCAGCTTGGGAAGAGGCAGCGGCAGGTGGGTGGTGGGGCTGGGGAAGGAGAGGCAGGGAAGTGAGCAGCAAAGGCTCCCTCGAGGTGTCTGCAGAACACCCGTGCGTCATGGCAGAGAGGGGCCGGGCTCACCCCGTATCCCTGGTAAGGTCTTATGGGGCAGCAAGGGCTGCAGCAGGACCTCCAGGCGAGGGGTGTGGCACTAAGATCAGTGAGGGCATGGGGGCAGCGACCACCCGCAGGAATGCAGTGCAATGCTCTAGCTAACAGCCAGGACCTGCAAGTTCGTTTTGTCACCCTCGCAGAGTCCCTAGTCTGTCTGAGCAATTCCCCCGTCCCTCAGTCTAGGGTGGTGGTAAGGCCTGAGCAGAGAGCCCGGGGAAAGCCACCAGCGTGTGCCAGGCAGGCCAGGGAGGGAGCTCCGGCGAGTGCGGCCACTTCTGTTATCAGGGGCTCGCAGCTGGCAGTTTGTGGGAGGTCGAAGTGGTTACGTTTGACATATGTGATCACCAGGAATCGGATCTAGAGTAGAGCCACAAACAATGCCCTCAGGCACCACAGGGTCCGGCCCCTCGCTGCATAGGAAGGCCCAGGAGAGGGTCAGGGCTCACTCAAGCCCCCAGTGATCCCTGAGGCGCCGCGACCTTGAGTCTGCGGTCGCAGCGCCCAGTCCGGGGTTCTCGCAGTGCCGCCTCCACTTCACTGAAGAGCGCTCCTGGCTTTGCGCACAAAGCGCGGGCAGCCTGTGGTGTCACCCTTGGGTCCCCAGCCTGCAGTCTCCTGGAGGACAGGCCTGTGCCCAGCCACATGCGCGGGTGAATCCTGAGCGCCCCAAGGGGGGTTCCCAGACTTTAGTTCCGCGGTGGCTTCCGGCTCCCGTCTTGAGGGTCTGAAGGTGTGGGACTTGGCCCCCTGGGAGTGGCGGCGGTAGCGGGGGCACAGCGCTGGTTTGTGGAGGCCACGGTAGTGGGAAAGCAGCACTGCACTTGGGAATCAGATGAGCCATCGGCAGACCCCGGCTCACACCTCTGCCGGGTGCTCCTGGGCCAGAACTTTGGGTTCTCAGCCTCGGTGACAGACACCCTGAGACTGCTGGGAAAGACGCAGAGATGATGGGCCGTAGGTAGATCTGCTCTACCCATAGCAGCTCGGTCAGAGCAGGGTAGACCCGAGGGCTCCAGGAACTCGTGGAGCGGGGACTGACCTGTCTCCCTGCCCAGTCCCAGGACTCACGTCTTCCTCCTCCCTCTAGGGCCCCGGGCAGGAGGGACAGCACTGCTGGTGCCCACTGTGAGGGCTGGGAGGGACCACGTGGGGACGGCAAGAAACCCTCAGGAGGGAGCCTGTATTCTATTCAGGGAAATGAGCGGACACTTTGCCTGCCAGTTCTCCTCCCCTAGCCCTGGGAGGGAGAAGGGTCCCCATCTCACAGTTGAGAGAGCCACTGGCTCAGGGTCACAGCTCACGAGGAGGGGGCTCTTCCTATCACCCCTCCTCAGGGGCAACATCCCCACACAAACTCACACATCAGGGGCTCCTGGCCTTAGCGCTGCTGAGGACCAGCATTTCGTGTGCTCCTCAGCCTCAAAATGTAGCCTCACCTGGAAGGGGAGGGTCACTGTCCCCACCTGTGACAGGGCCAGAGGGTGGGGTCCTCCCCACCCCTGGACTGTGATAGGAAGTGGGAGACCGTGTGCCTGCCCCCTCGCTGCAAGGCCAGGGCCCTCCCCACCATCCTCCCCAACGGACGTGGTGGCCAGAGCCCTCGGCCCCAGTGGGCACACTTGGCTCTGCTGCTGCCCTGGCCCCTGCCCTCTGGTTCAGCCACCACTGGGAGCCAAGGACAGCCAAAGGAGTTGGTCTCCTGTGTCGAAGGGATAGCGTGACCTCCCTTCAGGGCGAGATCATGGTGACAGCACTGTGGTCAGCACTCAAGGATGAATGGCCTCTGTGGGGCTGACCCCTGCTGACCCCCGCTGACTAGGCAGGCCTGGAGCTGCAGATCCAACAAGGGCCCTTAAAGGGCTCTGCTAGCACAGGGGGGAGGGCAGGGAGTGAGAGACCGCCTGCAAAGAGGCAACTGTCTCCTTAGTTACTGGACTCAGTGCTGCAACTTCTCTTTTGCATTTCCGTTTTTGCTTTTTTTGAGTCCAGTGTGAAAGGAAAATAAAAACGTGGGACCGTAATTCACTGTGCTAAAAGGAAATACTTAAGATGAGAATAGACTCATGCAAGAAGCTGCGTTTCCTTATGTTCTTAAGCAGATAGCTACAGCGAAAGGGCCAGACAGGCCAGGCACGGTGGCTTCACGACTGTAATCCCAGCACTTTGAAAGGCCGAGGTGGAAGCATTGCTTGAGCCCAAGAATTCACGGCCAGCCTGGGCAGCATGGTGAAACCTCTGTCTACAAAAAATACAAAAATTAGCTGGGTGTGGTGGCGCACACCTGTGGTTCCAGCTACTCGGGAGGCTGAGGCTGCAGTGAGCCAAGATCGAGATCACGCCACTGCACTCCATCCTGGGTAAGCGTGAGATCCTGTCCAAAAAACAAAACAAAACAAAAAGGCCAGCTATCTCCACAGGTAGCTACTCTGTGTTCACTGTATCTTACGTAAAGTGAGGATTTAGTGCGTACAAGTCAAATACCTAATTGACTACTCCCCTACCTGCTCCTTTTCTCTCGCAACCTGTGGATTCAGTCGTGTGACCACACCCTCCCCCTTCCCCCTCCAGCCCACTTTTCCCCTTTAAATACAGAAGCTCTCAAAATCATCTTTGGAGAAAGGCACAGACCTCTCTCTCTCAGGTGTGTCCTGAGTCTTGGCAAAATACACTTCTAAATTAATTGAGGTCTGTCTCAGGTACTTTTTAGTTTGCACTCTAGTATTTATGCAGATGGACTATTTTATGTTTATAACCAACCCTTAGGAGAGAGGTCCAGTTATGATCTCCATTTACATCTAAAGATACCAACGTGTGAGACTGAGTAACTCGCCCAAGGACACACAGCCGGGGCTGACACAGCAGGACTCCCTGCAAGTACGCAGACAATACATAACTTTTTTTTTTGAGACGGAGTCTTGCTGTCACCCAGGCTGGAGTGCAGTGGCGCGATCTCAGATCACCACAACCTCTGCCTCCCGGGTTCAAGTGATTCTCCTGCCTCAGCCTCCGGAGTAGCTGGGATTACAGGCGCCTGTCATTATGCCTGGCTAATTTTTGTAGTTTTAGTAGAGACGGGGTTTCACCATGTTGGCCAGGTTGGTCTCGGAACTCCTGACCTCAGGTGATCCGCCCACCTTGGCCTCCCAAAGTGCTGGGTTAACAGGCATGAGCCACCGTGCCCAGAGACAATACGTAACTTAATGAGTGGGATTTTGTGAGATGGAGGTTTCAGTGTTAAATGGACTCTGCAGTCAGTGCCCAAGGTGAATTCGGGCTCCAGCATCCACCAAGTGTGAGACTGCAAGTGCCTAATGCCCCATTGTGCCTCAGTTTACTCATCTGTAAAACAGAGCAGCTGTAGCTCCCTCATAGGGTTGCTAGTTAACACTCAAGAGCGCTTAGAATGCGTGGCAGCCAGTAAGCCCTCAGTGTCAGCTGTTGACTATGACTAGCACAGACAATAGCAACGCCAACCAAACGTTAGGTGGCAGCATCATTACCAGCTTGATAATTGAGGCAACCGTCCCTGAACATGCTATTAATTAACCACACCAGTGGCACAAGGCTAGCAGCGGGCTCTGAAACGACAGCTCATTTCCTAATCTCTGCGTTCACAACAGTGGCCAGCTTGTGACGCCATCCGACTGGCTGCTTTCAAGAGGAACCAGGGGCAGGGGCTTCCTTTCTGTTCCTGGACTGCTGGTAGATGCAGGCCTCCTGGGCACTGCCACAGCCACTCATGGCCAGAGTGGCATCTGTAGTGGCAGCAGCAGCAGGCACACAGGGCAGTGGCCAGAGCACTTTCAGTGAAAAAGGCAGAAGCCTTTACACTCCACCCCGGGCTGTTCTAAAAATACTTAGCTGTGGTGTCAGAATTCCTGGCCCGAGAGGGGAGGACTGCCTGAGCTCCGGGAGGTGGAGGCTGCAGTGAACCGAGATGACATCACTGCACTCCTGCAAATCGGTGGGGTAAGGACTTTAAAAATGGTGTTGGGGGGTGGGCCAACTACATCCTTTAGGGCCTGTGCTATTGCCAGGTGCAATGGCTCAGGCCTGTAATCCCAGCACTTTGGGAGGCTGAGGTGAGGAGGATGGATTGAGGCCAAGTAATTGAGACCAGCCTGGGCAACCCTGTTCCTACAAAAAATTAAAAAATGAGCTGGGCATGGTGAGGTGTGCTTATAGTCCCAGCTATTAGGGAGGCTGAGGCAGGAGGATCACTAGGCCCAGGAGTTTGAGATGACAGTGATCATGCCACTGCACTCCAGCCTAGGTGACACAGTGAGACTGTCTCCAAAAAGGAGCTATGCACAGATTTCAAAAATTTTTTGCACCAAAATAAACTTGTACTAACTTGTTATAACATGTCTTAAGATCTACTTTGAGGCACTAAGAAGGGTATGACTGTTTGAAAAGAGCACCTATCAGAGCAACATGAATTCTGCTAAAAATGGAAGCAAGGACATCAAATTTATGGTGATGCTTGGGTGGAAGAATGGTGAGATCAGTGATTTTTTTTTTTTTTTTTCCTGAGACAGAGTCTCGCTCTGTTGCCCAGGCTGGAGTGCAGTGGCGTGATCTCGGCTCACTGCAGCTTCCGCCTCTCAGGTTCAAGCAATTCTCTTGCCTCAGCCTCCTGAGTAGCTGGGACTACAGGCACATGCCACCACGCCTGGCTAATTTTTTTGTATTTTTAATAAAGACAGGGTTTCACCATGTTGGCCAGGATGGTCTCGATCTCCTGACCTCGTGATCCACCCACCTCAGCCTCCCAAAGTGCTAGGAATACAAGCGTGAGCCACCACACCTGGCCCAAAATCAATGATTTTTTTACAAAAAAGCTTATGGGGACAATGCCCCGCCCCCAGCCAAAATCAGAGGTTTGCCAATGGGTAACTTGTTTTAAGAAGGGATGAGACAATGGTGAAGACCTCCTCATCAATTTGTGAGGAAAAAATTAATCTTATTCATGCCTGAATCAAAGAGGACCAATGATTAACAGCAGAAACAACACCCAACACCACAGACACCTCAGATGGTTCAGCTTACACGATCTGACTGAAAAATTAACGTTGAGCAAACTTGCCACTCAATGGCTACCAAACCACTGCACTCAGATCAGCTGGAGACAGCAGCAGAGCTTTCAGGGGAAACTTTCAACAAGAGGAATCAACATCCTAAAGCATTTCCTCTGAGAACTGTAACAGGAGATGGAACATGGCTTTACCAGCACAATCCTGAAGACAATGTGATTGTGATCACAGCACTGGCTACCGAGAGGTGGGAGGGGTCTCCTCATAGCAAATGCAGACTGGTCAAAAGCAGAGGCCAGGCAACCATTTTCTGGGATGCTCAAAGCACTGTGTATGTGCTGACTTTCCAGATGCCCAAAGAATGTTAACATCTGCTTATGACGAGTGTTTTGAGAAAGTTAGCCAAAGCTGTGGCAGAACAATGCCTAGGAAAGTTTCACCAGAGCCCTTTTCCACCATGACAGTGCTCCTCCTGCTCATTCCTCTCAGCAAACGAGAGCCATTTTCCAAGAGTTTTGATGGGAAATCATCAGGCATCCACTTTGCAGTCCTGATTGGGCTTCTTCTGACTTTTTGTTTCCTAATCTTAAAAAGCTGTAAAGGGCACCCATTTCTCTTCAGTTCACAATGCAGAGACTACACTGACAAGGTGAAATTTCCAGGAGCCTCAGTTCTTTAGGGATAGACTGAATGGTTGGTATTATGTCTTATAGTAGTATCTTGAACTTGATGGAACTTATGTTGAGAAATAAAGTTTATATTTTTTTATTTTTCTTTTAATTCCATTTTCCATGAACTTTTAAAAGTCCCCTCATACATGTTTACAGATGTCCATAGAAACGTTATTCAGATACTGAATAAACAACCAAAAAAACATTGTTTTATCAATGAGGAACCTGTTAAATCTACATAATACAGCTATAAAAATAATTATGTAGTTCTATAATTACCGACATGAAGACATCTGAGTAAAAACCTATTTCTGATGTTATAGAAGAACAAGTATAGTACACTCTTGAATGTAAATTTCTCTGTGTATGCATTCATATATACTGTACATTCAGAATCCTGGAAAGGGGCTTGCACAGATGTTACCAGTGTATGTCTCAGAGTGACAGAAGGACATATGAGTTTTCCTTTTCCCTTATACTTCTTTAAAAACACACTGATTTTTTTTGCACAATGAATATCAATCATATTAACATATAAAGATTTAATTTTTTCCCCAGAAGAAAACAAAAAGATTGAGCTTTGTGTACCATCCACGGACAAAAATGCTATGTGTTTTGCAGACTCAGGTAGTAGTCCCTGCGTGTGCTGGGGGTGAGATGGGGAGGAGCCGCTGATTTCTCAGCAGGCCACACCACTTTCTTCCCTAGCAAAGCTGCACAATGTTTTCAGCAGTGTCTGCAATGAGAGCTAAATGACCTCCATCTAGAACAAATGTAACCTGGGCACTTGCTCTTCCACGGATGCTCATGAGTAAAAGGAAGCTGGAGTTCTTTACAAAAGAAGCTTTGCTATGAGAAATAAAAACAACAAACTGTTTTTTACAATTTTTATTTGGTGTTAACTCCACAAGAAAACAAACAAAAAAAAATCAGTTACTCTGGTGTACGTGAAATCAGAACAATACAACCACGGGAAAAACAATCTCAGCCCAGGAATGGAAACTGGTACTTCAGTGCTATGGAAATGCAATGCGCTTCATACCACAGTGCGTTTCAGCGTTTGCCAACTTTTTAAAAATGCTTTTTCTTTGTGATCATCCATTCACAAAACTAAAAAGCCACACTTTCATCTCTGTTGCTGAAAGCCTCTGAGCTTCAGCTACTTAACTATGAAAACAAATAAATACATAATTTGTGAATCCCTTTGCTCACTTCGAATCCGTCCCATTCACCTGTGGAAGGTGCTGCATCTTCTCACCTGTGTCTGAGGAAGTGTGCACCTTTGCCACCTGGAGCCCTTTCCTAATAAACAGCAGCTGTCCAAAATCAACTGTGCTCAAGGTTGTGTCTGAAATCTATTTATTTGGTCTTTGCTACACAAGCAACGATTTCTAGAATAATCGTCACTGTAGTGATATGAGGAATTTACAACTTTCAATCCTTTTTTACTTTTGCTGTTAAATTATATTTCAGTGCAGATGCTTATCAATTTTTAGGAAGCTCCAGAAGAATGAAAAATACATAAAAACGTATCTGAAGTTCGTAAATAAATAACAGCAACATAAAACCTTACACATGCGCGCGCGCACGCGCGCACACACACACACACACACACACCCACCCACCTTAAAGTGTCAAAAAATGTGTTGTATAAAAATAAACCCTAACACGTGGGAAGATCGACCCGGCGGGCACACCAGGTCCCTCTCGGTGAGGACACACAGACCCTCAATGACTCCACAGTCTTTGATGGTACTTTCTTTTCTGTGTTATCAATTAAGAAAAAGGCAACAAAACCCAAATGTTCAAAGCAAATCATAGATTTCACAGCCAGTTCAGCTCCCAGCTAATAAATTATATGTGTGTTTACTGCCTGCCCAAATGAGTGGTGAAGCTGTCTAGAGCGCATCAGACTTTTCTGCCATTCCTGATGCTCCAGGCATGCTACGCTGATTTCACAGATTAGGTTTTTTTTGTTTTTGTTTTTTAAACAATGAGTTGGTTAAAAAAGAAAAACAATGTAAAAAATGTAAAATGTTTCGGCTGTGCACATACTGCTCCTCCTGGCCTCTGCCTGTGGCACAATGCCATGAGAGCCGGAGGAGCGGATCGCCATGCACAGACGCGACTCACAAGATGCGCCGGCTCCCCGGGCTCACCAAGGAGAAACGGGAGCCAGTCCCACGGAGCGACAGTCAGCAAAACCACCACACAGGGATGTGGAAAACTCATGACTCTACCCGCCCCAACCCACCACACACAGAACTTGCCCAGAACATTCTCTCAAACACAAAATGAGATCGAAGCTATACTACATCACAGCCAAGAAGCGGCTAGCTGCAGCAGCCAAAGATTTCTCTGGGTGATGAGGTGGCCTTTACTGCATGTCAAATGTTCACAATTTCAAGTTTTGGGGGTTTCAATTCAACATAGGTCACCAGAAAGTAACAATCTGTAACTAAGGTCCTTAGCACGTATGGAACACTCACCACAAAGAACCCTGCATGGGGTTTTGGTGTAAATGTAACTGCAGTATGAGAGCAGGTAAGGGGTGGGGTATGCACCCTTACCCCACTGTGTCTCGCATACGACCCCACACCCCAAATCCTTGGCTTCTTCAGTTAGCAAGAAAGTCACGAACCATAGTATCTTCCGTGATACTTTAGGGGAAAAGAAATCCTAAGAGAGAAAACACAGTATTTGGTGAGTCTTGAAAAGCACACCTCTGCGGTTCCTACTGGAAATGTACATGAGATTTTGCTGAATGGAGACCACCGCTGAGTCACCCAGGCTTCCCTCTCGCCTTCAGAAAGGCATCAAGCCACTGTAGGGTAAGAATGGATATCCCAGTTCTTGGAGAACAAAGCCTAAATGCTCCAAAGCTGAAGTCTCTGAAGAGCAGAAGTGGTTGTTGACACTGCAATGCTAGTAAGGTCATAGTGATATAACCGCAGTCGGAAGGAAAATTAACTGCAGTTAAGATGCAAAAAGCAGTGATACTTCTAAGACAAGCACATGCACACCCATTCTTGATTTGACAACACAATCTAGTCTATTTCAAATAGCCAAGAATTTAACAGCTGGGAAAAAAAATCTTTAACAGGATAGCTGTCCTCAACTCTAAAATAAGCAAGAAGAGAAAGATAATTATTACCAATCTGAATCAGTTAATTGAAGAGGAAACCTAAGTTGTTGTTTTAGATTAACAGGTCTCACTGAAGAGTAATTTTCCATCACATATCATTTTTAAACAATAATTTGTACTATTTTGCAGGTTTAGAGATGAGTTCGAGAAAAGAGCTCCTCTTCACTAGGGCCCACCCACTCGCCTCCGCCTTCTGAGCCTGTCTCTTCCGAGGTGGAGCTGGCGCTGGAGCACATCTTTCCGCGGAAGCCATCTGACTTTGCTCCAGAATCTCTCTCTCCTGTACATCTTGCTTCATAAACAGAAGACACCTAAGATTAAAACAATTTTCAACACATCAAAAAGACTTTTTTTTCCCCAAAAGGGTGAGATACTCTATCTATATACAAAGAAGAAATAATAAATCATCAGTGTTTTCCTGTGGAGTTACAAACATGCAGAGTTTTACTGTTTCAGAGCAAAACCGCCTCTCTTCTCTGATCCATGAAGGATCCAAAATCCTAATTCCACATGTTCAGTCACTTGGACAAAATGTTAGCCATGTTAGGGTAGGATAAAGAATTATTTCATTTTCAAAGTCTTTGAGTACCTGCTATGCACCAGGAACTTTACTGGGCACAGGGACTCCAGCAGTGGAAGGCGCATGCCAGGCTCGCTGGGGAGATGAACGAGCAAACCAACATGTGCCAGTTGCAGTGACACAGTACCGATGGTGAGGGGGGCACTGCAGACGGGTGTGTTGGGAAGGGAGTTTGCAGTGACACAGTACAGATGGTGAGGCGACACTACAGACCTGTGTGTTGGGAAGGGAGTTTGCAGTGACACAGTACAGATGGTGAGGGGACACTGCAGACCTCTGTGTTGGGAAGGGAGTTTGCAGTGACACAGTACAGATGGTGAGGGGACACTGCAGACCTCTGTGTTGGGAAGGGAGTTTGCAGTGACACAGTACAGATGGTGAGGCGACACTACAGACCTGTGTGTTGGGAAGGGAGTTTGCAGTGACACAGTACAGATGGTGAGGGGACACTGCAGACCTCTGTGTTGGGAAGGGAGTTTGCAGTGACACAGTACAGATGGTGAGGCGACACTACAGACCTGTGTGTTGGGAAGGGAGTTTGCAGTGACACAGTACAGATGGTGAGGGGGCACTGCAGACGGGTGTGTTGGGAAGGGAGTTTGCAGTGACACAGTACAGATGGTGAGGGGACACTGCAGACCTGTGTGTTGGGAAGGGAGTTTGCAGTGACACAGTACAGATGGTGAGGGGGGGCACTGCAGATGGGTGTGTTGGGAAGGGAGTTCTTTGGAGAAGAGGCCCGCTCAGCTGAGAAGCCAGCCATGCAGAGGTGCCAACACTCTGTGGTGTCGGACTGTCTCCCCTACACCAGATGGTCAGCATCTCTGGACCCCAGGACATGAGATGCAGTGGTGGCCCCTCCTCAGTCACAGTCATTACAAAGCTCCCCTCACCCTGCCATAGTAACTAGCAGCACTCCCACCTCATTTCCAAATGGCAGCATTGCCCCTGGTTGAGAACCCCTGAGGCAGAAGCACAGAAAAGCCACACAGAGTAAGGGGAGAGCAGAGACAGATGAGGTCAAAGGCAGACGGGGGCAAAACATACAGGGCTGTAGAGGCGTGGCGGGGAGTTTGGATCTGTCTCAAATGCAACAGCAAAGTGACATCATGGTTAGCAGTATGGGTCCTAGAGGCAGACTGCTGAGGTTCAGAGTTCAGGTCCACACTGAAGCTGTGGCTCTCTGGCCTCGGATACACGGCGCCTGATGTTTTTGTGCTTCACTTTCCTATTTTGCAGAACAGGCATGACAACAGTACCTACCTCACAGGGTCGTTGTGAGGACTGAACAAGATACTGCTCGTGAGGTCATTCTGTCTGCTGTGTGGAGAGAAGGCTGGAAAGGATGACGAAAGCAGGAAGGACAATGAAAAGACCATGGCAGCTGTTCAGGAGCAGGGACAGTGGCTTGAACAAAGTGGTAATGATGGAGAGGAGGAGAAGTGGGAGATGCGAAGTGGCTGACAGCGGGGAACGGTCAGGACTGGCAGGCAGACTGTGTGTGGAAGATGAGAGAGAGGACTGGGGAATATGTCTCAGTTTGGGGTTTGAGGCTGGAGGGATGATGTGAACTAGTCACTGAGGAGAGAGCTGGTGGGGGCCTCAAACATCTGCCTTCATGTGTGGAGCCGGACAGGTCAGTGGGCAGCAGGACGTGGACGATGATGCTACAGGTGCTTGGGCAGACAGTTCTCACAGGACTTGAATGGACACTGACAGATGGTTAATACTGAGTGTCAACTTGATCACATGCCGTGTGATTCAAGTTAACGGGAAACTACAACAGCCCAGTCCAGACAGGATACAAATGGCTCAGACTCTTTAGGAATGAAGGTTTAGGTCACTCCACCGGGAAAAAACCACAACCTGCTGAGGTGCTTGCTGAAGGCAAAGGGAATACAGAATGGGTAGTAGAAGAAGGTAGTCATCAATACCAGCTACGACCATGTGACCAGGTGCAGAAACCAGGACTGTAATTGTCTTGAGGAGTATTTCCTCCTTCGTTAAAAACACGTTTGTGCATGTATACACTTGTACTAAGAAAATCTCATTTTATTTTTTGTCCTTTATCATGTGACACAAGATTTATGTATGTATATATTTATGTATGTATGTATGTATGTATGTATGTATGTATGAATGAATGATGGAGTTTTGCTCTGTCACCCAGGCTGGAGTGCAGTGGTGCGATCTCAGCTCACTGCAATCTCTACCTCCTGGGTTCAAGCAATTCTCCAGCTTCAGCCTCCCAAGTAGCTGGGATTACAGGGGTGCACCATCACGCCCGGCTAATTTTTGTATTTTTAGTAGAGATGGGGTTTCGCCATGTTGGCCAGGCTGGTCTTGAACTCCTGACCTCAGGTGATCTGCCCACCTTGGCCTTCCAAAATGATGGGATTACAAGCGTGAGCCACAGCGCCCGGCTGACATAAGATTTATTGACTTCATATCAGCATTTAAGTATTGTTAACTCTATGTAATAGTACTTGGGTTTGGGATTGGTGCTTTTCCGGTTGTATGAAGCATAGCTGTATTATGTTAGGTATAATTATGACCTTATTGTCTTTATTTGAAGATTACATATAATTTCAGGAGATGTGTATGGGTTCAAATTGACAAGGGGTGGACTTGTTATGGTTAATACTGAGTGTCAACTTGATTGGATTAAAGGATGCAAAGTACTGATCCTGGGTGTGTCTGTGGGGGTGTTGCCAAAGGAGATTAACATTTGATCCAGTGGGCTGGGAAAGGCAGACCCACCCTTCATCTGGGTGGGCACCATCTAGTCAGCTGCCAGCGTGGCTAGAATATAAAGCAGGCAGAAAAATGTGAAAAGACTAGACTGGCCTAGCCTCCCAGCCTACATCTTCTCCCATGCTGGATGCTTCCTGCCCTCGAACATCGGACTCCAAGTTCTTCAGTTTTGGGACTGGGACTGGGACTGGCTCTCCTTCCTCCTCAGCTTGCAGATGGCCTATTGTGGGACCTTGTGATCGTGTGAGTTAATACTTAATAAACTCCCCTTTGTGTATATATATACCTATTCCATTAGTTCTGTCCCTCTGGAGAACCCTAATACACTGACAATTCACACCAAATAAAAAGAATTTTCCTTAGGTTCATTTGCCTGCCTGCCTCTTAACCGGGGAAGGTCTAAGACGAGACTAAACCAGGCGGAGGCCCCGCTCCCGCCTTCGTGGTGCCCACAGGCTTGTGGAAGAGGCAGACATGCAGAAACGGAACGCAAGTACATGCTCTGGCTACAGCAAGAAGAGTCGTGCACAGAGTGCAGGAGGACACGGAAAGGGCGGGATCGTTCTGCAGAAGCCGGGACAGCGGCAACAAGCACACTGGCAAGGCTGCCTCAGGGTGCACTTTCAAAGAGGACAAGGCTAGGTCTCCCACTTATTAGGTAAACAAAAAAAAAAAAGATGAAAAGTGTGCCCACCCAAGGAGCAACAGGGTCAGCTCTGCATTTGTAATGCAATGCCCTCGGGCAGTAGTGTAGAGCCAAGACTGGGGAGAGAGCTGGGGATTCTTCAGGAAGCACTGGCAGTCAACAGTCAAGGGGGTTTGGAAGCGGGGGAGAATGCAGACTCAGAACAAAGGCCAGAGAACAGGAAGTCTGCACCCACAGGCCTGGCTGGTTCCTGGGAGAGGTGGGGTCCACTCACATGACTCCCAGGTTTTTGACTACAGTGACAACTGGAGGTGGTGGCTGTTTGTAAGTTAATGACGAGGAGGAGGACAGTCCACTTACCCTATTAAAATCTAACAGGCGCTCTTCATTACTGGGTGTCTCTTTAGCATCTGGATATTCTTCTAAACCACTCTCTCCCTTGGCATTTGTGTAACATTCTTAATCATTTGGAATGGAGAAGGGAAAAGAGGGAAAGGGGGAAATTCCATTAAGACACAGTTATGAAACATACATTCTTGTTTCATTTTTCACTAAAAAGCTACATCAGTTAGGTCTCCCAACCCTTCGGAGGTTTTAAGTCGTCACTAAAAGCACAGCCAGGCAGGTGTGTAAGAGAAAAAAAACGCTATGCTGACAAAAAATTCTTGGTTTGGTGAGTTAAAAAAAGAAATAGGCCAGCATAACCATACACTCCTGTTATTCTACCAGGAGGCACTCATTGGACAAGCTTCTATTCACACCTGTAATGTGATCGGCCCTGGGAACACACGACAGAGAGACCCACAGGGCCCATGCTCTCCACAACAAATGGATGGAGGAGACAGATGGTGCATCATAGCACGTTCATAGGACAGAGGAACAAAGGAAGCTCAGACAGAAGGGAACGCAATGGAGAAACGACACAGGGTCACGTCCTTGTGTGTTCTTCCTCAACAACATACTGAACCATGTATCACATCTATGAATAGGAAAAAGAAATGGTGCTAGCGATTCCATCAGGCAAATGGCCCCACAAAATGGGAAAAAAACTGGGATGAGAAGATATCAAACAAATCCAACGAGCCCAGTAGTTCTCAACCCTGGCTGCATATTCTCATCATCTGGGGGCTTTAGAGAGGCTTAGACTCCTGCCAGAGATTCCAAATGAACTGTCCTGGGCAGGGGCTGGGCACTTTCTGAAAAGCAGATTTGCTCCCAGGCAATTCTAATGCACTGAGAACTGCTGGTCTTCATCCAGAACAGCCTCTTACTCCCCTTACCTCCATGAGAAACATAGCTGGGGCAGAGGCACAGTGCAGAGTAAAAGGAGGAACTTGGCCAGGGTTTTGGACTCTGGCATTGACATTCATGGTGCATTAAGTCCTTTAACACCCTTGAGCATCTACTTCCTCAAAACCAGATCACACCCCCCATCCCCTGCCACAGAGTTGCCACAAGGTAGTTTGACGAGATGACATGCCTGCCCCTTGCACAACACCCCAAAGGACAAGGCTGGAGCAAGTGACTGCTGCGCCCTTCTACCTTGGCACAGAGTAGCGAGGCTGTGCCAAGGGTAAGACCATCTGGGCCCTGCTGGGCTGCTTCCTGCAGCTGCACTGGCCACATGGAAGACTCTCCACAGCTGTTCTCTCTGACGGCTCCAAGAACTCCAAGTTACTAGTTGAGGTTCATGAGAATACCCCAGGCTCTGGGATTAGACAGACTTCAGTCAATTCCAGGTCATGCTATTTACTTGTGATGTAACTTTGCACAAATTATTTAACCTCTTTGAGCCCTAGTATCCTCATCTCTAAGATGAGAACATCACCATTTTCCCTCCTACATTTCTGTGCAAATTCAAAGAGGTGAAGCCTCAAGCACAGTGCCGGGCACACACATTGCACCCATGACCGCTGCTTATCAAAGCCATAGGCTTGGAGGCGTGGTTGCCCTAGGGCGGCTGGGGAGGATGCCATGTGTCCTCTGCTGAGGCTGGGAGGAACCCTGGCTTCATCTCTCCTAAGGAGGCATCTTTTCCTTGGCTGACTTCTCACTCCATGGCCCACTCCATATGGCCACCACTTATACTGGCTGAGGGGCATGGAGTGGATAGGACATGGTTTCCTTGACAAGGATAGCTCAGAGGCAGGCAGGCCCATCTCCACACCCCACTCCTTCATTTTCTCTTCCTGCTTTAGGAATTCTGTACATACAAGAGGGTTTTATTGTGCCACAGGGTATTTGGAAAAGGTGATGCTGAACTGCTGCTGATAGTCTTCATGATGCTCAAGTTGACCACCACCCTGTTTCGGGCTATGACATGCCAGCCACTGTTCTAGGCACTTTACCTTACAATGAGGGCATTCTTCTAGCCTCCTTTTATACATACAGACTACAGAGGCACAGAAAGGCTCAGTCAGCACCCAAAGCCTAATAGCTGGGGAAAGAAGCTCTGGATTCCAATACAGTTCTCAATCCTGGGCCTTTCACCACCTGTCTGTACTGCTTCCCTGCAGGACTCTCTGTCTTTAATGCTAAAATCATCCAGACGCTTACATTACTCGAGTCTTGAAAGCACTGAAAATCCAGGGGCGTGAGCTGTGGAGACTGCTGTTTGGGACGGCACTCCTGGTGCACAGAGTCTACAAGGCCCTCTGTGGTCTGGCTCCCAGCTGCCTGGCTGGCCTCATCCCCACCACACTCCCATGCCATCCCTTCTTTGCCAGTCATGTTGGGGGCATACCCAATGCATTCCTGTCCCTGCACAAGCCACTGCTGCCTGGCACCTCTCCCTGCAGGCAGCCCCAGCTGTCACATGGTCTGTGCCCTATTTCCTCAAGTCCCTGTTGAGAAGGTACCTGAGCAGGGGGAGGACAGGGACACGATCTGTTTGCCTATGCATTCCCAAGTCTAGAACAGTGCCTAACCCAAGTGCTGAAGGGATGCACATATGAATGCGCAGCAAGGCCAGCAGGGGGCAGACTGCACAAAGCTGGGGCTTTCTTATATGGTTACCTGAACAAGCTGCCTCTTTTCTGAGCCTGTTTCCTCGCCTTACTGTAAAGGGGACAATGCTACTCTTCCTTTCCAGAGATGCTGTGAGCTCCCAGGTCAGCCCCTGGCTCAGAGCAGCAACTGCTTGTGATGAATCATATCCAATATTAGAAGCATTAGGAGTCCCCAGCCACTTCTGCTGAGTAGGTAAGTGACTACCTGTTTTCTTGGCTATCCTTCTGAGACTAAATGCCCCAACCCACATAAGCTAAAGAAGGATGCTTCATGATGCTACAGGGCAAATATGCAGGGACTTAACTCACAGTGTGAGCTAAAGGTCATTCAAAAGAAATAATTACCAGTATTTATGCACTGAGAGTTTCTCTATATACCACTTCACTGTAAAAACAAAAATATTATGTACAAACACCAGTATCCACTAAGAGACTGTACAGATAACCAGGAACCTAGAGCTAAGAGGTGAAACTGGATTCTTTACTAACTAATGACAGAAAACTGGACTAAGGGTGCTAAGGTTGCCCTTTACTAAAGAAACATGAACTCTGTGTCTCAAAATCATCCTATGCCACTGCAAGGAATTGGTTCTTTTCCACAAGGTGGCATCCTCCTCTCCCTCCTAGCTCTTCCTGAGAGGTCCTCTGTGGCACAGCTGTGGCCACATCCCACCTTCATTCCATTAACTGTGTCTGTGTCTTGTACTTGCCCAGTTTACCAGACTGGACACACATGAAGGGAAGCTCTGTGTGTCCTACTCCTACTGCCCTGGCATCTACCTTGGTACCAAGTGCAGGCAGCTGCTGTAGAGGGCAAAACTTCTGGACCACAAGAATCACAACCTACATTCTAGCCCATGCTTAATAGTTAACTGTGTGATTTCGGGCAAATTACAGTACTAAACTTGAGACTCAGCTTCCTCATCTGAAAACTAGCGGGGGGCATCTCCTAAGGTTCTTGTGGGAATTATGTAAAAGAAAAGCTTGAGAGCACCTTGCACGCAACCAAGGCTGTCCAGATATGAGCTAATGGTAGGGCGGCAGCAGCAACGGGCCTTCAATAAACGCTGTTCAATCAACGAAGACGCTAACAGTGAAGACTCAGCTCTACGCTCTCCTTATGACCCAGATGAACCTCTGGGAAGGAGGAAGGCAGGGTCCTGGGAAGCTGTCTGTGGCTACAGACCAGAGAACAGCAAACGCTCCACTCCTAAAGAGTCAACCTGGCCAAGCTGGCCTTCCATCCCATCAGCTATAGCCCATGCTGCCGAGGGATGCCAGGGAGGCTTTCCGAGGACAACACAGGCGTGTGCAGGGCATCGTGGCTAGTGAGAGAGAAGTCACTTGGCTCCACACTAACTACAAATTAGCTGAGGGGATGTGACAAACACGTGAACCCGTAAATTTAAATGCAAGAGATTTGCATAACCCCTTCGGGACTCTGACAGGAGACTGGTGTTAAATAAATGTGGTAGCCAATAGAAGCCCAGGAGACCACAATCTGGACAAGCTGAACTTCTTGAGCTAATCAATTCTGGTTGCATCCTTAGTTCCTACTTCTCCCAAAATTTCAATTCAGGGTTTCTTAACAACTTCTGGGTGTCTACCTGGAAGGCCTCACAGACTGCTCATTCAAAAAATACCCTAAACTAAAATCTTCCTCACCGCATCAGCGCCCACTCCTGTCTCCCTCTCTACCTAGACTCCCATAACTACTCCTCATAGAAAGTAATCCAACAAACTCCTCCTCTACAAAACCTCTCGGTCCTGTTTCCTTTTCTCTGTCCCCGCTTTGATTGCCTCAGTCCAGACCTTTAGCGTATGCCTCCCAAACTACTGCAAGGGCTTAAAACCCTGGCCAATAGCCTTCAGTTTTTCAATTCCATTTCCACTCTGTTACTAGAATTGTTCTAAACAACATCTGACCTTGACAACCTCCAATTTAAATCCTGTCAACGGCATTCCCTTCCTGCATGTCAGACGCTACCTAACCTAGCCAAGCCCTCAAACCTTCTGACAGGCTCCTGCCCTGTCTGTCTCTCCCGCGTCAGCTACAACTCAGCTGAGCCATGGAGCCCTGTGCTTTCCCCTGGCGGCGACCCTCCTGCCTCTGTGCAGGCAACTCTCTTCACAGGGACTGCCCGCTGTTTCCTCCTCTGTGACTCAGTGGTGGCTTATACACACCTCATCCATGGTCAGTAACGCTTGGATATATTTCCATGCCTTTCCCCTCCATCAGATTGTGGCTGTTTCAGAGCAGGGCCCAGTTCTCATTCCTCCCTGTGTCCCCAGTGCATGACAAAGTGCTACCCACACAGAAACCTCTTGGTAAATGTTTCTTGGACTGATATTCATAGAAAAAGAAATTATTGCTCTTAACAAATTACAAATTGCAATGAATAAATGAACTAACAAAGGTCTCCTTACCTTCACACTCTGATGCAGGAAAAAGAGGAGAGTACAAGGCTTTTTCCCACCAGGTCTGTTTTTCTTGACTTCTATTCATTCCTTGTATATCAGTGTTCAATACAGGGAACTGTTTAGATTAAACCAAATACAGAAAAAGTTTATAAACTTTCAGGTTAGAGGAAGAATATTCAAGCATTATTAACTACAGATTATAAACCCAGAACTTTTAAACTGGTGAGGTTTTTTGATTTTTCTTTCTTTCTTTTTGAGATAGGGTCTGGCTCTGTCACTCAGGCTGGAGTGTAGTGGCACGATCTTGGCTCACTGCAACCTCCACCTCCAGGGCTCAAGTGATCCTTCCACCTCAGCCTTGCAAGTAGCTGGGACTACAGGCGGGAACCACCATGTCTGGCTCATTTTTTGTGCTTTTTGTAGAAATGGGGTTTCGCCATGTTGGCCAGGCTGGTCTCGAACTCCTGGGCTCAAGCAATCTGCCAAGCTTGGCCTCCCAAAGTACTGGGATTACAGGCATGAGCCACCATGCCCAGCCAACTGGTGAGTTTTTATAATGTTCTGAAAAAAAGTGCATTTTAAAAGCCAGCGTGTTCACAGTGTATAAAGAAAGTATTGCTTAAGAAGTACTTAGATGGGAAGCGACATGAAAATCTTAACTAAAAAAACTCTTACAAGCCCAAAATATAATGTAATAAAAACGCTCCCAAGCAAGGCAAACTTCTAGATTCCCCAAGTGCATACAGGTAATGGGGAAGCCCTGAGCCTTTACTGGCATGAGGTGCTCTGAAGAGAACAGGGGGAACCCTCTTCTCCCTCATACATTCAGGCAGAAGTAAGTAAAAGAAGAAATGGAATCAAAGAAACTTCCTTTTTTTTTTTTTTCCAAGACAGAGTCTCACTCTGTCACCCAGGCTGGAGTGCAGTGGCACGATCTCAGCTCACTGCAACTTCTGCCTCCAGTGTTCAAATGATTCTCGTGCCTTAGCTTCCTGAGTAGCTGGGACTACAGGCATGTACCACCACCCCGGCTAATTTTTGTATTTTTAGTAGAGACAGGGTTTTGCCACGTTGGCCAGGCTGGTCTCGAACTTGTGACCTCAGGTGATCTGCCCGCCTTGGCCTCCCAAAGTGCTGGGATTACAGGCGTGAGCCACCATGCCTGGCCCAAAGGAAATTCTTATAGGCACAGTTATTGACCTAAGTGTCTTAAAATTATCTTGCTTAGGTGCGAACCAGAAGGAAACTAAGGCTAAAACCAAATTACAAATTCAAATTCCATGATTCAAATTTAAAATAGGAGATAGCCATCCAAATGAGATGAGAGAATGATTCCTGAGAGCGGGAGAGACTCATATCCTTCACATCTGGAAGCTGCCCAGGCCCAGAAGAGGGACCTAGCCTGAACCCAGGCTCTGTCCTTTCCCAGTGGGATTCTCAAGTCCTGGCTGGGCCCCGCCCACCTGCTTGGCCAGTGAGAACTGGATAGTGTGGCCAATGGCAGACAGACAACAGCTGTCATCAGTGACCAAGAAGAGTCCTTGTAGTGTGGTCAATAGAAGACCTGTGGCAGCTTCAGTCACCATGTATACCTGGCATGCTGGCAGTCAGGGCAACCCCCTTCAGTGTGCCTTCCTCACTGTGCCTGAGAGAGTGAGCCTGCCCCAGCTCGCCCAGGGTGAGGCTTGGCCACTGCATCTTTCTACCACCCACATCCCCTAATACTGTGTTCTCAGTAGACATCTGCTTAGTGGAGAGGCCTGTGAACACTGCACCCATCTTCATTGTTTTAAAAGACATTTCACTACGTGTTCAAGTTTAAAATCTAAAGTGTTTTAGAAACAAATTTTTCATCAGTTTCCTAACAGGATTTTGTTATGCTTTTAACTTAATTATTTATGGGTCTAAAACTGTTCAATTCCGTAATGAGTGTCTGTTATGTAACTAAAAGGGAAACACTTCAAACTTTTGTTTTCACTTAACTTTTCGGAAACACTCCTAAGTCAGAAACTGAAGAAGAATTGTACTGTCTACCCACAGCAGTCAGTTAACCTTTGCTAATTTCTCCTACAACTTATCCTAACAATAAAAATTGGTACTGCTATTAGATAAACAGATGCTAGGGCCAGGGGAATGGACAGGGCTGGGCTTCCCGCAAACAAGGTGGCACCACGCAAGGCCTGCAGTTCTTCCAAGGTGGCTAACAGCACCTGTCATGCAATTCCCTGCACTCTAAGACCTCTTCAGAAAGGCCTTGCCTGTCCTGTGAGATTACTTAGTGCTACTCAGGGGGAGCAAGGAAGGTGCCCCAGCCAGAACTCTCTCCATCACCTCCCTAAGGCGCTATTGAAGATAAGTGGATTTAGAGGTTAACAGGTTCTTATTTGAGAAAGAAAAAGCTCTTTGCAGGAATGATCAGTTTAAATACACTGCTTATCTTTTCATCCTTTCTTGAGGATTAAGATCAAGAAAGGGAGTGAGTTCATGGTGGGGGATGGGACAGGTCAGGGAAAGCAGGCTAGAGGGGCCAGGAACCTGGGAGCAGGGGCAGCATGAACCAAGACGAGTTTAGATCCCAGCAGAACCCGACTGTAAGCTTCCTGAGGGGCGGGACCACGTCTTCCTCATCTTTGCATTCCCAAGTATGGGGCCCCGCACAAAGCAGATACTCAGTGTCTGCTGACGTGAAGAAAAGTTTCCGCCAGGCCAACAGTCTCTGACTATCTCATACATCATTTCTTCTCTCTCTTGCTGAAACCACTGTGAAGGGCACACCAGTTTCTACCATAAATTTGGGAGTCTTTTTTCTGCATCCTCCATTTGAATGTCAATTCCTATGGCAGGGACTTATTTGTCCCGTTTTATACTAAACATATTCAAGGAATATGCATCTTGTTATGACATCTCTCCACTCATTTATAACTTTTAGGCTGGATCATGCTATATTCATCTAATACATCATCGAATGTATTAATTCAACTTCTGCTGTGGCTGGGAATGAAAAGAATGAAGAGACAATGGAGGAAGCTGAAAGCGGATCAGAAGGTCGCTGTCATGGACAGGCAGGCACAGCAGCGGCCTCAGTGCTGCCCTCCCTTTCCTGCCAGGCATCCTCTCAGCTCACTCTCTTACCTCTAAGTATTTCCTTAAATTGCACCTTGGCGAGGAAGCCTGCTCTCACACCGCCCATAACACAGCAAACTCCTGCCATCACTCCCAAACCCAATGCCCCTCGTCCAGCGATCCTCCTTTCCAACAGCATTTATATTGTAACACACTATATAACTTAACATGTTTATTGTCAGCTCCCCAAGGTGGGATGTGACTCCACCAGCACCAAGAGCTTTGTTACTTATTCCCAGCACCAAGAATAGTACCTGGCCGAGCAGGTACATAAGAAATACTTGATGAATGAATGAAACAGTGAAAAGAAGACATAAACTTAATCCAAAAAGCCTAACCAGAAATGTTTTTAGCAACAGATGTAAAATTGAGAAATTCTTTAGAAGGTGGAAGCTGGGTGAAGGAAACAAAGGCTTCACAGCTGTAAATTCTCACAGAATACTCCTAGTTTGGGTAAAGAGAAAGGTGCTTGGTTTTAGTTTTACTCTGGGAATCTTGCCCCTTTGCCACAATCAGCTCTCATTTGGGTCACACCAGGAAAAGCAAGACTTCCATGTACCTTGTTCTCTGGGAAGGAAGAAATGAAACATCAATGAAGAGATACTGAGTGCAACAGAGACAAACAAGAGACACAGAACTGCTGGTCTAAGTCTTCCTCAGTTCACAGAGGTGCAGAGTGGTGGAAAATGCTTTGCCTGTCCCCCACACTGGGATCTGGGGCAGCTGTCTCACCTCTCAGAGCCTATGTGTCTTTAGAAGTGGGGAAAATAACCTACCGCATGAGGTCTACATGGGCATCCAGTAGGATAGTGGTGACAGAAGCCTCTACATAGATGTGCCGGGTGGCACATCACCAGCATGACCCCTGACCCTCACTCCTTCTTTACTCATCAGAGCCTTCCTGTCCCTCCAGACCTGCTGACCTCCACAGCACAGTGAGCTCCTCTCCTGAGTGGACTGAAATTCCCTGAAGACAGCAAGTAAGCCTTTTGCTTATTTTCTGTGCCTCAAGGTGCTTGGTACTAAGTTGGCAACCAAAGAAACGACAAGAACATTTTCACCACAAATGTATGTCCAGATACCAAGGCACACTGTGCTTCATCTGTGCTACTCTTAACCGTATGGCTTATACTCCAGAGACCGTGAGATCCCTGTTCACAGCTGCCCTGCACACATCAGCAGATTCAAATCTCTTTACCCTTGCTTCTGCTGTTCCTTCTGCCTGGACTGCCCTGCCTCCGTCCTTCTACTCTGGACACTCAGATATGCTCAAGAAACCTTCCTCAACCTTCACAGGCTGGAAGGGTTCTCCTGCAGGTTCCCACAGCATTCTGTGCTCCCCTCCACCATTCTACCTACAGCACCTAAAACTGCATTGGTCAAATGCCCTAAAACATAAAGAACTGACTAGGTAGATTACGGTATATCCATACGATGGAATAGTGTGCAGAAAATAAAAAAAGGAAGGGTGATTACAATAAAGTACCATTTCAGCAAAAAGAAAAAATAGGAAGAAATACATGTGAACATTTACTTGTTAATACGCGCAAAAAATATCCTTGGAGAATACATCAGAACTCACACTAGTGGTTGCCGCTGGGGAGGAAACCTTTCACTGTGTATGTACACATACACTTGTAACTTCTGAATTTGAACCATATGAATAAATTACCTATTTCAGTTAAAATAAGTAACATGGTACAAGTTGGTCATCTTCACTACGCTGAATTCTGTATGGGCAAGGACAAAGTCTTATTCATCCAGGACACCTACTTTAGCAACAGGCATGTAAACAGGTACTCACTAAATGTTTGCTGAATTGAACTAAACTTTTGAAAATAATCATATTATTTTCATGCTCTTAGACACCAGTTCTATCGGAAATCCTACATTTTCATCATCTAAGTCTGAAACAGATGGGGTTCTACTGATCTTTAAACAGGCCTCCCAGATTGCTTCCTGAAAAGACTGTACTGACTCAGGAAAAGGGCCGGAAGCACATCCTCTTAAAAGCACCTTTCAGACTGACCAAGCAATGTGACAGAACAGAAAGATACAGGTTCTAGTCCCAGGCTGGCCCCAAACTGTCCCTTCAGGTCACTCAGCCTCCTGCACATCTCAGATGAATCTATGAAGTAAGCTTCAACCTGGCTTCTAAAGTATAACAATGCTGCCGAGAGAGCAGTGCTGACAACATCTAAACTATCAGACAATCCCAAAATGTCCTCTGGGAATTTTTTTGGCAGCTAAGACCTTTCAAGGAAACCCGGAATTCTGATAACACATAAATACATCAACATACTAGAAAGCGAAGGAATATGGTAGTGGTATGATGTAGAATCTTGCTTCTTTCCTCTTTTTCTTTCTTCCCAATCTGGAACCAGGTGAAATACAAAGTACATAAAGGAATATTTAAGGATGAAAAATGGGGCAATAAACAAACAGATAAAGGCTAACAATATTATTGGGTTTTTTCTTAGCAGTGTTTCAATGGGATTAAATTCATCCTCTACGGGTCTCTAGGTAGCTGATTAGAGCAGTGCCTCTCAAGTCGCCTGGGGGCTTCCTAGAATCACAGGCAAGCAGTCCCACACCTGGGCACTCTGATGCGACAAATAAGTAAGGCATGGTCCACAGCCACAAGGAGCTTATAGTCCAGGATATAAATAACTCATGAGAAATGAAAAATGCAATCAAAAAGAGGCATAAAGTGCATGAAAATTAAGAGAGGGGCAAAATTAATTCTGATGCAGAGTGGGGCTGGAGCAGGGGAGAGAGGGAATTAGGGAAAGTGTCAGTGAAGGAGGTGGTATATGAAATAAGTCTCATGGTATGGGTAGGATTTGGATGTGCAATGGTGGGTAGGGTGTGCAGGACAGTTGGGAGGAAGTGCAACACTCATCTGCTCTCTGGCCACAGGTGGCATGGCTTCTAAACACCTCCATCTCTTTTTTTCAATAAGCTGGGCCGGACGCGGTGGCTCACGCCTGTAATCCCAACACTTTGGGAGGCCAAGGCAGGTGGATCACTTGAAGTTAGGAGTTCAAGACCAGCCTGGCCAACCTGGTAAAACCCCGTCTCTACTAAAAATACAAATAATTAGCCGGGCGTGGTGGCGCATGCCTTTAATCCCAGCTACTTGGGAGGCTGAGGCAGGAGAATCACTTGAACCTGGGAGGTGGAGGTTGCAGTGAGCTGAGATCGCACCACTGCACTCAAGCCTGGGCGACAGAGCGAGACTCTGTCCCCAAAACAAAACAAAAACAAAAACAAAATTAAATAAACTATTTCTGGAGAAAGGCTAGGCACTCACATATCGAAAACAGTGGAAAAATGGGCAGACTGCTGTGCTTTTTTTGTGAAACAGTTTATTGTCTTAAGTGTTATTTCTTGTACAATCAGTTTAACCTTAAGCCATTTCTTGGGCATACAGTGGAGAGGTACAATGACTCTCATTAACACAACTTAATGTGATCCTCATTCCATAGCCTTAACATATAATCCACACAGCTTCTGGAATATGTACTTTGTATAAAGCAAGATACATCTGTATAGGTTCTGTAGAAGAAATTTTGTTGCATTTGGGCTGTGGGTGAATTTCTACATGTACCACAATGTATTTTTGAGAACTCCATAGAGATATAATTTGTTTTATATGTAAAACACAAGTTTTGATAAAGTGATCAACTTCTAAGAGTCAGTTAGACAGGTTTGCTACACTTTAATAGCAGCCACTTCCTGATTCATCAACTTTGAATGTTAGAACACTTTCATGTTAGGTTTTTGCTTTAAGCATAATACATGTATTTTTTTTTTTTTTTTTTTTTTGAGATGGAGTCTCACCCTGTCACCCAGGCTGGAGTACAGAACACGATCTCGGCTCACTGCAACCTTTGCCTCTCGGGTTCAAGTGATTCTCCTGCCTCAGCCTCCCAAGGAGCTGGGATTACAGGTGCCTGCCACCACGCCTGGGTAATTTTTGTATTTTTAGTAGAGACGGGGTCTCACCATGTTGGCCAAGCTGGTCTTGAACTCCTGACCTCAAATGATCTACCCACTTCGGCCTCCCAAAGTGCTGGGATTACAGGCGTGAGCCACTGCACCCGGCCAATAACATGCATCTTAAGACAACACATAGGAATCTTACATCCTGTGATTTTTAAAAGCTTTTTCTCTCCAGAAAAACTCTACTGTCTAGTTCAAATTCATAAATATCAAATCCATTTTAAGTCCTTACATGTAAAATTAGAACAATTTAAGTTTTAAGACATTTAAGCTAATTTCCCAATAATTTAACCCTATCTTTCATTGACTGGCATGTCTGTTCTTGGGTTAAACTCTGATCAAATCCTTTTGTCAAATACCAACACGCAGACACATACCTCTTCCAGCTGTCCCGAAGAAACTGGATTATCTTCATAAGCAGGAAACTGACAACCTGCTTTGCAACCACAAAAATTATTAATTTCTTCCTCGCATTGTGCCATTATTTTACAATTTGCTTCTGAGCTTTCTAAATCTATTTCCAGGGATTCATTCATGCTACATTCCAAACACTGATTTTGCTTTCCTACTGAAAGAATCCCAGTTGATTCCTCCTGGGAATCCAGTGATGTCTGAGCACTCTTTTCCATCCCAGATTTTTTTAACCTGGGAAGGAATTTTCCAGACTCAAGCTCTGATTTTCCATAGTAATGGCCTTCTTTCTCTGCATCTTCTTCCAAAGGTTTGAGATCTGCCTGCGGATCTTCAAATATATCAACTTGAGAAGGAATGGGAATATTTGCTTCATCTTTCTCAGATTCAAATTCTGACTCGCTTCCTCCTCCTGGGGACAGTTCGGATGCAGAAATTGGGCGAAAGTGAGTCCGAGGAGAGATCCGAATAGCCCTGTATTGTGTTCTGTCAACACCACATATCCTGGGGTGAAACACTTCACTGTCTGAATCAGAACAGAGGATTGATTTCGGTTTAAAACTGGGGCTGAAAGATGCAATCCCTTCAGGTTCAAATGAGCATTCTACATGAAGAACTTGTGAAAATGGATTGCTTAAGTCAAAGGAAGAAAATGAGTATTCAAGTCCAGGATCTTCGACTTGAAAGTTGCCACAAGCTCCTAGTAAGTCTTCATGGAAGATAAAAGAAAATCCCTTATTTAACCCATTTTCCCCACTCTTCGGCTGATCATTCTGTTCAAATGACACGAAGGGTTTCCATAACTGCCTGTGCCCAGGAGCAAAACTGTTTCCTGGGGTCATAAAGACATCTGTACCAGCTATCGTCACAACATCAGAAGCTGCACACTGTAACAGACTTCCTTTTGTGTGACTAGGTGGTACGACTGCCCACTCCCCATCACTATTGAAGGTTTTGAGTTCTCCATAAACTCCTCCAAGAATGAATGTGTTTTCTTTATCTTGGGCTACATCCCAGGGTTTAGAGGGTGTTGTATAATCACCACCATCCACGTTTGATAGCTCACTAGAAGCAAATGCTCTTTTCTCCAGGCTCTCTTTCTGTCCCTCCCACAGATGGTACTCTGACCTCCGCACAGCCTTATCAGGCTCCTGAAGGGTCTCCAGTTCAGCTTCAGCATCTAGACAGCAGCAGTAGTTATTTACATCTGCCGAAAACAACTCAGCATCAGTTCTTTCTATTTCTACTGTAGCCACAGAATTTGTGTCTGCCATCTTTGTCCAAATGTCTTTAATAACCCCTGAGCTGTAGCCATCTCCATGTGGACTTTCATTACATACTTGTGTAGTTTCAAAATTTTTGTTTTCTGTTTTTTGTTCTAGCTGAATACCACAGACGGATTCTAGTTTAGATGTTTTTTTGAAAACTAATGTAGGAATCTCACCTAAAGTTCTACTGTTTTGCTGGCAAGTTTCATCTTGCAAAAAATCTAGAAGTTCTTCATCTACATAATTTGACGAGACTCTAGGAACTACATAATTAATATCTTCGGCATTAAACTGTGTGGATTCTTCAAACTGAATATTTAATGTTTCATTGTCTGAACGTGTTTCTTCTGAATGGGACCATGGACTACAAGTTCTTGTTGAAAGATTAGAACAGTGTTCATTTTCTTCAAAGGCACTATTTTTGGTCCATATTAGCAATCTAGACTGTGTTTTCCCAAGCATATTAGCACTAGAATCTGTATTTTCATTTCCCAAGTTGAGTGTTTCAAAAGAAAATGGTAAAACAGAATTACTGCATTGCACTTCAAACACTGAAAAACAAGAGTTTATACCAGATCCTTCATTAATATCTGAAAAGAGCTCTTGATTGCCAGCAAGCAGGTGTGAATTGAGCACTGTGCTGTCTAAGATGGGAGAGAGTCTAACTGGAGAGTCTCCTCCAAAACTCTCCCCATCAGCATCACCGGAGCTGGATGAACAGCACTCCCAAAACTGAGCCAGATTGCCAAGGTCCTGCAGGAATAAGCCCTCAGCACCTACGGAGCTGGTAGAATCTGTCCATATTGCACGTTCCCCTTGCAACTCCATACCATCTAACACTATGCAACATTCTGCCTCAAAATCTGTGTTCTCTTTGCTTTTCTGTCGAATCATATTCAAAATCCGACTTTCTCCTTGCATTGTTTCTGAGGCACCAGGATCCAACATGGATTGATCAATATCCACTTCATAGAAGTGCGTTAATTCTGATAGATGAATATCATCCAGGTATTTATTGTCCTCTGGTAGAGAACATAATGAGGTCCCAGTGAGGTCAATATCCTCATTTATAACTGCAGGCATTTCTACAAAATGACCATCAATGAAAGTACCTGCTGCGAGGTATGTTTTATGAAGATTATTGTTGCTGATACAAAGACCATGCACTGATTCAGACAATTCTTCCACTGCCTCTGATGTCAGATCACTTGTATCCTGTCTGTTTCGGTATGTGGTCTCTAGTTTACTTTTTCTGCTCAGAGGAACAAAATATTCAGCAATTGGCTCGGTGTACCACAAGGGCTCCTCTTTATACTCTGTGTCCTTTCTATTCTCCATGTACAGGTCTTTTCCTTCAGTGCTCCCAGGATCTTTTCTCCCTATTTCTTTTAAAGGTCTCTTACCCCGCTTGCACAGCTGTTTGACAGAACCACTGCTGCTACTGCTACTACTTCCAGTATGAATGTTCCTTTCAGCCTTTTCACCGTGCTTCAAAGAAAGCCTGCTTTGCCCATTCCGCCCTTTTTTGTTTCGAATCTCTCGTGCCTTGTGTCTTACTTTAACATACTTCATGGATGCTTTTAATTCTCCCTGATTCCCACTGGAACTTGAGCCTGCTTCACTGGAGCCAGAAGACCACGAGCGAGGGCGAATCTTTCCTTCAGGTTTATGTCGGATTTGCTTTTTGTACAAAGCAGGCTTTTCTTCAATTGTGCCATTACTAAATTTGTTTTCCTTCTCGTTTTTGCTTTTGCTCTGGGTTTTCTCATGCACAGTGGTGGGTACTTCACTGCTTCTTTCCTTGGTGACTTCACTTTCACTGTTGCAGTCCTTAGGAGAGGAAGTATCTGTGCTAGCTGGTGGGGCTGTGGATGATGAAGAAGAGCTAGAGTAAGAACAGACTTTAGACTTGTTCCACACAGTCATGATTTCTTGCAGGCAAACTGGTTTCTCAGAAAGTGGTGGAAATGCTTCATAGTACCTGAAAAACAGAGTAAAGACTTCAAAACACGAGTATGCAGATTTTTTAGATACAGTAAAACAACATTACCAACCAGAAGAATGGAATATTTCATTTTAGTAGTGTCAACATTCACATCATCCAAGAATCATTAACTTTACAATAATTTATAATACAGTAAAATATGCTTAAGATTAGTCCCATGCATCAAGCACCATTTTGCTCAGCACTGTGATACGCACTGTAAGATTACTGAGAAAATATGTAAGATGACAGTTTTTATCTTCAAAGTTTGCATTTTAATTAAGAAGTCAAAAAGGACAAATAGTAGAAGAAAGAATGCAGTCTCTTCAGTAAGCATTATCTGAATTTGAATCTCAGCTAAGTCACTATTGCTTGCGACTTTAAGCTCATTATTTACTGCTTCAGACTATTTCCTCAACTGCAAAATGGTGATCCTATGACTTACCTCCCAAAGTTATTGTGAGCGTTGAAAATATATGCGGTTAAAAAGCTCGGTAGCAATCAGTCAAGAGTATGAGCTCTGAAGCCACATTCTCTGAGGTCAAATCCTGGCTCTGCCTGCTTTACTAGCTGTGTGACCTTAGGCATGTTACTTAACCTCTCCATAGCTCAGTTTCCTCACCTACAAAATAGAGCTAGTAATATTTACCTCTCAGGGTTGTGAGGAGTAAAGGAATTAATATGCAAAATGAGTTGGAACAGCAGCTTCTTACGTAACTGCTAGCATACTGCCTGGCATTGAAGCAGGCCCTCAGAAAGGGTAGGAATGATCACATTCAAGTATTCAGAAAGAGGATGTCGGTGAGGCCTACAACAATTAAAGTGGGCCACAACTGAGCCTTGAAATTCCAGATTTATTCCACAAGTTTAGTGAGTACTACCTGTGAGGCCTGAGAGCCTGTGTGAGGACACCAAGACACACATGTTATGCTCACAGAATGGAAAACTAACTAGAGCTGTGATCACCAGAAATGCAGCGTAGAAAAAGCCAGGGAGGCTGGTTTCAGGGGGCTTGAAAATGAGAAAGTATTTTTGATTTGCTAGGAAACTGGGGGCCACTGAAGATTTCAGAGCAGAACAGATTGCAAAGGGCAGAATTTAAAGTCACATTGGCTACTGGGGACTGTTGTTTCAGAGGCAATGCTCAAGGTCACACATGAAGTGGTAAAAGGCCATGTTTTCAAAGGGCCTGAACTTGATTCTCTTTCTCAGTCTATGTCAGAGTTGACCAACAGAAATATATTTTGAGCTTCATATGTAATTTTAAGTGTTCTAGTAGGCACATTAAAAACATAAGAAATAGGTGAAATGCACTCCAGTAATATATTTAACTAAACTCCTGATATTATCATTTCAACATGTAATCAATACTTTAAAATGTTTAATACTTTACTTTTTTTTATATATAGTCTTTGAAATCCAATGAGAATTGTCCACTGACAGCACATCACGGTTTGAACCAGCCCCATTTCAAGTGCTCAGTAGTCACACATGGCTTACAGCTTCTGTGCTGGATAATACAGGTCTATACAAACCAAGGAAATGCTATTTTTTTCTTAGGTTTCAGAGGTTCGAAAGATTAAAATAAAATGTATAATAGGGAAGTCTGTTTATAATGCAGATTATTTTAAGACTATTTACGAACAAAAAAATAAAAGTATCTTTAGGAAGCAGGTTTGGCAGGTCAAGGATTGCCTATGTTCCCTCTGCAGTAAACAGTGGGAACTCAGTGTTCTTGCTTGTGAACATGGATAATCATTTCTTTTCTTTCTTGTTTTTTTTTTTTTTTTTTTTTTTAATAAGACAGAGTCTCGCTCTGTCGTCCAGGCTGGAGTGCAATGGCACAGTCTCAGCTCACTGCAACCTCTGCCTCCCGGGTTCCAGAAATTCTCCTGCCTCGGTCTCCTGAGTAGCTGGGATTACAGGCATGTACCACCATGCTCAACTAATATTTGAGACTGGGTTTCACCATGTTGACCAGGCTGGTCTCAAACTCCTGACCTCAGGTGATCCACCTGCCTTGGCTTCCCAAAGTGCTGGGATTACTGACATGAGCCACTGTGCCCGGCTGATAATCCTAATTTCTCACAGCTGTCTCAAAGGGCTGTTGTGAATATTAAAGGTAATAGTACATACATAGACTTAGCAAATAATAACCTTCTATGTTTCACTCATTTGTTCCACAAATATTGAATATGAACACCAAGGACAGAACCATCTTGTTTCACCTTTGAATTCTCAGTGTCAAGCATATAAGCGCTCGATAAATGTTTCTTACATTATATATAATGAAACTAAACAAGATGACAAACAGAAAACGGAAACCATGTAGCAGTTATTCATCTGATTTTAACAAATGCACACTTTATTACCGAATACAATCTTACATACATTTCCACTTGATCCTTTGCTGGAGGGGATAATTCTGCCTCTGGAGAGGGAGACCCCTCTAACTTTTTGTGAATCTTCTCTTCTGTTATGAAACAAAAATTAAGAAAGATTTGTCTTATATCTAGTTAATAAATGCTAATGTATTTCAAAGTTTCTCAACTAATTTTAACAAGAAATAGAGACTTTGGTGCTTAAAAGGCAAACTCAATACCGATCTTTTTAATAAAAATCTATTTTTTCAGTGTGCCAGAGGGAATTCTCCGATTAAACCACATTAGCATTAGGCCAAGAGGTGAGAGTTGTTCATCTCGTCACTGATACAGTGCTCTAGAGGCACTTAATTAAGAGACTGAAGTCCCCTGTGTACTTATTAATTAGACCAGAAGGACAGAACATCTGTTTAGATTCCAAAACTATTTTCTCACAAAATTCTACACTCATAGACTTTACATTGACTCATCTTGACCAAAACTAATCTGTAAAGAATATTCTTTATTACAATTTGCTCTATTACTTAACATGTAGGTGAGCAAGGGCTATTTCAACTGAAACAGGAAAAAGGGCTATCCCTTAGTTTAGCCTAGGATACTGCCTTAGGTTACAAATCAACTGTGCCCTTAAGAGGCAGGCTCAAGGCTTGGTGGGCAGCAAAATGACCATAAAGAGGGCAAGGAAACAAGGATCCTCACCCTTAATATGAAGGTCTCGTTCTTAGGGATTGCAAACAAGTTAGAAAAAGTATGAGGAGGATTCATATATCGAAATAACTAAATAAGCTTGCCAAGTCTGTGTTTTCAAAAAAGCTGAGTCAAAACAGAAGTCCCTTCCAAACCTGAAGTAATTCATGTCTTAACATCTTAATTTAATGTCGTAATTTAGCAGTCTTAACATCAACAGGCAGATATTAACAGAGGGGCAAGGATGGGGAAAGGAAAGAGACAATATTGTTCCTGATCTCTGAGCTTCAACTTGAAGCCAACAACAATTAAAAAAACCCAAAAAACAGAAAACCATGAAGTGTTTCCTATCTCTGAGGGCACCTGTGGACTAAGTCCCTCCCTTGGTTGCAGGAATCTCTATGAGTGACTGCTGGGTCTGACACAGAAGCCACTAACAGAGCTGCAGATGGAGCATGAGGCTGGCCTAGTGACACACACTGGACACAAAGACTTTGTTCTGGTTGTTTTCTTTTCTGATCAATTCTAAGATTTTCCCCAATCCAGATTCCTCAGGGATGTAATCCTGGCATGTGTGCGCACAGTGCTTTTGACCTCACCTTGCTTACTCTGAAGGTCTTTCAGTCTGGAGCAGAGCTCCTCCACTAAAGTCTCGATACCAGAGCTCTGCATGACAACAAAAAGACACATTAGGTTACAGCCAGGTATGTACAAATCAGGTATTTGTATACTTTTGTTTTAATACACAGGTTTTACAAATCATCCACATTCCAAAATAAATATCTTACCAATATTTACGTGAATACTACAGTTTAAAAATTATAGGTTTGTAGATACAAATTGGTATACATGCTTATTACTAATAAGGCATATTAAATGAAACTTAGTGATAAAATGTGAACATATTCATGTACCTCCCAGAATAGCTTCTGTTTTTCCAAAGGTGTGTCATCTTGCTCATGGGGCAGATTTAAGGGCCTAAATGTCCATCATACGACCAAAAGTCAGTCACCATCAAAAAGAGTATTAAATATTTATGTGAGCGAGATCTTATACCAGACTTAAAACAAAGGAAAATCACAAAACCTCATCTTAGTTCTCTAGGAGCTCACACCCTGAAGAAAACAAGGTGATTTTTTTTTTTTCTGTTTTAAAGAAACATGAACACTCATGATTAAAACAACAGAAGTCCAGAAAATGAAGCCAATATTGCAAATGTGAAAGCTTTGTCTTCTTTTCAGCATCTGGACCAGATTATCGACTTCTATACAAAGCTTGGGAGTTTAAAATTTAAGGAGAGTACATAGAAGAGTCTGGATTTGGGAGGGTAAAAATAAGAGTCAACCTTTAAAGAAAAATGAATGTAGAAAACAGGCACAAGCAAATAATCTTTCATTAGTAGACTTTAACTTTTAAGAGTCTCAATTTCTCACAGGAAGAAAAAAAAATTTTTTTACAGTGGACAAAAAAAGTCAATGTATTTCTCAGAAACTTTAGATTTATTCAGTGACCAAAGTCCTATTTAAACTGGAATCAAGTCCTTATTGGTGGGCATAACCCAAACAGATGCGCGTGATGGAGAGTTCTGCTAAGCCAGTGCCCTCACTAGGCCTTGACGGGCTAAAAATAGAACTTTACCCCATTCACTTAACTCAAAATGACTCAGCACAAATATTATAGATATCCTACATAAGAAATCCCACGGTTACACAGTTTGAGTAGCAAGAAACAGATTACAATGAAAACAGTTAATTGTAAACATCTAGAGTTACATTCTGTCCACGTCATACCACAGGTTTTAATAGGAAGATAGAAAAATAGGCCAGACAAGAGTTGCCCTTTCCTTTAAAAACACTCTTAAAAACGATGGCAGATATTAGTCATAAACACTGTTCAACCACAAACAGTTGCACCAGAAAGCACCTGCTTACCATAATGCTCAAGGTGTGACAAGGACGGCAATTATATTCCATTTCCTTCGGATCGTGAAACCAACACCAGTGTCAGCTGACACACTGCATACTGTTCTGTACAGCAAGCCTATGTCACTAGGTTTCTAAACCTAGGGCTAGTCTCGCAATGCAGAACACTGAACCTCTAGGGATCACTTATTAAACGTCTTCCAATACTCTAAAATGGGGTCCCATTTAATCAGAATGGTCATTACAACCTAGTGACTACGTATTTTTTCATGCTTTGTCTTAGAAATTAATTACATATACACACATATATTTATTAATATATGAGTAAATATGTATACTATATGAGTGATATATATATATTTGCTGTCATATATAAACATATATTTTTTTTGCTCTCATGTTTAAACAGCAAAATAAGAGCTTACTCCTTACTCTCTGTGTAAAAGCAAGCTCTACCAACCAGGTTTTTCTGTTCTTTTCTTGACTACCTGTAGCATCTTATATATTTTTTTAAAAAATCAGCTGGGCGCAGCGGCTCACACCTGTAATCCCAGCACTTTGGGAGGCCAAGGTGGGTGGATCACTTGAGGTCAGGAGTTCAAGACTAGCCTGGCGAACATGGTGAAACCCCGTTTCTACTAAAAATACAAAAAAAATTAGCTGGGCGTGGTGGCAGGCACCTGTAATCTTAGCTACTTGGGAGGCTGAGGCAGGAGAACTGCTTGAACCCAGGAGGTGGAGGTTGCAGTGAGCTGAGATCGCGTCATTGCACTCCAGCCTGGGCAACAGAGCGAGACTCGGTCTCAAAAAAATAAAAAAAAATAAAAAATAAAAAATAAAAAATCATGAGAACCCTGGGTCACCATCACAGCAAGCTGGGAAGCATAGAGGCACAGCAGAAGCTGTCATCACCCTTTGTTGTCTCCTGGCAGGTGTTCCAAAGTGTTAATTTACAGTTTTAATGAGAAATTTTTATTCACTTTCCCAATTATATAAACCATTAGAAAATATTAATAATCAAATTTCAGTAGCATAGCATATCCATAAGGCCATTCAATAATATTTTGAGAGCCTATAGTATCTTAAAAAACAAAGAAAGATTAAGTTATATCTTAATAACAACTCTAAGGAAGCACAAGCTATAGGTGAAAAAAATGCTACCATTCCACCACTGAACTCATGAATTGCTTTTCCTAACTGTAAAATGGATAATATCCACCCATCTTCCAGTATCCAACACATGTAAAACACTCTGCAAACCGTTAAGAGCACTCTAAAATTCAAATTACAGTACTCCAAACCTGCAAAGTGGCGAGCCACATACAGACGCTGGCAAGTTTCAGGACACGCTCAGTGAGCAACCCTCAGAATGCATGGACAGCCAGCCACTAGTTTACCATGCACTGGCTCATTCACGCACCCAGTGAACAAATGGTTATGACGACCCCTGTCCTCCTGAGATTTACATGATAATCACTCTAATTTCTCTGAGAAGAGGACTCAGTGGAATGTATTTGGGTTTGGGGCTTGGAGTCATGCTGGCCTGGGTCTGAATTCTTGCCCTGCTACATTCACTGGGCAGCAAAGGGCATGTGTGCCACTTCCTCTTTCTGGACCCAAGAATGCCACCACTTCCCTCCCAAGATTCAGTAAAAAAAAGCTAACATGACACATGTGAGGCATCCAGAGTCCCTGTCACCTTAGTCACTTAAATGTTGGTGTCATTTCTAGATTTTGTACGTCTTTAATTTTCTACAATCTTGTTTTTTGATTCATCACTTCAAAAATGTCTTTAATTTTTGCTATGATTTGATTTTGAGGTTGGAGGAGTAAAAAGATAATTAACCTAATGCATACCACCAAAACCCCTCTGGATTCTCCCTGGACTTCATGGCCTGCTCCTTCTCTCTCTGACCAACGCTAGGTTCTTGCTACTGCTACACTCTCTGCTCCTGGCTGTGGGGTGGGGTTGAAGAGTTAAATGATGATGGAGACTGAGCCTTGGTCAAACACAGCAACTGGTGTCCTATTACTTCATGAGGGTCTTATTTGTTCCCTGACAAATTCCTATCACTTCCCATCCCTACAACATTTCCAGTATTTCTCCATCTTCTCCATACTTCCCATCCTTCTCAACTTGGACCTTAGTTATTAAGCGTAAAGTAAAAGAAAGGCAATTTGACTTATTCTGCCTCATCTCTCCTCTCCATACTCAAAGGTTTCTGTGCCATATTAATCATCTTACAGGTTTCTCTTTTATGGAGGGTTCATTTAGACTGGATATTCCCTAAATGCTGGACAGGTGCCGCCATAGTGTGATCACTAACCTACATGATACTCAGTGTTAACTGCCTGTTCCATTTGCACATGGCTCAATGGAGTCAAAGAGATCTGGTTCTAAATTTCACCCCAGGGTTAACCACATGACCCTACATAAATCATTTACCTATCAAAGCCTCAGTTTCTACATCTGGAAAAGGGTGCTAGTATTATGGACACATTTCCTAATAGCTGGTTACTGAATTTCCTGTACTGGTCCCCTAATTTCTTTTGTCACCTGTTTACCATTTCTTCATCTTTTTGTTCTACTTTCTGGAAGATTTCCAGAGCTGCCTTCCAAACCGTCTATTGAGTTTTTCATTTCTATTATCATGGTTATAATTTTTAAAGGATCATCTCATCCCTCAAATGTTTCTTCTTTCCAGCAACCTCTTCCTCGTTAAGAAATCTTCCACACTTCTATCTTTGGAAGATAAACCTATTTGTCAGTCAGGCACCAGAAAGGGATGGGGGAATCAGTCAGTCCCCAATTTTCATTATGGTGTCTCATGCTTTGCCTCAGGGGTGCCTAGTATCCCAAAGTCCAGAAGCTGTCTACTTAATCTCTCCAGAAAGTAACTGTCAGAGGAAAGGCTGTTACTCTGGGGCCCCCAATGAACTGTGCCTCCCTGCACTTGCCCCTAGGTTGGGCCCCTCCCACAGTGACTGGGTTTCACAATAAGATGTTGCCGAGTGTGACAGATGCCCTCCTGGAATGCTACCTTCTGAGTGTTCTCCATCTGCCATGTGGTGAAAGGTCACAGCTCCCAGCCATGCTTGCTGAAGCACCAGTCACATGAGGAAAGCAATCCTGGATGTTTCAGCTCCACCTGCCATCACAGACCCCAAGCAAGAACAGCAGAAGAACCTCCCAGCTGAGCCCTAGCTAACTCACAGAATTGTGGGTAAATAGTTGTTTCAAGCCACTAAGTTTTGGGGTACTTAGTCATGTAGCAATAACTGAAGCACAGGCTTTCAAACACTCCTATTTTCAGCCCAGCCCTGCACATGGAGCTCTTTTACAGTTTTTCAGATCTTAGTCTTTAGCTTTAAAGCAGAGTTGGAAGATTAGTGGTAGGAAACCCAACTAGATACTGATAGAATGACTACTGGTGATCATGGTAATCGTTTCACTGGAAAGCAAAGGATCAATTCCATACTTTAATGACTGGAAGTTTTAAAAACCTTTTTAAAATTTAGAATTAAATTAATGTTAAGCAAATAAGCAAAAGAGCACCAACTGAGAAGACTGAGAATATGTGCCAGGGGTCACAAACTCATGCCTTCAATAGCCAGAGAAGCAATACAAAGTGAAAAAAAACTCCTCTAAATAAAAAGCTGTTTCTGCCAAGGCCCCTGTATGAGAGCTGTGATTCCTATCCTTGAACACGGAATGGTCTAAAAAAATTGGCCTGTCTCCAGCTCTCATGCACATTTGCTCTCTAGAAAATGATACAGAGTAGGAGAGAAGTATCCAATGGATAAATATCTTCAAACATGATCTAGGGCACAGATTATATACTCTTTAGAATGCTGAAAAAAAAAGAAGGTTAAAGTTTTCAACAAAAAATAGAGGATATCAAACTGTTATAATAATTAAATAATATGACCAATCGAGGCTTAGAAAAAGGTAACCCCGCTCTTTAGCAGGGTGATGTAACATAAAGGGAACATGATCTGGACTTACGAGACCTGCTGTGCTGTGTGAAGCTGGACAAGTTATTTAACTTCTGAGCCTCCATTTCATCATTTTACAAAAAGAGGAAAATACTTCAACTTGAATTAAGTCCTTCAATTTTCTTAGTTCATTATAGCACCTTACTGATTTAGGCAAACCCCTCCCCGCTTTTTTTTTTTTTTTTTTTTAATTTTTGAGATAGGATCTTGCTCTGTCACCCAGGCTGGAGTGCAGTGGTATGATCACAGCTCACCATATCCTTGACCTCCAGGACTCACGTGTTGCTCCCACCTTCTCAGCCTCCCAAGTAGCTGGGGACTCAGGCGTGTGCCACCACACTTGGCTTTTCTTTTGTTTTTTTTTCAGAGATGTGGTTTCTGCAAAACCCCATCTCAAACTGGTTTCAAACTGCCAGGCTCAAGCAACCCACCCGCCTCAGCTTCTCAAAGTGCTGGGATTACAGGCATGAGCCATCGCACCCAGGCAAACCCTATTTTTTATGATATGCAAAAAAGTCCTGTTTCTTACTTTCATATGGAGATGGCAGTTTCTTTTCCCTTTAGATATCTAACAAGTAAACTTCCTGAAGGATATTTGGCTACAGAAGCTCAGAAAGCTATGAGCTGAATGTCTGGATACTACTTGTTTCACTTCATGGTTCAATTAAGAAGAATAGTCACAACTTAGACCAGTTATTTTTAATCTAGGAAGGATGAACTCTTAAGGAGGCCACTAATGGGCATGTAACAAAGTAATTCATATAAGAAAAGTTTAAGTATAACATTCTGGTTAGGGCCATAGCTTTCATCAAATACTCCAGTCTATAAGGCTGACAGTTACAAAAAAACACTGACTTCAGTCAAGGAATCTGATGCCTAAGTATACATGCAAGAAAAAGTACTGTACATACGCACAAGGATAAGCAGGTAAGAATGTTCCTTTCGGCCGAGCATGGTGGCTCACGCCTGTAATCTCAGCACTTTGGGAGGCCGAGGTGGGCGGATCACGAGGTCAAGAGATCGAGACCATCCTGGCCAACATGGTGAAATCCCGTCTCTACTAAGAATACAAAAATTAGCTGGGCGTGGTGGCATGTGCCTGTAGTCCCAGCTACTCGGGAGGCTGAGGCAGAGAATCGCTTGAACCCAGGAGGCAGAGGCTGCAGTGAGCTGACTGAGATAACGCCACTGCACTCCAGCCTGGCACAGAGCGAGACTCCGTCTAAAAAAAAAAAAAAAGAATGTTCCTTTCTACTTTCTTTATTAATAGCCCAAAATGAGAAGCAATTGAAAGGCCCATTACCAGGAGAATAAACAGTGTTACATAGTTCACAATGGAGAACTACTTAGGAACGAAGAATGAAGACATTATAAGATCATGTTAACAATATAGAAAAAATTTTAAAATTTTTAACTAAAAGAAGTTACAAAAATATATAGAGTATGGTATAATTTATAGAAAGTTTAAGAAAATGCAAAATCATGCTGTATTTGTGTACACCTTCAAACAGTATTTAGTAAACATACGAAAATAAGCATGGGAAAGACAAACACCAAGCGGGGTATGATGGTGACCTGAGAGGGATGACCAGGAAAGTCATTAGGAAAGCGTACATGGGTCTCCAGCTGTGCCCCCAACACCTGGCTTCTTCAACTTCAGTGGGCACACAGGGATTCACTGGGCCATCATTTGGCCCTTTCTGGTCCTCAAACTCTTAATCTGTTTTCATACCCCAGCCCCTAACCCCACGCATGTCTATTTTATAGTGCCTCACTCTCAGATTTTTACAGCAGCCCCTTCCACTTCTGTGTCTGCTCTCATATTCTCACTTTTCAACATTTGAAAGATCAGAAAACTTCCTGTTAAAAAATCCCAATTTTCTACCTTTTCTAAAAAGAGATCAGAAGATCTGGGCTAGATTAACAAAAAGAAAATGGGCTATTTCTTGCCTGGTCCTCATAAACCACTCTACCCCACCAACCCTAGACATGCATATTCAGTTTATTCAGCTGCCTGTTCAAAAATCTCCATTTAGCTGTCTCCTAGGAGGCATCTCATATGTTAATCCTTATTCATACCACAAAGATGTTCCTTCCTTAGGTTCCTTTTCCTTAGTAAATAGAAATTACTTTTTTTTTTTTTTGGAGACCGAGTCTCGCTCTGTCACCTGGGCTGGAGTGCAGTGGCGTGATCTTGGCTCCACCGCCTGGTTCAAGCAATTTTCCCACCTCAGCCTCCTGAGTAGCTGGGACTACAGGCATGCACCACCACATCCGGCTAATTTTTTCTTTGTTTGAGATGGAGTCTTGCTCTGTTGCCCAGGCTGCAGTGCAGTGGCACGATCTCAGCTCACGGGAACCTCTGCCTCCTGGGTTCAAGTGATTCTCCTGTCTCAGCCTCCCAGGTAGCTGGGATTATGGGTGGGCGCCACCACGTCCGGTTAATTTTTATATTTTTAGTAGAGACAGGTTTTTGCCATGTTGGCGAGGCTGATCTCAAACTCCTGACGTCAAGTGACCTGCCTGCCTCCCAAAGTGCTGGGATTACAGGCATGAGCCACTGTGCCGGGCCAGGAATTATATTCTTGCAGTTGCTCAGATCAAAACCCTTGGCTGTCTTCCTTGTCTCCTCCCCTTATCTCTACCCCACATCTAATCCTGACAGTTCCATCTTCGAAAACAGATGCAGAATCCCCCAGCCATCTGCCTCCTGGACCCCTGCAACTGCATCTTCACTGGGTGCTCACAATCTGCCCTCTGTCCCTCCAGCACAGCTCACTCACCGTGTTTAGTTAGTCTCAGTGCAGCAACCAGTATGGTCTGATCAGCATCTGATTGGCAAGTAAGTCAGGTTGCACTACTCCTCTCCAAACCCTAACACTTCACAGCTGCTCAGGGGAAAAGCCCAAGTCCCTAGCATGGCCCGTGTGTCCTCAAATGCTCCAGCTCCACTGCCATCTATATACCCAAAGACATAGGACTTAGGCTTCCTCAGGCAGGACTGGCTGTGATCACACAACAACTGTGAGCACTCTCAGCTTTTGTAATCACTGGCTTCTTCCCAGGGGGTTCTGGTCTGTAGAGAGAGCACAGCATCACTTCCTGCAATGTACATAATGTATTCAGACAGGCACCTTACACATTTTAAGTGCTCAATAAATGTTATCATTGTATTGATGCTCTTAGTATTACCCAGAAAAGGTTGGGTTCAACAGTCCATGTGTCAAGACACAGTATATAGTCATCCCTATATTGGGTCGCTTCCAGGACCCCCTGAGGATACCAAAATCTGTGGATGTTCAAGTTCCTTATATAAAATGGCATAATATTTGCATATAACCTACACACATCCTCCTGTATGTTTTAAATTATTTCTCAATGACATGTAATACCTAATACAATGTAAATGCTATGGGTGTAGTTGTCATACTGTATTTTTTAGGGAATGCCAGGAAAAAAGTCTGTATGTGTTCAGCACAGACACAATCATCCATTTTTTTCCAAATATTTTTGATCCACTGTTGGTTACCTCCACAGATGTAGAACTCATGGGTATGAAGGGCCAATTGTATATGGTCAAAATTAACCTTGAAGGTAAACACTGCCGTGACATACTTTACATGGTTTTCTGTAGATATAACCCTGTACAGCATATAAATAATGCATATACAAAATACTAAGTTGTACTCTGTACTTTTACTGGCAAAAAGAATTTTACTGGTAGACTTAGCTCAATGTGAGAATATAAGCAAGTGAATGTTAAGACTCTACTCTACTTAGGGTGTAAGTCCTCTAAGGCTCTTTAAATAACAATAGGACTGGTCAGCTCCCCAGGGTAAGCTGCAGTGCTGTTACCTTCAAAACTAACACCCCAAAAGAATGGTATTATGGAAGAGTTATTGCATTTTAACTTTATTTACTCCTCAAACAGGGCCTCATTAAGTTTCTAATCTTCTAACCATCCTCAAAGTGGGAGATAAAGTACTAGCTTTGATTCAGTTTTAAGTGGCTCAATAAAAATAAAACAAATATAAGTAGTTTTTTTTTTTAAGGGGGAAATGAAGAGTGGTTTGCATATATTTAACAAATACCAGGTATATGCCAGGTCCGGTCATAACAGGAATGAAACAGACAGCTTAGGATAATAATCACCTAAAAAATATGCATCTGGAGGAGGGCTGAATTGCCTATGGCTGATTCACAATACCATTCCTCTTTACAGACCCCATTACTAACTGCAATCAAAGCATATGCAAAACATTTTATCGAAAACTTGCATGTTATTTGCATATGTAAATGAAAGGGAATTAGCCAAGGCAGTTTTCAGCTGGGACCTAAAAACCAATAAAGCCCATCAAAGGTCATGATTCCCTGGAGAAATATTCACCAACTGCTCTGCCAACTTTTACACAGGGACAGCCAAATTTTAATCAATGTATAAAATTAAATTCTGACACAACTGAATTGCCCTTCTGTTTTGGCAATGTCTCTCATAAAATAATGAGCTGAGCAGGCCAAGAGAAGTGCCATAATGTGGGGTACAACTTGTTACAAGGATAAAGTGGAGGCACGGTGTAGTATCACAAGTATGTAAGTGGAGCCAGAGAAGTAAGCCATTCTCCTTAAACCATGACACCAGTGAACAGTCTGGTAACTATGGATGCTTTTATAGAAACAGTTCACATTGTAACTATAACAGTCACATACACGCATGGTCACATGTGTCACACACACACATAATAGCCACACACATAATGAGAAAATAATTCATCTCACATGTAATGCATAACATCACCAGTACTTCCTACCTATACTTATATTTAATATAATAATATAACCTATATTATTGTCTTTTAATTGCCATTAGCATTTTAATCTACTAGATTATAAACTTGAACTGTTAGTGGTTTTTGATTGTGACCAATTAGTAGTGACTGTCTAAAGAGCTGTACTGAGAAGCACTTTTAAGAGGGCATTTGGACTGGATGGGAAAGCATAGCACACAGTACCACAAACACGATCATCCTCAGGAAATGAGCATACTTATATGCAAACATTCACGACAAAAACACAAAATAAAATTGTGCATTATAATTTTCGATGTAGGTCCTCTTTGCTCCTTTCTTTCCATTGAAGCCAATAGACAGATTATAAAAAGAAACCCAGGGGACACACAGATGGCCTACCATTCATAAACTACCACACACTGATTCTTTCTATTGCAGCAGGCAATAGTTAAAGAGGGTTCTTTTCATTGGCTCCCCAAGAGGCCAGTGAGCTGGTTTAAGGCAGTGGTCCCCAGTGTTTTTGGCACCAGGGACTGGTTTCGTGGAAGACAACTGTTCCACAGACCAAGCAGGTAGGCATGGGGTTCGGGATGAAACTTCCACCTCAGACATTAGATTCTTATAAGGAGCGTTCACCCTAGATCCCTCGCATGCTCAGTCCACAATAGGGTTTGTGCTCCTATGAGAATCTAATGCCACAACGGATCTGAGGCGGAGCTCAGGCGGTAAAGCTTGCTCGCTGTTCACCTCCTGCTGTGCAGCCCAGCTCCTAACAGGCCAAGTACTGGTACCTGTCCATGGCCCGGGGGTCGGGGACACCTGGTTTAAGGGATCTATAGATTGATGCACAAACAACAGCTCTGGAGCAGGGACTGGGACTTGAAGACTCTCCTCATTCATTCCATAAGTAATTACCGAGCATCTGGTTATGCCTGGCACATTCACTTCCTCAGCTAATTTTAATTTGGTGAGATTTTTAAAAATCGTTGTTATGAAAAAGCAATCCAACAATCTTTTTTTTTTTAAATAAAATGAGAAGGAAAGAGCAATACAAGTACAAATATGCTTTACTGGGGTTGAAAATAAAAATCCTGCCTATGACAGCCAAGCAAAGGAAAGCATTTTCCCAAAGCAATAACCTAAAGAATCAAAGATCTTTATAAGCCACAACCATTCCCTTGCACTGTTTCTACCTCATACTAAGTTCTTCACATCACACGACATACTCGGCTAGCATGAATTACACGCAAATTCAACAAGCTACAGGAGAAGGGTCTTGCATTACTCATAGAAGGTTTTTATACCCTTCATCTTTTCAGTTGATTTCAGCTGCCCCTGTCATTTCCCCAGCTTAACCGTGAGTCAAAGGCTAGGCTCATTTCTCAGCAACTTTGGTCCAAAGAAGAAATAAGATCCTTTCTCAGTCTGAACCTGCACTACCCATATTTTCTTTCCGACTATAACTCAGCAGCTTCTTTGGATTTTGCTCAAATAATTTACCTGAATTAACTTCTCGCTTGTTAAAAAAAAAAAAATCTGCATTCTGAATTCCTTTAAAAGCTCTAAATTACTTATCAATCTACAAATTATCGATTTACTCCCTTTAGGTGTCATAAAGAAAACACCATTTTGGCTGGGCGTGGTGACTCAGGCCTGTACCGTGCAGTTTGAGAGGCCGACGCGGGAGGATGTCTTGAGCCCAGGAGTTCAAAACCAGCCTGGGCAACACAGGGAGACCCTGTCCCTGTATTTTTTAAAATTAAAACAAAAAACCAAAAAACCCACCATTTTAACCACAAAGTTTTCTCTGCCAAGTTTTCTCTGGGCACGTCACTCACAGCCCCTGCTGAAGTGATGAACCTCCAGGCAGCCCTGCCCCCTCACCAGGGCTTATCAAATCAGGCTGGCTCAAGCCTGATTAAGCCCAGGCTCAATCACCTGGCTCAAGCCCAGCCAATCAGATTCTCTCTCTAGATGAATGGTGTTGGACAGTAGAGTTCCATGGTCATGCTGGGCTGGAAGCTGGAATGGCCATTCTTCACTATGTGCTAAAGCAGAGAAAACCAGAGTTTGGACAGAGAGGGAATGACCCTGACTCAGGTACAGAAGGAAATGAGAGATTGTAGCTTGGTTGTTACCGAAAGTGACTTTGTCTATCACATAATTCCCAGTTCAGGTCTCTCGTGAGGCTGCTATACTTTTAGCACTTGGCTTCAGTGAGATATCCCTGTATCCTTTACATATATTTCTATTCTTCCTTAAACCAGGTTAATTATGTTCCTAATTGTTGTAATGAAATGGTGCCTAAGATAGCTGTATGTATAAGTGGTAACTTCCAAACTCCTATCCCATGCTGTATGAAGCAACAATTTCAAGAAATTAAGAAGCTGGCCAGGCACGGTGGCTCACACCTGTAATCCCAGCACTTCAGGAGGTGGAAGCAGGTGGATCACCTGAGGTCAGGAGTTTGAGACCAGCCTGGCCAACACAGTGAAACCCCATCTCTACTAAAAATACAAAAATTAGCTGGGTGTGGTGGCGGATGCCTGCAATCCCAGCTACTCGGGAGGCTGAGGCAGGAGAATCGCTTGAACCCAGGAGGTTGCAGTGAGCCAGGTTTGCGTCACTGCATTCCAGCCTGGGCAATAGAGTAAGACTCTGTCGTCTCAAAAAAAGAAAAAAGAAAAGAAAAAGAAAAAGAAATTAAGAAGTTAAAAAATCAGAGGTGGGGGAGAAGAAAACAGCTGGGAAGAGAAAAAATAATTGGATGAAAGGGTAGGCTTTTTTAAAAATGAATGTTAGATTCATTTTAAAAAAATCAGTACCTTTCATGTGATAAGCACTCACTGTGCTAGGCAGTAGGAGATAAAAACGATGGGTAACTTGGTCGGGTGCGGTGGCTCACGCCTGTAATCCCAGCACTTTGGGAGGCTGAGGCAGACGGATCACGAGGTCAGGAGATGGAGACCATCCTGGCTAACACGGTGATACCCCATCACTACTAAAAAATACAAAAAATTAGCCGGGCGTGGTGGCGGGCGCCTGTAGTCCCAGCTATTCAGGAGGCTGAGGCAGAAGAATGGCATGAACCCAGGAGGCGGAGCTTGCAGTGAGCCGAGATGGCGCCACTGCACTTCAGCCTGGGCTACAGAGCAAGACTCCGCCAAAAAAAAAAAAAAAAAAAAAAAAAAAAAAAAGATGGGTAACTCACGGTCCTTGCGCCCAGTGAGCACAGTCAAATGAATAATTACAACTTAGGATGTGAAGGCCATGTTATTTGAGGTATACACAATGTATCATGAGTATATGGCCAGGGGAGTCAGGCTTTCAGAGACAATTCTTTTTTTATTTTCTTGAGATGGAGTCTCCCTCTGTCGCCCAGGTTGGAGTGCGGCGGCATGATCCTGGCTCACTGCAACCTCTGCCTCCCAGGTTCAAGTGATTCTCCTGCCTCAGCCTCCGAAGTAGCTGGGATTACAGGCATGCACCACCATGCCCAGCTAATTTCTGTATTTTTAGTAGAGATGGGGTTTCACTATGTTGGACCAGGCTGGTCTCGAACTCCTGACCTCAGGTGATCTGCCCGCCTTGGCCTCCCAAAGTCCTGGGATTACAGGTGTTGAGCCACTGTTCCTGGCCTCAGAGATAATTAGGAGTTGGATGAGAACAGAAAGGTGGGAAACACTAAGCAAGCCTTAAAAACCGTTTGCATCAGTGGCAGCCAGACAGAATAAACTTCTGCAGATTGTCAAAGATAACAAAGCCAACGATCGCAACACTAGACCATTCAACAATTAGTCCAGGAAGGAAGTTTCTGGAGGTCAGAATCCACTCAATTTCGCCTTGCATCATAAAGGTACTTAAACCATACCTTCTCAAATAGTATGGTCAAAGCAAAATGACTCTTTCAGTAGTTACGATCTCACAGATAACATCTTAGAGTGAATAATAAAATAAGAATTCATAATATTAACTGCAAAAGATATTTTTTAATTATTTTGTTATTTCAGGAAACTGAAAGACATGAGAAATATTTTATATGAAATGCTAAAAGAATAAAATAATATTGTAATATTTTCTAAAAACAAAAAATATATAAATCATATGCCAATACAGTACTTTTGAAGTGTTTGAACTGCTATTCCCTTCTAGGAATGTATCCAAATGTAATAATACAGACCACTGAAAAACCCCACATAACATATTCTAGACTGCATAACAGAAAAATCAAGAGCGGGCCGGGCGCGATGGCTCATGCCTATAATCTCAGCACTTTGGGAGGCCACGGCAGGCAGATCACCTGAGATCAGGAGTTCAAGACCAGCCTGGCCAACATGGTGAAACCCCATCTCTACTAAAAAATGCAAAAAAATTAGCCAGGCATGGTGGCACGTGCCTGTAATTCTGGCTACTCCGGAGGCTGAGGCACAAGAATCGCTTAAACCTGGGAGGCAGAGGTTGCAGTAAGTTGAGATCACACCACTGCACTCCAGCCTGGGCGACAGAGTGAGACACTGTCTTAAAAAAAAAAAAAAAAAATCAAGAGCAAGGTAAACATCCAGTAATAAAGATTATATTATAATATTATACTGCTGTTGAAATATTATTTGATGAAATGCAACTTAGCCACTAAAAAGAATAAAGACAATGTAATAACAGGATGAAATAGTCGAGTTGGAAAAAGGATATAAAATTTTGTGTATACTCTTAATTAGAGTAGCACATATAAAAGAAAAGCATATAAAACTTCAGAAAATATAGAAAAATACCATAAAGGAAAAGTGGTAATGTTCATGTTACTTGGTAAAATAAATAAGTACTTTGTTTTCCCAGTTTTTGGAGGTCAAGTTGTCATATTTGTAAACTTAAATCACCCCTTCTTTTATTCTCTTAAGTGTTAGAAACAAAATGTAAACTTACTTCATCAGAAGCAGATCGAAGACACTGGACAGCAGCCTGTTTTTTCATTTCTTCTAGAGTTAGATCTGAACATTTTTTCTTACTCTTTCCCCATTTCTTATAAGCTCCTTTTTCCCAGCCCAGGAAGATGTCATTCTCCTGCAATGAAATTGCACCAGGTTAAATGACCAGGGCTAACTTGGACACTACTATGTTCCACCTACCACACACACTCAGTCACAAAAAGGCCCCTTGCATTTCCATACGAGTTTTAGGATCGGCTTGTCTATTTCTGCGACGAAGGGAGCTGGCATTCCAAGACGGATTATCTTGATTCTATAAAACAACTTGGGGTGTACTGCCATCTTAATAGTATTGTTTTCTGATCACAAACATGGGATGTTTTCTATTTATTTAGGTCTTCTTTGATTTCTTTCAAAGATGCTTTATAGTTTTTGGTGCACAAGTCTTGCACTTTTGTCAAATTTTTTCTTAAGCATATTCTTTTTTATACTATTGCAAATGGAGTTTTTTCTTAATTTCATTCCTTAGGATTTTCTCTATATTCTAAACAAGATCATGTCATATGTGACTAGAGTCTTACTTCTTCCTTTTCAATCTGTATGTCTTTTCCTTACCTAACTGCCCTCTTAATGCTGATTTATAAAAAAAGTTTATGTATTTCATCTTTGAAAATGTCTTCACACAAATAGAAATTGCCAAATGCTGGTATTAATCCACAAGCATGAGTTTAACTGAACATATTTGGTTAGAAGGCATTTATAGAATTCTGTTAAATTTGTATCTTGATATTTGCCTTCTAGCATGTCAGTATATTGTAGATTAATACTAAGGAATGAAAGTTAATGAAAGCGCCTTGCTAACTTAAGTAGGCAAATAGATTTTGAGATAAAGAAATTTCCTTTGCACTGCGTATCCAGTATGAAAAATGCTGCTGGAAGAGCAGTTTGAGCCTGGACAACTTACCCATGATAAATTTGTGTGGGGATGGAGATTTCACTTCTTGTTTTAACTTTTGACAGAACAAAAAATGTATGAAGCAGCCTGACATTATTTATGATTCAAATAATGTTAGAGTGACTTTATCACATTATTTAGGTTGAATTAAGAAACATCACATCTGTAGCAAAAGCTACATAAACAACAGTATATATCACACACACTTGTTTGCATTCTGTTCTTTATACTTGTATTTGAGAGGTCCCTCATGCTGTTTTTTTAAGGCTTAATGTACTACGTTAATGTACCATAACTTAACCAAAATTTAACAGCATTGAATTGTTAATCACAGCTTAAAGAAATGAGTATAAAAAGAACCAAGATATTTCTATCTCACTTATTGTTATCCTTTTAGTCTCCTATCCTGTACTATTAAAAGTCTGCTTATGACTGGGGGCGATGGCTCATGTCTGTAATCCCAGCACTTTGGGAGGCAGAGGTGGGTGGATCACGAGGTTAGGAGTGTCTCAAAAAAAAAAAAAAAGTCTGCTTATACATAAACATAAAATATTAGACATTTGTCAAATAGTTACTCAGTCCTAATCTTAAAGAAACAACATAATTATCAAGTACCAAAAGCAGATACAACTAAGGAACTCCCCAGCATGAGAGTCTATTATCAGGTACTTTTCTAGACACTACAGGGAGGTCACGTAAGGCTAGAGTTCTGATTGACTTTTCCATGCTGTCTTTATCAAAAGGGAGATTGGGAACTGGGGGAGAAAAAGCACACGCCACTTGGAAATACACCAGCAGTCACTGGAGGCTAGCTGCTGAGCATACGCCCCTGCCTCACAGTGCCTAAATGACCAAAACCACAATGTGTCTGCATGGGATTAACACTACCCCCATCATCCCTTTGGCCACAAAGATTGGCTCAGAGAGAGGCACGTGGCCAATCAGAAATGCACATTTCATGGTCCTTGCTGGGAATGCGGGGAACATGACCTCTGGACAGTGTGTGAGAATATGATCCCAGAAGCATGCTCATTGTCACCACCCTTTACCCTACAAGGAGCTGGCTGCAAAACCAAGCTGACAAAAAGAGGTAGGCAGAGAGGCAGAGCAGAAGCCTGAATGACACTGGGAAGCTCTGAATCAAACCTAACAGGGGCCAGCCCAACTTCTGGACTTTTAGTTATTTGAGTCTTTTTTCCCCCGTAAGCCAATTTAGGCCAAACTTTGGGTTGCTTGTGAATGAGATACAGTCAGATTCTGAGGAGAGCATTCAGTAATAAATCCACTGATATATTGCTCAAAATAACCCCTATTTGCCCCTAAAAAATGAGCCGCTCCAATCAAACAAGCATAATTTCAGGTTAACTATATTCCTGTTTTTCCTACTAGGTCTTCAGCCCACAGTGATGACCTCCTCACTGACCTACCTGTCTGCCCACTGCCATGCCATTAAGTCCTGCTGGCTAAACTCGATCTACAGGTCTTTTGTCTCTAGGACATAACTAGAAATGCCCTCACACAGCACATCAGTCTCTTCAGGGTCTGTTTCCTGCGGGCCTGCCCCACTCTGACCTTCGACTACCCCCTCCTCAGCATACTCTTTTCTGACCTTACAGCATCAGGCCCCTCCTATTTCTGTGTCTTTGTACACACTATTCCTTTATACACACTATTCCTTTATTCTTCCTTCAAGGTGATTCCTAAACTGGCAGTTGTCACTCAGGGACCATCCCTAGTTTTCTCTGTATTGATGCATTCACATTTGCACATAAAAGCAGAAATGTCAGTTTTAAAACATGGGATATTTATATTTAAAACTTCTCTATTCCATGAGAACATTTTACACACACAAAAAGTGTTAATGGTGTCTTGGGAAGTATAGGAATTTGTGTACCCATCATTAGCACCAACTCTCACTCTGAAATTATTTTCATATTCCTTATATGTAAAATTTTATATATTTTCTTCTGCCTAACGTAAGTGCTAATGCAAAATCTAAACCTGACGGTGATGGGAAAAAATTTAATCAATTTTCATATAAGAGCTAAAATTAATCTTATTAATCAATGTCATTCCTAGAAGCTTGAAAGGAAGAATCCTTAGCTTTATTTATTTTATTTCTGAGACAGAGTCTTGCTCTGTAACCCAGGCTGGAGTGTAGTGGCGTGATCTTGGCTCATTGCAACCTCTGCCTCCTGGGTTCAAGAGATTCTCGTGCCTTAGCCTGAGTAGCTGGGATTGCAGGCATGCGCCACCACACCTGGCTAATTTCTGTATTTTTAGTGGAGATGGGGTTTTGCCATGTTGGCTGGGCTGGTCTTGAACTCCTGGCCTCAAGTGATCTGCCCGCCTCGGCCTCCCAGAGTGCTAGGATTACAGGCGTGAGCCACCTCACCTGGCCAGCTTTATTTATTTTAAACGTATCAATTCATAAACTACCAAAAACATGTATTAGCTTCAAGCAACCTTTATAACAATTTTGAAATGGACTTTGTCTCAAAAAAAAAAAAAAAAAAAAAAGCTGCTTTGAAAGTACAAGTCAGTTCCACCCCAACATCAATCCTCACAGGTAACTACTGTCAACAGTTGGCATATATCTTAACAGATTTATTTTAAATGTGGAATTTATCCCACATAGCAGAGTATATACAATGTAAATGTACAGTTTTAAGAATAATAATATATCTATCAGGTAACAGTCAGACCTAGAATACTCCCAGTAACCTCAGAAGCCTCATCTGTCAAAAGCTATCTTTAGGTGGGGCATATGGTGGCTCATACCTATAATCCTAGCAATTTGGGAGGCAGAGGTGGGCAGATCACTTGAGCCCAGGAGTTTGAGAACAGCCTGGCCAACATTGTGAAACTCTGTCTCCAAGAAAAATACAAAAATTAGCCGGGCATGGTGGTGTCCACCTGCAGTCCCAGCTACTTGGAAGGCTGAGGTGGGAGAATTGCTTGAGCCTGGGAGGCGGAGGCTGCAGTGAGCAGAGATCACGCCACTGTGCTCCAGTTTGGGTGACAGAGTAAGACCCTGTCTCAAAAAAAAAAAAAAAAAGCTATCTTTGTTACCCTCATACTTACTAGTTCGGGTAAGATCTTTTAGAATGGAGATAATTTTTCTCAGAATCTGAAAGGTATTGCTCCATAGACTCTCAAATGCAACACTACAGGTTAGAAATCCTAATTCTACAGAATGGGAGTAAATTTTTGCAATCTATCCATCTGACAAAGGGCTAATATCCAGAATCTACAAAGAACTTAAACAAATTTACAAGAAAAAAACAAACAACCGCCTCTGCCTCTCCCTCTCCCTCTCCCTCCCCCTCCCCCTCTCCCCTTTGCACGGTCTCCCTCTAATGCCCAGCCAAGGCTGGACTGTGCTGCCGCCATCTCGGCTCACTGCAACCTCCCTGCCTGATTCTCCTGCCTCAGCCTGCCCGGTGCCTGGGATTGCTGGCACGCGCCGCCCACGCCTGACTGGTTTTTGTATTTTTTGGTGGAGACGGGGTTTCGCCGTGTTGGCTGTGCTGGTCTCCAGCTTCTGACCGCGAGTGATCTGCCAGCTTCGGCCTCCCGAGGTGCCGGGATTGCAGACGGAGTCTCGCTCACTCAGTGCTCAATGTTGCCCAGGCTGGAATGCAGTGGCGTGATCTCGGCTCGCTACAACCTCCACCTCCCAGCCGCCTGCCTTGGCCTCCCAAAGTGCCGAGACTGCAGCCTCTGCCTGGCCGCCACCCCGTCTAGGAAGTGAGGAGCGTCTCTGCCCAGCCGCCCATCGTCTGGGATGTGAGGAGCCCCTCTGCCCGGCCGCCCAGCCTGGGAAGTGAGGAGCGCCTCTTCCCGGCCGTCATCCCGTCTAGGAAGTGAGGAGCCTCTCTGCCCGGCCGCCCATCGTCTGGGATGTGGGGAGCACCTCTGCCCAGCCGCGACCCCATTTGGGAACTGAGGAGCGTCTCTGCCCCGCCGCCAACCCGTCTGGGAGGTGAGGAGCGTCTGTGACCCGCCGCCCCTTCTGAGAAGTGAGGAGCCCCTCCGCCCGGCAGCCGCCCCGCCTGGGAAGTGAGGAGCCCCTCCGCCCCGCCAGCCGGCCCGTTCGGGAGGTGGGGGGCAGCCCCCGCCCGGCCGCTGCCCCGTCTGGGAGGTGGGGGCCCCTCTGCCCGGCCGCCACCCCGTCTGGGAGGTGTACCCAACAGCTCATGGAGAATGGGCCATGATGACGATGGCGGTTTTGTCGAATAGAAAGGGGGGAAGTGTGGGGAAAAGAAAGGGAGATCAGATTGTTACCGTGTCTGTGTGGAAAGAAATAGACAGGAGACTCCATTTTGTTCTGTACTAAGAAAAATTCTTCTGCCTTGGGATGCTGTTAATCTATAACCTTGCCCCCAACCCCGTGCTCTCTGAAACATGTGCTGTGTCCACTAAGGGTTAAATGGATTAAGGGCGGTGCAAGATGTGCTTTGTTAAACAGAGGCTTGAAGGCAGCATGCTCCTTAAGAGTCATCACCGCTCCCTAATCTCACGTACTCAGGGACACAAACACTGCGGAAGGCGGCAGGGCCCTCTGCCTAGGAAAACCAGAGACCTTTGTTCACATGTTTATCTGCTGACCTTCCCTCCACTATTGTCCTACGACCCTGCCAAATCCCCCTCTCCGAGAAACACCCAAGAATGATCAATAAATACTAAAAAAAAAAAAAAGAAAAGAAAAAAAAAAAAGAAAAAGGACAAACAACCCTTAATACAATTATTAAGCACAATAGAGTGAGAAACAAAGAAATCAGGAAAAAGTGAGAACAATATTTCTACAAGTACAAGAAATGGGGGGAAAGTGTTAGGACTCAAAGCCACCAAACTGTGTATTCTAATTTTCAATATACATATATGATTTGCAAAGCCAAAAAAAAAAAACAAAACAAAAAACAAACAAACAACCCCATCAAAAAGTGGGCAAAGGATATGCATAGACACTTCTCAAAAGAAGACATTTATGCAGCCAACAGACATATGAAAAAATGCTCATCATCACTGGTCATCAGAGAAATGCAAATCAAAACCACAATGAGATACCATCTCACACCAGTTAGAATGGCCATCATCAAAAAGTCAGGAAACAACAGATGCTGGAGAAGATGTGGAGAGATAGGAACGCTTCTACACTATTGGTGGGACTGTAAATTAGTTCAACCATTGTGGAAGACAGTGTGGCGATCCCTCAAGGATCTAGAACTAGAAATACCATTGGACCCAGCATTCCCATTACTGGGTATATACCCAAAGGATTATAAATCATGCTACTATAAAGACACATGCACATGTATGTTTATTGCAGCACTATTCACAATAGCAAAGACATGGAACCAACCCAAATGTCCATCAATAATAGACTGGATAAAGAAAATGTGGCACATATACACCATGGAATACTACGCAGCCATAAAAAAGGATGAGTTCATGTCCTTTGCAGGGACACAGATGAAGATGAAAACCATTATTCTCAGCAAAATATCACAAGGACAGAAAACCAAACACTTCATGTTCTCACTCATAAGCGGGAATTGAACAATGAGAACACATGGACACAGGGAGGGGAACATCACACACCGGGGGCCTGTTGGGAGGCGGGGAGCTGGGGGAGGGATAGCGTTAGGAGAAATACCTAATGTAAATGACGAGTTGATGGGTGCAGCAAACCAACATGGCAGATGTATACCTATGTAACGAACCTGCACATTGTGCATATGTACTCTAGAACTTAAAGTATACTACTAATAAAAAGAAATCCTAATTCTTTGGGTAAGGCTTGTTTTTTCTTTGGAAAAATCGTAGCTTTGTACTTGGTGGTCTAAAATTTTGAAACCAAACCTTGACAGAGTGGTGGTTCTACCATCAAGAGAGTGATGCTTCTTCCCCTTGAACTTGTGTGGGCTCCAGTCGGCTCAACAGAGTGCAATGGAAGTGATTCTATGTGACTTTCAAGGCTCGGTGGTAAAAGGCCTTAAGCTTCTACCTGATTCTCTTGGGCTACTCGCTTTGAGGGACCCAGCCAACCACATAAGCCTAGCTACTTCCTGACCCACATGAAGAGGCTCTGGTCAACAATCCCAGCTGAGTCCAGCCCTCTAGCACACCTGCCAAGATGACAGACATGTCAGTAAAGCTATCTTGGGCCTTCCAGCTCAGCCTGTCTGTCAGCTGAGTACCAATGAGTGACTTTGGGTGAATCACCCAATTAAGCCCTGCCCAAATTCCTTACTTACAGATTCTGTCATATGATCGTGTTGTTGTTGTTGTTTTAATGCTACTAAGTTTTGGGGCAGTTTCTTGGGCAACAACACTCTTACCACAAATAAAAGTATTTCTTTTGTGCTAAACAACTCTCTTTTAAACTCAAGAGAACCACCCCTACCCCTCCCATTATAACTTTTACAGTGAACAAATCCAGGTTCATTCTATCTATATGTACCATCAAAAGATTTTTACTTTAGTTTCTTAAAATTTATTATTTTTTTAACCTGGTCATCATGTCACAAAAAATAAGAGTAATTGCCACTGGAATTTGTCAGTCTTAAAGAACACCTTTTCAAGGGACCCAATTGTGTCAAAGGTAATAATTACATCCAGAAATATTATAGTGACCATGTTTGCTGAATGCATAATTAGGATATATGGCAGGGCTAAATATTTCAAATTGAGATTGTTAGGGTAAATGTTGGAAATACTGTATCAGCAGCTTATCTTTGCCTCTAACAAATGCATTAGCCTACCTGCTAGAAGAGGAGTAGTTAATAGGAAAATAACTATTTGAAGGAAATATTTGTATGAATAGCAACAATAATAGCAATAGTTGTCAATATTTACTGAGCACTTACTTTGTGTCTAGTATTCCTCTAACTATATTATCAGTACATAAAATGATGCCTGGCACCTATATGGTCAATAAATGAATCTCCTTTAATCCTCAGTAACGATATTAGATATGCACATAATTTGTACAATTTATAAATGAAAAGACAGCTGTAGTGCCAGCTACTTGGAAGGCTGAGACAGGAGGACCCTTGAGCCCAAGAGTTCGAGGCTCAGTGAGCTCTGAGAAACACTGCACTCCAGCCTGGGCGAAAGCAAGACCCTATCTCTAAAATAATAATAATAATAAGAAAAGAAATGGAGAGTCAGGCACAGAGATGTTAACTTGTCCAAGTCAGTGGTCTAAGTTGGAAAGTGAAGAAGGTGGGGTTAGAACACAGGTCTTCAGATTCCAAGGCCTATGTTCTTAACAATGTGATACTGACTTACAGTAAGCGGGGGAAATCTCAAAAGGGAAAGAGAGAACAGGAGACTGCAGGTCTGAAAGTCACTTGGGATAAAAGTCAAGGTGGTATTAAAGGAACTTTTGGTCTGGGTCAGTAGTACAAGTTTTTTCACCCTATAACCCTTCTGATATCTCCTGCTTAATTCTTCATGAATTATCCAGTGATGTATATGCTATTTCATACCTACTACCCAGAAAGGTTTTTGTCACTATGGGAGTCAAAGTGAATACTGGCATGTATATACTCTTCCATCAGTAGCATGAACACTTTCTTCTTCCTTTTTTTTTCTTTTTTTCCTTTTTTTGAGATGCAGTCTCACTCTGTTGCCTAGGCTGGAGTGCAGTGACACAATCATGGCTCACTGCAGCCTCGACCTCCCTGGGCTCAGGTGATCCTCCAACCTCAGCCTCCCGAGCAGCTGAGACTACAGGCACACACCACCATGCCTGGCTAATTTTTGTATTATTTGTAGAGACAGGGTTTCTCCATGTTGCCCAGGCTAGTTTCAAACTCCTGGGCTCAAGTAATAGCATGGAATAATTCTTAGGAAGTTTTCAGGGATAGGGAAGGTTCTAGAAAGATACTCCTGGCTTTCTTCCTGGAGCTCTGAAATGCTGATTTGAAATAAGAGAATAAAAATAGGAAGTGTTGTTTAAATGCAAATAACAATGCTTGTGATGTAGAAGGTTATTTAATTAAAGTCTGTTGAATGTTTGTTGAAATACAGTGTATGCAGTGACACACACGAGGAGCGCTTTATGGTCAGACTTTTACAGTTCCTATTGTTAAAGATTCTAATAAACTGTAACAGGAAACACCGCAGATGCTAGCTTTTCAAGAAGCGTAATGCTGAACGGGACACGCTACAGGAGTATGTTACAAATAGGCTGAAGGAGCAAATAAGGTCTGTTGAATGAAGAAGGGATGAGTCTCACCTAGCACTCAGGACTGGGATTATTATTTATACAACCTGTGGGCAAATACAGATAATGTAATAATCCAGTTACATTTCTAGAAGGATGGACTCTGAGCTAGTAGATACAATTTGATTAGGGGATTTAAAACAAGCAACAGTAACTTCTCTGCAGGGCAGGCCCCAGTGTGTGATTATGGGGTCTACACCCACTCCTAGCATGCTTCCCTCCTACACACAAGTCACAGACCTGAGAAAGAAACATGTGGCTATCCATTTGTCTAATACGTATCTGAGCCTCTTGTATATTCCAGGAACTGTTTTAAGGGCTGGGAATCCAACAGAAAACATAGCAGAAAAGGTCCCCAACTCTGGCTGGGCGTGGTGGTTCACTTCTGTAATCCCAGCACTTTGGGAGGCCAAGGCAGGCAGATCACTTGAGGTCAGGAGCTCGAGACCAGCCTGGCCCACATGGTGAAACCCCATCTCTACTAAAAATACAAAAATTAGCCAGGTGTGGTGGTGGGCGCCTGTAATGCCAGCTACTCGGGTGGCTGAGGCAGGAGAATCGCTTGAACCTGGGAGGTGGAGGTTGCAGTGAGCCGAGATCACGCCACTACACTCCAGCCTAGGCAACACAGCAAGAGTCCCTCTCCAAAAAAAAAAAAAAAGGCCCCAACTTCATGAATTACATATGCCAGTAGGGGAGACATAATTAAATCACAAGTAATCATATAATTTCAGGTAATAAAAAATGTCATGAAGAAAAATAAATTAGGTAAGAGGGCTGAGAATGGGAGGCTTCTATTTTAAATACAGTGGGTCAGGGAAAGACTGAGGATAAGACAAAATATATATCAAAACCAAACTATGCCATTAAACAAATAAATACTCTCTTTTAAAAAGTAATTGGTGGCAGCACAACTCTCTTGCCTAGATTAACTAGAAAAGCCAATAACGACACAAAGACAAACCAAACCTACATCACCTTCTGCAGGGCATCAGAGCCCTGCTGAGGTGCCAGGCATTGAGAAGACAGTGAGTGCCAAGGGAAAGGTAGGTGTGGGCATAGGGCACTGACATCTGCAGCTGCTTCCTTCCTGGGGAAATATGCTGACCTAGGTCCGGGACAAGAGGCTGAGAAAAAGGTGGCCCTTTGAAGAGGCAAAGAAAGCAGCAGAACTTGGAGTGAACTCTTAGGGCCAGAGGGAGAACACCTGAGATACAGATGCCAAGGTCCAAGCAAGAGGAAGGGGTTGGAAGCAGAGGGCACTCTGCTGGCCTCCCCTCTGAGCATGTGAGGAACTCTAAAGCTGTGTGGGACACGAGGGGGGCTTCTGGGTTGCCAGTAATCTTCCATTTCTGTGTGTGGCTATAGTTACAGGGATATGATCTTTGTGAAAATTCATCAAGTTGTACATTTTTCTGTATGCATTTTATGCCTCAATAAAAAGTTTAGGGAAAAAAACCTCTTATTCTTGTACAGAATCCATGGTTGTTCTCTATATGGAACAGTTAGTAAAGTTCTGGGAGTCCTAAGATCTAAAAAAAGAAATCTAACCATCCAACACCACCTAAAGCCATCACTCAGATGGAGGGGCCATCACGAAAGGATACTTTTGGAGGTGGTCTGCAAAGAAAAAACTTCTAGAAAAAGACAACAAAATCGGCCAGGTGTGGTGGCTCACGCCTGTAATCCCAGCGCTTTGGGAGGCCGAGGCGGGCGGATCACGAGGTCAAGACTTCGAGACCAGCCTGACCAACATAGTGAAACCCTGTCTCCACTAAAAATACAAAAATTAGCTGGGCGTGGTGGCGCGCACCTGTAATCCCAGCTACTTGGGAGGCTGGGGCAGGAGAATCGCTTGAACCTGGGAGGTGGAGGTTGCAGTGAGCCGAGGTCGCACCACTGCATTCCAGCCTGGGCGACAGGGCGAGACTCCGTCTCAAAAAAATAATAAATAAATAAATTTTAAAAAATAAAAAATAAAAAAAAAGAGAAAGAAAGCACTACTTTGTACAAAGGTAGTTAGACAGGACTTTTTTGGGGTGGTTCAGCACCCTACTTACTCATTCCATATTTCCCTTGGAGAATCATCCTCTCCAATTCTTAGTCCTTGTGGTTCCAGGTGCTTGTACCCTAGCCACCCAAGTCTTGTCACTGCAGTGATCAGGTCAGGAACAGTTCCATAGCAAAGATGACCTATTAGGATGAGAAGCCTGCTCTTTCTGCTGGACACACATACACAAAAAAGGGTGTAAGTCTGAGCTTACAGCGGGCAGGGTAGGGGTGAAGCTTGAGAATAAAGAAAACAGGCCGGGCATGGCAGCTCACACCTATAATCCCAGCACTTTGGGAGGCCAAGGTGGGTGGATCACTTGAGGCCAGGAGTTCGAGACCAGCCTGGCCAACATGGTGAAACCCTGTGTCTACTAAAAATATAAAAATTACCCAGGCATGGTAATGCACGCCTGTAATCTAGCTACTCAGGAGCCTAAGGCAGGAGAATCACTTGAACCCAGGAGGCAGAGGCTGCAGTGAGCTGAGATCGCCCCTGCACTCTAGCCTGGGCAACACAGTGAGTGCTCCATCTCAAAAAAAAAAAAAAAAAAAAAAAGACAACAGAGAAGGCAAGCTAAAAGACGGGGCACTGATTTTACTGTAGGCCCTGGATCAAGTTGCCACTGGGGTCAGCCCTAATTCCCAGATATTTCAAGTTTTTTAAACCAGTAAATGCTCCAAAATTTACTAGCTGTGTGGCCTTGGGCAAGCTATTTAACCACTGTCACTATCTCCACTTATGAAATACAAATAATAACAGGATGGTGTAAGGAAGATTAAATGAGTTACCGTGAATGGAAAATGAGTGCCTTCAACAGTGGCTGGCACACAGCACATGATACATATGTGTTTGCTTTTACTATTACTTCTGTTTAAGCCAGATTGAGCTGGGTTTTCTGTTATCATCACAGACTCCTAATAAGAATAATAAACAAAGAATGCATTATGCTGAGAACATCAATGTATAACAAGAAAAGTTTTAATAAACTCTCAATGGTAGTTTAATTAGCTATAAAGGAAACGAAAGCATATTTGGGGTTATAAGAACAATACTGAAACACACCCTCATCTGCTAGTGCATCCCTTCCCACCTGTGACAGATCATGGGGAGACCTACTGTCAACTATCAGTCTAGCACAACTTCTGGGCAGGAAAAGTTAACTCCCATTTTAAGTTATAATGTTACTGAAGTTCTCCTTTTAGTCATTTTTTGAGTAAGACTGTAAAATGTTTTAAACTAATGTAACAAATGTGTTGTAAGATGTACAGGATCTAAGCTTAATGTTCCAGGTCACCAGTCAATGCACACTGCCATGCCATTCACTTTCAGGCTGTGGGAGCTTAATACTTACTTTCGAGGTTTGGCTTGCAGACTGAATAAGGCAATCCTTACATATTAAGTGGCTGGTGCTGCATCTTACATGCTGTGATGTTCCTTATGTGACCAGGCTACTGATTTTTAAAAGATGGAAGGCACTGTAGTAAAATGTCAACTACTAAATGTAGAGGGGATCACTGAGTTAGGAAAATCACCACTTTTCAACCACCCAACTAATAACTGATTCAGGCAAGGAACATCAATGGATGGTAAAAGTATCAAAGTCTCCCTGCACAGATCGCTTATTCATTACAAGGAGAAACCTGGCAGACACCATCTGAACCATGATAAACCAAGTCAGCGTCTCCAAGAATGATAAAGACTGTCGTCACTGGCCCTCTAATGTGATATGCAGAAAAAAAGAAAACATCATTATGCAATGCTACTACCATAAATGCACAAGCCAACTCTAAAGATACGAGGAAATATCCGAAAAACCCAAATTAAGGGATGTTTTGCAAAACTGGCCTGGACTCTCCAAAAGTGTCCATGTCATGAGATGCCAGGGAAAAACAAGGAATTATTACAGATGAAAGGAGATTAAGGAGATGTGGCCATTAAAGTCGATGCATAATCTCAAACTAGATACTAGATGAGGGAGAAAACTGCAATGAGAAACAATATCGGGACAGGTGACAAAAACTGAATATTGACTGTATATCTGACAATAAAGTTTCATCAATGCTAATTTTCCTGAATTTTGTAATTGTAATATGACTAAGGGAAAGTCTTTGATCTTAAAAAGTACATGCTAGTTTACTCAGAGAGGTCAGCATGAAGAGAAGACAGAAATAAAGCAAAAGTAGAAGATGAAGAAAAGTGGGCTAAAGGGTACAAACATACACGTAAACAACGAGTCACTTCGAGTATTCAACAGTATGGTAGGGAGACTACAGCTAATAATATTTATTGTATATTTCAAAATAGCGAGAAAAGAATTGGACTATTTCCAACACAAAGAAAAGATAAATGTTTAAGGAGACAGGTAACTCAAATACCCTGATTTGATAACATCTTATATTCATGTATCAAAAATCATAATACCCACAAATATGTACAACTATTATATATCAATAAAAGAAAGCAAATGTGTGAAAATACTAACAATTGATGACTGAAGAAAACATGAGAGCTCCCTGTACTATCCTAGCTGTTAGTGAGGTCTGAAATTATTTCATTTTAAAAAGTTAAATTTATTTATTTTTTAAGAGACAGGGTCTCGCTGTGTTTCCAAGGCTGGAGTGCAGCGTCATGATCGCTGCTCACTGCAGCCTCCACCCCCCAGGCTCAAGCGATCCTCCTACCTCAGCTTCCCAAGTTGCTGGGACTACAGGTAAACCCCACTGCATCCAGATAATTTTTTTTAAGAGATGGAGTCTCACTATGTTGCCCAGGCTGGTTAAACTTTTTTAAAAAAGATTAATATATGATTTCTGCCCATAAGGATGTTATAACCTACTGAGAAACAGAATACATTCCAGTAACGATAATGAAAAGCTTTACAGTAAAATATTACCAAGTTTGGTAGAAGACATTGCTTTCATCAGAAATTATCAGAAAAAGTTTCAGAGACAGAGGTGACCTACGCTTTGAAAGATGGGTGAGAAAAGCAGTTTATATAAAATAAAAGTGATATGTAGTGATTTCCTGATTATCTTAGAATATACTTCCCAGACAGAGTAATCATGACCAAAAAAAAAAGAAAGAAGAAACATTTATGGAAATAAAACTACTGGCACAGTGACCGTATCTCCATATTACAAGGCAGTGGTTCTCTGGAACTACATTGTAACCAGCCCACCACCACAAATGTGTTTATAACCCTGCCCAAATTAGAGGTTTATAGATGATTCAGCCTTAAACAAGACTAGGATCTGATCAGCTTTACTTCCTTATCCTGCACAACTGAGACCAAACTGATGCATAAAATCTGTTTTAGAACTCAAGAGCACTGCGTGTTTGCTTTAGCCTAAAACAGAAAAGTGATGGGTCTTCAAACTGGCCGCTCATGGCTAGACTAACTCAAGGACTAAGGGGTGAGCGAAGATGTGAGGAAATGAACACCCAGGAGTACAGTGGTTTGGCCTCCACTCGAGGGGCTGCGTTATCACAGGCATGAGCCAGAGATCAGGAAAGGTGGCACACATCTTCACCCAGGTCTGTCAGCCTTGCTGTTAGCTGGAGTTCTGATGACAGAAGCTAAGGCCCCTTCCACTCTCCTTACTCTTGCTAGAAGAGAACCATCCTTGTCTTCCGCATCCTCTCTGCCTGGGGAAACCGTAAGTACATCCTCCCTTTGAGTCAGGCATCTGGCTTTTGCCACCTTTAACAAGGGACTGTAACTTCACGGAAAAGCAATGCAGGGGATAAAGGATTCTCAAGTCATGTCTTACTAAAACAGGTATTTAAAATTTGACCTTCTTCATTGGCGTGGGACTTGGCACACATGGCTGTTACTTTGGACCAAGTAGAAAAATATTTTAGGGCCTTTTATTTCCCTACGGATTCTCCTTGTAACTCCAGACATGTTATGTTTTCCCTAACCTTTATCTGTCCTGTGTCCTGAGGAACGAACCGGAACTCTGGAGGGAGGATCAAACACAGCTGCAGATACTGATAGTTCATCTTATCTCTGACCACAACCCCCTAGAGTTAGTAAAGAAACCAGAGGATTCACAAGTCTGATCAGAGATGTTATTACTATAATCTTATTAACATCTGGCCTGTTTTATCCTATATGTCCTGTAGCACCCAGCACATACTTTGTGCTAGTAAATTTATTGGTGTTGATTAAATATTGTAGACTGAAAATAGCTGACATACAACTCTTAAGAAATGAGAAGTTCAAGTCCTACTAAAAAACTATTCTTTCCAGCCTAGGCAACAGAAAGAGACATAGTTTTTTAAAAATTAGCTGGGTGGGGTGCCACACACATGTGGTTCCAGCTACTCAGGAGACAGAGGCAGGAAGATCGCTTGAGCCCAGGAGGTTAAGACTGCAGTGAGCTATGATCACGCCACTGCACTCCAGCCTGGGCAAAAGAGCAAGACCCTGTCTCCAAAAAAAAAAAAAAAAAAATCATTCCCTATGAGTACATGCTTACAATAAAGTACATAATTTTTGAATGATGAGAAATATTTTCCTCATTTCTGGAAATTAAAGTCCTTCTATGTTTGTAGATTTAACGTCTTACTTGCCTGTAAAGGAGCATATTTGACATTTACCAGAAAGATGATAACAGAGCTCTGGTAAGGAAATTATACAAAATACTGACCACCAAAATAACACATTTGCTGATTATTAGGTTATAAGTTAATCCCTTCAAAACCTTACTTGACCTAATGCCAGCCAAGGCAGCAAGCAACCTGGAAGCAAGAAAAATGCCGCTGTGTCCAGCTAGACATGATGAGAAACCCCTCTCATCAAACATGCTCTGCACAACTGAGGTATAAAACATGTTAAGCTGGCTGGAAAGAGTAGCTCCCCATCTGTAATGCCAGCACTTTGGGAGGCTGAGGTGGGAGGATTGCTTGAGCCCAGGAGTTCAAGGCTTCAGTGAGCTATGATCACACCACTGCACTCCAGCCTGGGTGACAGAGCAAGACCCTGTCTCAAAAAAAGTTAAGCATCTTGGTGAAATCCTCTGTATGTGTTATTTATAGGACTTTGAAGTTTTTTTGTGTGGTCTGGAGGGGCAAAGCCAATATCTCCTGACAATGAAACCCTTCCTGCTCTCAGTGTGGGTAACGATGGTTTAAAACTGCAACAAAAACTGCCCACAAAATACCTCCTTCTTTTTACTGTCTATAAAAACCAAAAGATTTTATGTGAAATTTGTAGATAGAAGTCACCCAGAGCCCATTTATTCAGTACTGATGACTCTGGTTCCCTCTGGCAGGCCTCACTTTCAGTAGCTCCTCTTAAGAATGAGACTGAGGTTAACATTTTTTTCAAGAACCTGTATTTGGTTTCTCTTGCTTTCTCTTTCTCTCTCTCTCTCTCTCTCTCGTGTATGCGTGCGAGAGAGAGACAGGGTCTTGCTCTGTTGCCAAGGCTGGAGTGCAATGGCGCAATCATGGCTGACTGCAGCCTCGACTTTCTGGGCTCAAGTGATCCTCCCACCTCAGCCTCCTGAGTAGCTACGGACTGACTACAGGCACATGCTACCATGCCTGGCTAATTTTTTAATACTTTTTGTAAAGACTGGGTTCTATGTTGCCAAGGCTGGTCTCAAACTCCTGGTTTAAAGGGATCCTCCCGCCTCGGCCTCCCAAAGTGTTGGGACTCTAAGTGTGAACCACCACACCCAGCCCAATTTCTCACTATAAACTCAGCGGCAAAGTCAAATAAAATGTGTAATGACCAACTTGCAAGGTGACACATCCTGACTTATAGCAAAATTGTGTGCTTTACTGAACTTTAAGTCTACTGATTTGTCATACATACTGACTAATAAGCAGATAAACATCATTCTTGCAGATAAAATACAATATTAAATTTGGAAGGCAAGAAGTATAATAGACGCAATGTTTAAATATCTATTCATAATGTGTGAGTTTTCTAAATAGTAGAAATCAACATTCCAGAGCACTGCTACTCAAAGGCAGCAGGTCACCAAACTATGACCAGTCCATGACAAGATCTGGAGTCTATGCCAAAACGTAACCAACAGTGAGAAAGTCTAACTATGGAGAAAATAACTGCACTTAACAGGGTGCTCAATGACACAGGCTGATTGACACTCCAAGGCAATCTTACCATCTGGTCACTGACAGGTTAAATGTTTGCACACACACATGAATAGCTCAGTTTTAAAGTATAAAAGTGCTTGTTTAAGAGGAATGTATACATACAGATACAATCAGTTTTCAGAAAACACTTAAAATATGTAAATACCTGTTCCTGCAGGTCGTAGTCATAGCTGTCATGCAGCAGAAGACTGAGGACATACCGAGTGTAAATCATGGCATCAATGCCACATTTCTCGAGCTCTTGTCCCAGCCAGGTCTGCACTGGACCCAAAGCATGAAGCAGAGACATTTCAGAAACAGACACAGGGCCTGGATAAGAACTTGAGGAGCTTTCAGATGGCAAACCATCCACAACAACTGTACAGATAGGGTACATGAATTTAGGTTGCCGACATCCTTAAAATGTGAAGCATTTTCTGCAGTTGATATTCTGTTGGTATCTGGAGGGGATTTTCACTCCAGTAAAAAGTAGAGATGCTTGACATGTAGGATAAGCATTTATTTTTGCTGGTAGTCAGCCACCTAAAACAGACTTTCCCTCTTCAGGCATGACTAATGAATCAACATCCTGATAGCAACATGCATGTAGATGTGATTTTCTACTTTAATTTCACATTGAGGCCAAATGGAAGTCTCCGGCAGAACCTACAAAAATGAGAGAGGAAAAAAAGTATGCATTATATATAAATAATAAATTATTGACCTTTTGAGGAAAAAAAATCAAATAAACTGTCCCTCTTTATTAAAATATTTTTGGTATCTTAGAACACTGATTTTTCCCCCCATCATCTTTGATATTTTAAACTTCTAAAATGAATCCAGGCACTGTGGTACCTTCCTGTGTACCAGCAAGTTGGAAGGCTGAAGCGGGAAGACTGCCTGAACCCAGGAGTTCGAGGCTGTCCTGCACCATGACTGTACCTATGAATAACCCCTGCGCTCCAGTGTGGGGAACATATTGAGACATTGTCTTTATAAATAAATTTTTAAAAAAACTTAAAACAACATTGTGAACTTTTAAAAAGCTTAGTATCATTTAAAATAAATGAAAATTCAGGAGTTGATGCTCTGCTTCTGCTCAATTATACCAATTTTTTTTTTTTTTGCTATCTCAAGAGATTGGACTAGTAAAATTTTGTTTCTGTAATGCTGAAAAACAACTAATAAATCACTAGTTCATATCTAAGTATAACGGAAATAAGTAGATGAAGAGTAATTTCATTGAAACATGGGTAAAAAAATTAGTTCTTTATGTTTTATATAAGTAATCAATTACTTTGTAAGGCTCGAAACTTTAGGACTGGTCATCTCTGATTTCATACAAATAAAGGTGGAGTACCAATCTGTTTTACAGCCAGGCTATACTGTTTTAACTATTGAAACTTGTCTTCTTGCTGGAGAGGATGTGGAGAAATAGGAACACTTCTTACACTGTTGGTGGGACTGTAAACTAGTTCAACCATTGTGGAGGTCAGTGTGGCGATTCCTCAGGGATCCAGAACTAGAAATACCATTTGACCCAGCCATCCCATTACTGGGTATATACCCAAAGGACTATAAATCATGCTGCTATAAAGACATATGCACACGTATGTTTACTGCGGCATTATTCACAATAGCAAAGACTTGGAACCAACCCAAATGTCCAACAATGATAGACTGGATTAAGAAAATGTGGCACATATACACCATGGAATACTATGCAGCCATAAAAAATGATGAGTTCATGTCCTTTATAGGGACATGGATGAAACTGGAAATCATCATTCTCAGTAAACTATCGCAAGAACAAAAAACCAAACACCACATATTCTCACTCATAGGTGGGAATTGAACAATGAGAACACATGGACACAGGAAGGGGCACATCACACTCTGGGGACTGTTGTGGTGTGGGGGGAGGGGGGAGGGATAGCATTGGGAGATATACCTAATGCTAGATGACGAGTTAGTGGGTGCAGCGCACCAGCATGGCACATGTATACATATGTAACTAACCTGCACACTGTGCACATGTACCCTAAAACTTAAAGTATAATAATAATAAATTAAAAAAAAAAAAAGAAACTTGTCTTCTTATATACCTAGGTTGAATTTCTTAGTTTTTATGACAGATGACACACTTTCAGTTTAATGGCTTCCCCCCAAATTAACATACTTTCAATATGTGAAAGTAATCTAACAATGGCTTTATTAAATCATAATATTCTTTATATTAGAGTTCTGGTTAATTTACAAACCACTAGAAAATGAAAACTAATGTAATGAAAGGTAAACCTCCTAAACTCAACTTTTGCATGAATTTTAACAGATAATAAGAGGGCTACCAAAAATTACTTTCAAAGTATTGTTAATAAATGTTAGTAAAAGCATCAAGTCAGAAAGACAAATACCATTACCCAAAGATTTAAGACTGAGTTTCTTGCATTTATCTATCACTATGTAGTAAATTTTACACACATTAAATATAAAGACAACAGTTTTAAGTTCACCGCAGGACTAAGTTACTAAATTAATGTGTCACTAATACATGTTTTGCTACTTTTAAAATCCTCTCTACTATATTATCTTTTCTGAATTATGACAACTAGATAAATTAAAGCGAAGATTTTCTGTAACTTTCACCAGCTGAACTTTTCCAACTGACTTTCAAAACATTTTCCATAATTCATTTAACATTTGGATCTCAGGATGCCAGAGATATTGTCAATTAAATAACACACTCAATTCTGGAGACGTGCAAGAAATATGAAGAAAACGACCCCTAGAACACTATAATAAAATTACTCAAACTTGTCATAAACAGAAAAATTTTAAAGCACTCAGAGAAAAAAGAAACATTAAATATAGCAAACAAAAGATAAGTATGACCTCAGTTTTCTTGCTGGAAACAATGCAAGTGAGCAGATAATGGAGCAAAAACTTTAAAGTACTAAAAGAAAAAAAAACTGTCAACCTAGAATTCTATACTCATTGAAAGTGTCTTTCAAAAAGATACTTGCACACTCGTTCGTATTTATAGCAGCACAATTTGCTATTGCAAAAATATGGTACCAGCCCAAATGCCCATCAATCAATGAGGGGATAAAGAAATTGTGGTATATGTATATACATATATATATATACACACACACACACACACATATATACATGTATATATGTATACACATACACGTATATACACGTATCTATATACACGTATATATATATAGATATGTGTATATATGTGTGTATATATATACACCATGGACTACTACTCAGCCACAAAAAGGAACGAAGTAATGGCATTTGCAGTGACCCTGATGGAACCAGAGACCATTATTCTAAGTGAAGTAATATAGGAATAGAAAACCAAACACTGTATGTTTTCACTCACAAGCGGGAGCTAAGCTATGAGGATGCAAAGGCATAAGAATGATACCAGTGGACTTTGGAAATTCAGGGGGAAAGGGTGGGAGACGGGTAAGAGATAAAAAGACTACAAACTGGGTAGAGTGTATGCCGCTCAGGTGATGGGTGCACCAAAATCTCAGAAATCACCACTAAAGGACTTACTCATGTAACTATCACCTGTTCCCCAAAAACCTATGGAAATAAAAAATAAAAATAAAAAGCAAAAAATTAAAAACTTTCAAAATGAAAGTGAAACAAATGCTTTCTCTGATATGCAAAAACTGAAGGAATTTATCGCCAGCAAATGCTATGGATTTAAATATCACCTCCAAGCCTCATGTTGAAATTTAACTGCCATTGTGATGGTATTAAGAGGTAAGACCTTTAAGAGGTGATTAGGTCATGAGGGCTCCAACTTCATGTCACAGGAGTGGGCTCCTGATAAAAGGATAAGTTCAGCCCCATTTCTGTCTCAAGCACTCTCGCCTCCTCTTACCCTCCCCATCATGTGATGCTTTCTGCCATGGCATGACCCTCACTACAGGCCAGTGCCATGCTTTTGGACTTCCCAGCCTCCAGGAACTGTGAGCCAAATAAACTATTCTTTATAAATACCTAATCTGTGTCATTCTGTTATAGCAACAGAAAACAGACTAAGACAGAACAAAATGTGGATCCATTCAAGGGAACAAAGAGCACCAGAAATAACAACATTTGTCTTATTATTTAAATATCTTTAAAAGACAATTGCTTAAACAAAAATAATACAAAACATTGTAGAGCTTTTATTTAATAACATACATATAAGTAAAACATAAGCCAACAGTAGGATAAAGGCCAGGAGTGGGGAAATGTAAGAATACTATTATTAAGTTCTTGTATGAAAATGGTTTATCATTTGAAGACAAATTCTAATAACATAGCTGTTAATAATAATGAATGTAAATGACCTAAACACATCAATTAAAAGGCAGAGATACACTGAATTTTAAAACAGCAACACCTAATTATATGCTGCCTATTAAAAAACAAACCCTCCACTTAATTTTTTCCACAGAATTCAAATTTATATTCCTAAATGTCAATCTGGTAGATGTAGCCTAAACATGCCAGCTTTTCCCCAAACTTCTCTACCTGCTCTACCCAAGTAAGATGTGGCGTCTTCTTTTTTCTTTTTAACTTTTATTTTAGATTCAGGGGGTACGTGTGCAAGTTTGTTACCTGGGTATGTTGCATGATGCTGAGGTTTGGGGTATGAATTATTCCATTGCCCAGGTACTGAGTACAGTACCCAACAGTTAGTTTTTTCAACACCTACTGCCTCCCTCCCTCATCACTATAGCAGTCTTCAGTGTTTAGTGCTGTCACCTTTACATCCACAAGTAACTGATGTTTAACTCCCACTTCTAAGTGAGAACACACAGTATTTTATTTTCTGTTCCTACGTTAATTCACTTAGGATATTATCCTCCAGCTGCATCCACGTTGCTGCAAAGGACATGGTTTCATTCTTTTTTTAATGGCTGCATAGTATTCCATGGTATATATGTACCACATTTTATTTATGCAATCCACTGTTGATGGGCACCTAGGTTGATTCCGTATCTTTGCTAGTGTGAATAGTGCCGTGATGAACATATGAGTACATGTGTCTTTTTGGTAGAATAATTTCTTTTCTGAGATGTAGCTAGTAATGGGATTGCTGGGTCAAATGGTAGTTCTGTTTTAAGTTCTTTGAGAAATCTCCAAACTGCTTTCCACAGTGGCTGAACTAATTTAGATTCCCACCAACAGTGCATGAGTGTTCCCTTTTCTCTGCAGCCTCATTAGCATCTGTTTTTTAACTTCTAATGACAGCCATTCTGACTGTTGTGAGATGTTAACTCATTGTGGTTTTGATTTGCATTTCTCTGATAATCAGCGATGTGGAACTTTTTTTATACATTTGTTGGCTGCTTGTATGTCTTCTTTTGAAAATTGTCTGTTCATGTCTTTTGCCCACTTTTTAGTGGGGTCTTTTTTTTCTTGTTGAACTGTTTAAGTTTCCAATAGATTCTGGATATTGGACCTGTGTCAGATGCACAGTTTGCAAATATTTTCTCCTATTCTGTAGGTGGTCTGTATATGAAATGGTGTATCTATTAATACTGTACACCGTTTACTCTATTGATAATTTCTTTTGCTGTACATAAGCTCTTTGGCTTAATTAGATCTCATTTGTCAATGTTCGTTTTTGTTGCAATTGCTTTTGAGGACTTAGTCACAAATTCTTTCCTAAGGCCAGAATGGTGTTTCCAAGTTTTTTTCCTAGGGTTTTTATAGTTTGAGGTCTTACATTTAAGTATCTATAATCCATGTTGGGTCAATTTTTATATATGCTGAAAGGTAGGGGTCCATTTTCATTCCTCTGCATATGGCTAGTAAGCTATTCCAGGACCATTTATTGAATAGGGAGTCCTTTTCCTGTTGCTTATTTTTGTCAACTTTGTTGAAGATTCGATGGCTACAGGTGTACACCTTTATTTCTGGGTTCTCTATTCCGTTCCATTGGTCTACATATCTGTTTTTGTACCAGTACCATGCTGTTTTGGTTACTGTAGCCTTACAGTATAGTTTGAAGTCAGGTAACACGAAACCACTAGTTTTGTTCTTTTTGCTTTGGATTGCTTCGGCTACTCTGGCTGTTTTTTGGTTCCACACGAATTTTGTAATAGTTTTTTTTTTTTTCCAGTTCTGTGAAAAATGACATTAGTAGTTTGATGGGAACAGTGTTGAATATGTAGACTGCTTTGGGCTGTATGGCCATTGTAATGATATCAATTCTTCCAGTCCATGAACATGAAATATTTTTCCATTAGTTTGTGTTATCCATGATTTTATCGTCCTTCTTGCAGAGATCTTTCACCTCCTTCGTGAGATGTACTCCTAGGTAGTGTGTGTGTGTGTGTGTCTATTGTAAATGGGAGTGTTCTCTCTTGAAGGAATCACTGAACTACTGCCAGTCCAGGGAGTGTATTCTTTTTTTTTTTTTTTTTTTGAGACGGAGTCTTGCTCTGTTGCCCAGGCTCAAGTGCAGTGGTGCAACTTTGGCTCACTGCAAACTCCGCCTCCTGGGTTCTAAAAATTCTCTGCCTCGGCCTCCCGAGTAGCTGGGATTACAGATGCCCACCACCATGCCCAGCTAATTTTTGTATTTTTAGTAGAGACGGGGTTTCACCATCTTGGCCAGGCTGGTCTTGAACTCCTGACCTCGTGATCCACCAGCCTCGGCCTCCCAAAGTGCTACAATTACAGGCGTGAGCCACTTCACCCAGCCTGGGAATGTATTCTTGATTTGGTTCTTGGTTTGAATGTTATAGGTGTATAAAATCCACTTTAAATATAAAGACACAAATAGGTTAAAAGTAAAAGGAGAAAAAATTTTACACTAACATTAATAAAAAAGCTAGAGTGTCTACATCAGTTTCTAACAAAAGTAGATTTTGGCGCAAAAAATACTAACAGAGATAAAGAAGGTCAATTCATAATGATAAAGGGATAGATGTATCAAAAGGCCATACCAGTCCTTTATATTATACATCTAACAGCATACTTGCAAAACATATGAAACAAAAATTGGTAGAACTGCAAAGATAAATAAACAAGTCCACAATTACACTAGATCTCAAAACCTCCTTGTCAGTCACTGCAAGAAGAAATACACAAAAAAACCAGTAAGGATATAGAGAGAACAACATTATTAACCAACTTGACCTAAGATAAACTGTATCTTTGGCCACAGAAAAGGTGCAATAAGCTTAAAAGAATTCAATCATACATGCATGTTCTCTGACCACATGGAATTATAACTGGTAACATCAAGATGTCTGGAAAAGCTTCCAAACATTTGAGAACTAAAAACATATTTCTAAACAATAGGGGAGGCTAGGCACAGTGGCTCACGCCTGTAATCCCAGCACTTTGGGAGGCCGAGGCAGGCGGATCACGAGGTCAGGAGATCGAGACCATCCTGGCTAACACGGTGAAACCCCGTCTACTAAAAATACAAAAAAATTAGCCGGGCATGGTGGCGGACGCTTGTAGTCCCAGCTACTTGGGAGGCTGAGGTGAAAGAATCACTTGAACCTGGGAGGAGGAGGCGGCTGCAGCGAGTCGAGATCATGCCAATTAGGAAGTACTATATTTTGAACTGAATATAAATGAAAACACAACCTATCAATATTTTTAGGATGCCACAAAAGCAGTCCTGAGAAAGAAATGTAGAGCACTGTCTACATTAGAAAAGGTCTTAAATCAATGATCTCAGTTTTCACCTTAAGAAACTAGACAAAGAAGAGCAAACGAAGCCTAAACTAAGCAGAAAAAAGCTCAGAGCAGAAACCAGTGAAATAGAAAGCAGAAAAACAATAAAACCAAAAACAGGTTCTTTAACCTCTAGCCAGACTGATCAGGAAAGAGAGAAGACATAGATTACCAGTATCAGGAATGAGAGAGGTGAGATCACTACAGATTCTATAGGTATAAAAATGAGAATAAGGCATATTAGAAAAACTTTATACCAATAAATTCAATAACTTAAATGAAATGGAAAAATTCCTTGAAAGATACAAACTACCAAAGCCTACTCAAGAAGAAACAGAATGAACAGTCCTATATCTATAAAGGGAATTGAATTTATAGTTTAAAATTCACAAAGAAATTGCTAGGCCCATATAGTTTCAAAGGTGAATTCTACCAAATATTTAAGAAAAGCGTAATTCCAATTCTATACAAACTTTCCCAATACTTCTCAAATCATGTTATGAAGACAGCATTAAACTGATACCAAAAGCCAATAAAGATATTACAAGAAACAGGCTGAGCGAGGTGGCTCACGCCTGTAATCCCAGCACTTTGGGAGGCCGAGGCGGGTGGATCACGAGGTCAGGAGATCGATACCATCCTGGCTAACACGGTGAAACCCTGTCTCTACTAAAATACAAAAAAATTAGCCAGGCGTGGTGGCAGGCGCTTGTAGTCCCAGCTACTCGGAAGGCTGAGGCAGGAGAATGGCGTGAACCCGGGAGGTAGAGCTTGCAGTGAGCCGAGATCACGCCACTGCACTCGAGCCTGGGCAACAGAGCGAGGCTCCGTCTCAAAAAAAAAAAACAAAAAAAAGACATTATAAGAAACAAAGAAGACCAATATGCCTCATGAGTACAGATGCAAAAATTTTACACAAATTTTCAGGTAATTGAATCCAATAATATATACATCAAACCCAGAGGATACAAGGATATCAGAAGAATGCTGTTCTACACAATTGTCTACCACAGAACCTCTAAAATATTCGTTTCACTGTACAACTCAAAGGCCTTAAAAATTGACACCATGAAAGATTGGATTCACTGTAAAGACTGATATATTGTTTTAGTTTTATTATGTTTACTTTAAAATGTGATCTCAAGCCAACCATAAGATTCTTTTTGTTGTCGATAGAGAGTTCACATTTATTTAGCCAAGTGAAAGGATTCAAGGAGGTGAGACAAAATCAGCATACGAAGGCAAAATAAAGCAAAGCATATTGAACGCCCACATGATCTCAAAGCTGGTTAAAACCTTTGCTTGCATTATTATCCTTAAGAGAACCGTTCTTACAACTTGTCCAAAATCTGATTGCATGAAATTTTAAAATAACTGGTTATATCTATAGTCATGAGTGATTAAAATCTACACAGTACAGACTGCAGAGGACCAAGGAAAAGAAAGAAAAAGAAAGTAAAGGCTGACAAGTAGCTTCAGACTACTCTACATTCATCTATGCAGTACTTTTCAGTGGATAGTAATAACTGGGGTTTTTAGACAGAAGCACCAACCACACGATGGCTTCTTCCTGTACCATAATGACAGATCTAAATGTTCTTGGAGCTAAAGAGTATTCATTCTCCTTGCTTTAACTCAAACTGTTAGCAGATGACCCACGTACAGAATACCGGGCACTAAGCTTTCTCTACCTAAGCAGCAAGCCTTTGGTAGAGGGGTAAACATTTGACCAAATTAGAGACTATTTCTAGTTGTGAACTGAAAGGAGACTCCTAGGTATGTTGGTTCACGAATTATCTGTTTAATTAAAACTTACTTCACGTATGATCCACCGTGGTGAAACTTACCTCTAATGGTCACAGCACTGAGGGTCAGTGCTGGTTTTGACAAGCACAGGCAAAAACCCATGTTTATTCACCTGGCATGATGAGGAACACAACTGGCAAACACTCAAATTTCAAACTGTCTATCTGCCTTTACACTCATTCCAAACATGGAATTTAGTCAATACGAAGTTAAATTTTAGTTTAAATTCTATAAAAAAGTTTTAAAGAAAAAGCACCACTATATATCAAGTGTTTTTTTTTTTAACGTTCCCTTCCCTCTTCAGAGGCTTGTGCCAAGAGAAAAGGACCTTCAAATCATCTTATCTTTCTCTTATGCAAAATTAGCCCAAATCATCCTAATTCATGTGTATTCCCACATGGAAACACTTATTTTAAAATTTGTCTTTTTTACTTTAAAGTTTAAATCGTTTCTATTAAAAATGTAAAAACAATATAGATAGTTCCCATAAAAGTTTATATATCATTTGAGTTATCTTTAATTCACGGAGGTAGGATGGCGAGTGGAAAGTACACTAGTTCAGCAATCATAGTATCTTAGGTTTTTGCACACAGTCCCACCTCTGCCACTTAATAGCTGGCTTTTGTGCCCACAGCTTCCCAGGGTCATTGTTTTCTCATCTGTAAAACAGAATAATGTATACTGACTCTTCCTACCTTTCAACCTCTCACAAGTCTGTTGCATGGGAAAATGAAAAGTCTATCTGTGTATTTTGGGGTATGTGCATTTCTCCAAATAGCATACAAATTGAAGGTATTGTTAAAGACTACCACACTCAAATTGTTTTTATATGCTTAGTATTACAAGTTCTGTTACTAATAGGATTATATGAAGAATAGTAATTATTTAAAATATGTTAGCCTTTTAGAACAAAATACTCAATTTCTTTACTATCCTTAAAAAAAAAAAACAACCAACTATGAGATCATCTTCATTTATAATAATCTAGTTCTAGTCCTATCAGGGCCTTTCCTCTTTCAGGTAACATTGCAGTTCTCTACAACAAAGTTCTAATATGACAGTGCAAAGAACCCAAGGTGGTTAAGTGCAAAGGAGGAGGAATATGGAAATACAACAACCTCTCTTTGCTGTCCAGTTTTCTACTTGTTTTTAGAACACAGACATCTGCAGAGCAATCTCCATACATTTAAACTACGTTATCCCCAAGCAGTCCAGAGAGAGAGCTCAGCACATACATATACTTGCAGTTGTACACCTAGTACACAACTGCAAGCCCTTTTAAAGACCTTAGGATTAAAAATAGCCTTGGTCCAATGAAAATTATCCCCTAAAGGCTGGAACAACTCTATGCAGGCTCTGGGGTCAATATTAACATTGCTCTGTGCTGCCCGGCAGTGACAGTGTGATGGAGTAAGGCGAGAACAGACGTCAAGCCAGGCTCACTCCTATGGCAGCCCCCAGGAAACCCTGCACTAAGTTTAAATACATGCCACTTTGGGTCTCCAGGAGTCAGAGCCCTGGGCATGAGAGTTTATAACCAGCCCAGGGACTTAACTAAATTTTTAAATGAAAGTATTTAATTATTTATCTAGTCTACATGTTTTCAGGGTGATATAATAAACCCCAAATGGTTTGTCCATTAAGGGGGAGAAAAAAACAACAGACCTGGCCAGGCGCGGTGGCTCACGCCTGTAATCCCAGCACTTTGGGAGGCCGAGGCGGGCGGATCACAAGGTCAGGAGATCGAGACCATCCTGGCTAACACGGTGAAACCCCATCTCTACTAAAAATACAAAAAGTTAGCCGGGCGTGGTGGCAGGCACCTGTAGTCCCAGCTACTCGGGAGGCTGAGGCAGTAGAATGGCGTGAACCTGGGAGGCAGAGCTTGCAGTGAGCCGAGACTGCGCCACTGCATTCCAGCCTGGGCAACAGAGCGAGACTCCGTCTCAAAAAAAACAAAAAACAAAAAAAAAAAAACAGATCTAAGTACTTAAATTATTATATAAGTAAATACTTTCCAAGAAGTAGACCAAACATAATGCCACACTTCACACAAGTAATTTAATAATGAAGGGTTTTTTGGAGCAGTGAGGAATTGTTTTGAAGAAGTTCACAAATCTTCTCAAAATCTCATCCCTTATGTAATAATGTTCCGAGAAACATGGTGCTATCTTTTTATATTCTATATGACATATATTACTAAAAATAATTCAAATTACAACTCCTATTGGTGTTCCTAATTATTTAGAGTGCACTAATAGCATTTCTTATAAGCTATAAGAGACATACTATCTATAGTTCAGTTTCTTTAGTGTTCAAGTACAGCAGACATGTGGCCAAGTTAATTTAAATATTAAGATAGTTCCCTTTTTTGTAATACACTGTAAATAATTTTAGGTGTGATTACAACATATGAAAATTATTTCAAAAAGCATACTCTCTTTCTGACATGGCTGCATAAATACTATCTGTGGACTGTTCTCTCAATTTACTTTTGTTACAGCACAACTGATCAAAAAGAGCACCAGACAGTAAACAGTCACAAACTGGGCTTCTCTGGGCAAAATGTAAAATGTGGACCTTGTGGAGAAAAATCTGGGCAGCTCTATTCAACCGATATATTCACTTGCCGATATATATTAGTACCACAGCACTTCTTTCTTTCTTCTCATGTTTATCATATATATCTTTATTAGCAAAGTTTTAAAGTATTTTTAAAACATAAAAATAGAAGTAGACACTCATACATAATTTCAGCACCTAATATTCACTGTTAGTATTTTGGTGTGCTTATTAACTAGTGTTTTTTCCTTTGCATAGGACTTTAAATTTATTATTTCTATATATTAAATAATAACATACATATACTTTCATATTCTGCCTTTTTCACCTGGCATTATGTCACCCCCATGGCGTTCTAAGACCCTTACTGCACTGCCCAATATGGTAGCCACTAGTCACATGTGGCTATTTTAAACTAAAAGTCAGTTCCTCAGTCACACCAGCTACAGTTCAAGTGCTCAACAGCCTCATGGAGCCGGTGTGCAAATATAGTACATTTCCATAATCACAAAAGTTCTACTAGACGACACTGGTTTTGACCCTCTCCCCTCTAGCAAATGACTATGTTGAGCTTAATAAAGACTCATTAGCTCTTTCAATGGAGTTCATATGCCCCTCCCCACGTTCCAGGAGGTTGTCCAAGACACTACCTGGAAGAAAGGCTACTAATCACAGCTACTCTGAAATAACACAATGTGCCCAGAAAGAACTGTTTGAGAGAACTGGAAAACATCTACTTTATGTTTGATAGGTCTCAAATTTCAAAAGGTCAAATTTCATTACATTTCAATGTAATCATGGAAGGTTCAATGACAAAGTCAGACTGTATGGAATAACAAGAACAACTAAAGCCTATTAACAAAACAAAGAGAGAACTGAGAATAATTAGGATAAGGGGTCAATAACAAACTGAGGGAAAAGGTTAAAATAGGGTAGATTATGCAACAGAAACAACTCCCAAATTACAGTAGCCTAACACAAAGGTTTATATCTTAAAAAAAAAAAAAAAAAAAAAAAAATTAGGCCAGGCACAGTGGCTCACACCAATAATCCCGGCACTTTGGGTGGCCGAGGCGGACGGACTGTTTGAACTCAGGAGTTCAAGACCAGCCTGGGCAACATGGTGAGACCCCATCTCTACCAAAAAAATACAAAAATCAGCCAGGCATGGTGGCTTGCGCTTGGAGTCCCAGCTACTCAGGAGGCTGAGATGGGAGGATCACTGGAGCTCGGGAGGCAGAGGCTGCAGTGAGCCAAGATCATGCCAAAGCACTCCAGCCTAGGTGACAGAGTGAGACCCTGTCTCAGAAAGAAAAAGCAAAACTTATAGGGTACAGGTGCAATTTTGTTAACATGCATAGACTGCATATTAAGTCAGGGTTTACGCAATACCTGGCTTTCTATGTCTGGCTTGTGCCTTATCACTTAAGATAATGACTTCCAGTTCCACCAACGTTGCCGCAAAAGACACGATTTCACTCTTTTTTTATGTCTGAATAGCATTCTATTGTGTGTATAGACCACATTTTCTTTATCCATTTATTCACTGATGGACACTCAGGTTGATTCTACATCTTTGTTATTGTGAATAGTGCCGCAATAAACATACGAGCACAGGTATCTTTCTGACACGTTCTTTTCCTTTGAGTATCTACCCAAAGTAGATACTCAACAGTGGGAATGCTGAATTGAATGCTCATTCTATTTTCAGTTCTTTAAGAAATCGCCATACTCTTTTCCATAGAAGCTATACTAATTTATATTCCCACCAAAAATCTTTAAGAGTTTCCTTTTCTCTGCATCCGTGCAAATACTTGTTTTCTTTTTGTTGTTGTTGTTGTTTTGTCTTTTTAATAATAGCCATTCTGACTGGGGTAAGATGACATCTCATTCTGGTTTTGGTTTGCATTTCTCTGATGACTGGTGATGCTGAGCTTTTCTTCATATACGTGTAGGCCATGTGTATGTCTTCTTTTAAAAAAAGTCTATTCATGTCTTTGCCCACCTTTTAATGGGATCTTCTTGTTTTTGCTGTTGTTGAAGTGTCTGAATTCCTTGTATATTCTGGATATCAGTTCCCTATCAGATAAATAGTTTGCAAACATTTTCTCTCATTCTACAGGCTGTCTCTTCAATCTCCTGCTGATTTCTTTTGCTCTGCTGAAGCTTTTTGGTTTCGATAAGGCCCATTTGTCTATTTCTGTTTTAGTTGCCTGTGTTTTTGAGGTCTTAGTCACTGATTCTTTGCCTATATCAATGTCCAGAAGAGTTTTCCCTAGGTTTTATTCTAGTATTTTTATAGTTTCAGGTCTTAACGTTTAAGTCTTTAATCCATCTTGAGTTGATTTTTTGTATATGGTGAGAGACTGGGGTCCAATTTCATTCTTATGCACAGGGCAATCCAATTTTTCCAGCACCATTTCTTTAAGAGGGTATCCTTTCTCTGATGTATGTTGTTGGTAGCGTTGTCAAAGATCAGTTGGCTATAAATATGTGGCTTAATTTCTGGACTCTCTATTCTGTGCCATTGTCTATACATCTATTTTTACACCAGTACCATGCTGTTTCGGTTACTATACCCTTGTAATATAATTTGAAGTCAGGTAATGTGATACCCCCAGCTTTGTTCTTTTTGGTCAGGATTGCTTTGGCTATTAGGGCTCTTTTTTGATTTCATATGAATTTAGGATTTTTTTCCTAATTCTGTAAAACATGACATTAGTATTTTGATAGGGGTTACATTGAATCTGTAGATTGCTTTGGATAGTACGGTCACTTTAATGATATTAATTCTTCCAATCCATGAGCATTGGATGTTTTTCCATTTATTTGTCATCTACAATTTCTTTTATCAGTATTTTGTAGTCTTCCTTGGAGAGATCTTTCACCTCCTTGGTTAAATGTATTCCTAGGTACCTTGTTTTTTTATAGCTATTGTAAATGGTACTTCCTTCTTGATTTCTTCCTCAGCTAGATCGTTATTGGTAATATATAAATATTACTGATTTTTGTATGCCGATTTTGTATCCTGCAACTTTACTGAATTTACTTATTAAATCTAGGAGGTTTTTTGGTGGAGTCTTTAGTTTTTCTAGATATAAGAGCATATTATTGGCAAACAGGGATATAATTTGACCTCCTCTTTTCTAATTTGGATGCCTTTTATTTCTTTCTCTTGCTTAATTTCTCTTACTAGGACTTCCACAAAGGTTTATATCCTTCTCATACTATGTGTTCATCCTGGATTGGCAGGGATGATCAGGGTAATCACTCATCATAATCATTCTGGGACACAGGGTGACAAAATGGCCATTATCTTGAACCCTGCTAGTCTAGGGGGCCAGAGAAAATAAGATCTGCACCAAAGCTGGCACTGGTACTTTGAATGCTTCCTCCTGGAAGTGAGCTACTCACATTTTATGAGTCAAAGCAAGTCTCTTAGCCTCACTTCACTTTAATAGGGCAGGTATCACTAGCCCTAATGACCACTTCAAGGGGTAGAATATGAGGCTGTTAATATTAAGGAAACAACTCTGAAGTCTAACATTATTGAAACCAGCATTCTGGTAAACACAGACAAACTATCAAAGACAATAATAATAGGATCATAAAAGTTTCAGAAAGCACAGACACGGCTGAAACACTAACACCCAACTGGCAATGGAATCATTCCTGCCCTGCCTTCCTGAAGAAGCCCTTTCTAATTATGTAAGGGCATACCACTGTCTTCCTCCCAACACTTATAGAGTGCTGGCTGTCCTCATGACCTGCTGCCTTGTGATGATGTCCTTTTATACTATTCTCTAACTGCCTCCTGGGAATGGGTTCCTCATCAAATAGGCTTAAAGTTCTTCAGGCCAAACTGTGACATCCTCCACATGTACCATTTAGTAGAATGCTTAGGCCTTGGCAGGTGATCAAAACTGTGCTGAACTAACTACTTCCCAAATCTAAATGGAGGAGAATAAATTCTGAAAAAGAGAAGTTTGGTAAATAAAATGATATTCATAATACTAGCAGGTGGGAGAAAAAACCAACTCAGATCACACTCTGAGTCCACAGGCAGGGACTAACTAACATAGGAATTTTAACTCATTCTCTCACGATCCCATGTACTAGAGGTTTCTTGTGTACAAGGCACTGTGCCTGGTGTCAGTGATATCGAGACAATCATGACTCTCTCAGGATTTTCCTTTAGGTATTTACCATCCTGTATTAGCAGGCTTTCGCCTTATGTAAAGCAACTTGTACTCTTCCCACAGAAGCCCTCTACCATTCCCTTTGATCTAGTATGGTACTTCTGCAAGTCATGCTTGAACTCTCTATATTTTTAACTGGTCCTTTCTCACTACAAAGTTCATACTCACATTGCTGGTGTGCTCAGTACCCAAGACACTGCATTACCTGCAACTGTCTTTTCATAATTATTCAATTTGGGTGTTTACAGGACTTTCACATAAGGAAAAGACTTGAGGGGGAAGGCATAAAGGATATATAACATAAAGTAAAAGAAAGAATATAGAAAAGAGCATAAAGAAAACAGATATTTGAAATATTAAGACTCTGGCTTTTGGACTCTATTACTTTTCACCAAAATCCTAAATACTATTTGCCTGGCAAGCCAGAGAGTGCAAACATACAATTAAGTAGTTATACATTTATAAATAATTCTTGTCTGTTATTTTCTTTTTTCTTTTTTGAGACATAGTCTCACTCTGTTGCCCAGGCTAGAGTGTAGTGGCATGATCTCAGCTCACTGAAACCTCTGCCTCCCAGGTTCAAGGGATTCTCCTGCCTCAGCCACCCGAGTAGCTGGGACTACAGGTGCACATCACCACACCTAGCTAATTTTTGTATTTTTAGTAGAGATGGGGTTTCACCATGTTGGCCAGGCTGGTCTCCTGACCTCAAGTGATCCACTTGCCTTGGCCTCCCAAAGTGCTGGGATTACAGGGATGAGTCACTGTGCCTGGCCTTGTCTGTTATTTTCTGATCTCAGCACATGAATTTGGAACTGAAGATAATGCTTATTCTCTTTAGTAGGTAGCCTGGCTCCAAAGCCAATCTACAGCCAGAAGAGAAAATCCATAAAGAATCTACAACCCAAACTGGAATTCAAGCACTGAAAACAGGAACCAAGGGCTATAAACTATGTAAACCGGTTTACCCTAGGTATCTGAAAAGCTACGTAGAAATGGACAATCAGACCTACAGTTTTCTTCCCCATTCTAGAAGTGTGTCAAGTCCCAGGAAATGAATAAGGCTTTTTAAAAAGTAATGTAATCAACAAAACTAGTGTGAGACTTGAGTTCTTTCTACAAAAAGAGGAAAAACTGCATAAAGATTGAGAAATTCCATGCTTACTAGTCATCAGAAATAAACACGTAAGTATATATGCTCCAGTGACAATTAAAATGAATTATTAATATTTTCATAAACAGGATTGTTCTTATAGATAAGATTACTACTTGATAGCAAGAGAAGTAGCAAATATTTTCATAAATTGCAAGCCTGTAACAGATTTGGTTAATCTGGTTGATCTTTATGTTTAAAAGATAAGGAAGAAAAGCTGGATGCCATGGTGTGTGCCTATAATCCTAGCTATTGGAGAAGCTGAGGCAGGAACAACACTTGAGCCCAGGCGTACAGGGCCAACTTGGGCAACATAGCAGGACCCTGTCTTAAATAGATAGATAGATAGATAGATAGATAGATAGATAGATAGATAGATAGACAGACAGACAGACAAAAAGGAAAAACCAATTTTGTAATGATAAAGTGTAGGTGAAAGCGATCAGTTCTACATAGATTCAGAAGTACTAAACAGACTTCTATTAAAACAAAACAAATGAGAGCTAGATCTAGTGTGTAATGAGACTAAATAAAAGGGAAAAGCTTTCTATGCAACCTGGATAAACTTTCCTCTACTGAGGAAATGCTACTGTCAAATGCTCACAGACCTGAAAGTTTCGATCAGCCTGTATGTTCTTATTGTTTTAATTCTTTTTTTTTTTTTTTTTTTTTTTTTTGAGAGGGAGTCTATCTAGCTCTGTCACCCAGGATGGAGTGCAGTGGCATGATCTTGGCTCACTGCAAGCTCCGCCTCCCAGGTTCATGCCATTCTCCTGCCTCAGCCTCCCAAGTAGCTGGGATTATAGACGCCCACCACCACACCCGGCTAATTTTTTGTATTTTTAATACAGACGGGGTTTCACCATGTTAGCAAGGACGGTCTCGATTTCCTGACCTTGTGATCCACCCGCCTCGGCCTCCCAAAGTGCTGGGATTACAGGCATGAGCCACCGCCAGGCCTCTTATTGTTTTGTTACTGTTTGAACTTATTGTTTAATTGTACTATGGAGATGAACTGCTTGTGCAAAGTTACATTGTTTTATGTCTAACTTATACTTGATTCCAGTTATTTGATGATTCTTATTCATCTGTTAATATTTCTGGTTTGAAAAGCTGGACTGCCATATTAAAAATTTTTTTTTACAGGTTATCAAATTATAATAACCAATGTAGACATTTAGTTCACTTAGACCAATTAGATGTCAAAATTCTTTAGCAGGGCTACAAAATGGCAGTTTTTATGCCTTCAAAAAGTTATGGAGATTTAAAAAAATGCCTTTTTTACCTAGCAGGGGTAAACCTCACAGCAGACACTTTACAGGACAAAAGGAGAAAACATTTGGGCCCAAGGGGAAGAGGAAAATGTATACACTTACAACTGAAGCAAATCCTCCTCCTTCCTTGCAAAAGATAACAAAATAGCAACTAAACAAAATGCAAAAACAAGATAAAACAAAATTATTATGAAATTCTAAAAGCTTTTGGAAAAATTGTTGGAAAAGGGACGAAACAACTAAATTTTAGAAATTTAAAAATTTCAATTAGGAAAAATGGAAACATCTACAGATTAAGAAATGCAAAATTTCAAAAACCCTAAGCTTACTTGGAAAAAAACTAAAATAAGTAATTTTTACACTTTTTGAAAATGCAAAAAGCTCCAACATGATGAAACCCACTTTGTCAACGTTGAAACATTTTATCATATAAAATACTATATCATAGTGTACCAAAATAATTTTACAATGTGATACTGTTGGTCCTCAAAATGTCTGGGCATATAAATTCTACAGCTTTCAATTACTAAACTCAAAACCACAAATATCTTCTGAGTTTCAATGAGTGAGGTAAAGGTAGCATAAAATTCTGTAACTCACTGGTAAGACAGTGAGTTAACATTTTTAAAATTACTATAAAAGCCACAGCCAAGTAATACAAATTATAGTTCTCCAAAACGGACTTAGGTAAGAAGCAATACTTCAATAATGTGTTTATATCAGTCAATAATCTAATTCTATATGAAAAGTTTATATGGATTATCTGATTCATATCCTAATAGTTAAAAATTTTAAAGAGTCCAAATAAAATTTTCTGTTTATGCAAAAAGATACACACTAGAGAACTCAGAATAGGATCAAAGTAGTACATATGTTCATTTCTCATCCATTAATTATATGCTTCCAACATTAAATCAAGCCTTTAGATATGGTTCTGAAGATAACTATAGTAATTCTTCTGGACCCTAGGAAGATATTTAAATAAACAGTGTCATCATTTAAAGGATAACTTGCTACACAGTTTCCCCAAAGTATACTCTGGGTGATATAAAAATATATTCCTTTGCCATAAACGTCTTCATTTTGCATAAATTAGGGAAATATCAAAGCTGAAACAAGAGCAGGTTTATTGCAGGACATCTTGAAACCTTTAATAGGCTAATATGCACCCGGAACCTCCAAGAAGGAGAGCATTCATTCATTCATTCATTGACCCGTTTTGCTTCCTTGGAACACAGCTTGGGAAACAGGAGATGTTCTAATCAGAAAGAATTTTCTCCAAGGCCCAAGTTATTAATATAAGCAAGGCATAGATCACCTGACCTGAGGTTTTCATATCCAGAATTCCCAGGATTAAAAAGTTAAACTGAAGATGTAATTTAGGAATAAGATCATTAATTATATTCATCTCCTTTCCTTTAAATAACTTGCATAAATTGTACTATTCTATACAGTAAATCAATTAGTATTCCCTTTTATATGGTATCAGAAACTTCCACATTTTCCCATTTCCCACATACACTTAGGGACTTACTGGTTGTCTTCATTCTCAACGCATTCTCCGGAACGGTTACAGGGGCAGAGTCCACCGCGCCCTACCTTTATCAGTGTACACTACCTACACAACAGTGAAGCAGGCATTTTAGTATCAAAGACGTACCTACCATCATTAAAATGATCTTAGGTTTCTTAACACTTTACAAAGCAATCACAGTTTTTAATGGACCAAAAGACAGCTGTCTGATAATGGGATGTTAATGGCAGAGCTTCCACTAGGTAATGAACGCAACTGGTCAGTGGCTCTAAACTGAGGATGGCAGAGTAGGGCACACTAGTGTTCATGTACCAGAACAAGAGGGAGCACTCCAGGGGCTGGTGGAGGGAGGCCCGCTAGAGCAGGAATACCTGTATTTAACAAACATTTGCTAAGTATTAGGTACAGCTGCTAAAAGTGTTAGAAATGCTACCAAATTTAATTGCACTTTAAGGCATCCTTGAATCTGGGAAACACATTGAGAATTCCTACTAGCTGTGATGTTTATCTTATGGAACTCTCCCCAAATAAATAAAATAGATATATTTCTCAAAACCTCAAATACAAATACTTTAAAGACAGGTTAACATGTAACATTCTCAAAAACACATTTTAAATACTCAGCAAAGTGCCACACTTAACAAAGGTGATACATCTTGGATTGGAATTTTATGTTAATTAAAACCTTTCCCCTCAAAAATGACTATCTGTAGAGCCCTATAAGGATATCTCCTTAAAATTTCAGATATGTTCAAGTCACAAATACTATGTTACAAGGTAAATGTAAAGGAAGAAAATAGGTAGGAAAAATACCCACTGTATGGCTCAGAAAAGGAAAAACAAACATGGAAAGAAAATAGCTAACAATCCAAACATTAAACATAAAAATCCACTTCCAAATGACTCATGTCAAATATAAAATTGGTTATTCCTTTTTTATAAATTCTGGTCAAGTTCTTTAACATGAAATACTTGACTCTGAGGTTAGTAAAAAGTATTCTCTTTAAGTGAATATGAAATTAGACAACTCTAGAAAGAAATTACTATACTTGAAATTTTAATCAGGGTAATCTTATCCAAATGAATCCTTCAAGTATTTTCTAACTACCAGTAACTACGTAACTACTGGAATCTTCCAACTATTACCTAACTACCAGTAACCAGATAACTTGAGAGCTGTGTGACAGACCCTTGAACATTCATGTTTCAATGTTTGGCATTCATGTTTGATAATGTCAAAGATTTGTGTAATTTATCAAAAGTCACCCCCTACAAATCTTTCTCTTACCTTGTCTTCTCAATCTATATTTCCAACTACTCATGGAATATTTCCATTTGAACTTAAGGGAGCTGGGCTTCAATTTATATGAGAAAGTCCATATATATATATATATATATATATGCACTCATTTTAATTTCTTTCAAGAGGTAAAGTATTCTTCTGTCATCCAGGCTGGAGGTGCAGTGGTACAATCATAGCTTACTACAGCCTAGAACTCCTGGGCTCAAGTGATCCTCCCACCTCACCTTCCACAGTAGCAGGGACCACAAGCATGCACCCACCAAACCTGGCTTTTTTTTTTTTTTTTTTTTTTGGTCAAGACAGAGTATGTTGCTCAAGTATGCCCAGTATGTTGCCTAGGCTGGTCCTGAACTCTTGACCTCAAGTGATCCTTCCATCTCAGCCACCTAAAGAGTTGGGATTACAAGCATGAGCCACTGCCCCCAGCTATATGCACTCATATTCGACTATTACTCTTCTTTCAACCTTCTGTCATTTTTTCCTTCCTTGAGAGAACCTCACACCAATTAATTTCATTCCTCTGTGCTCCTTACATCACCAACATACCACACCTTGCTCTATACCTGAATCACCACTCTGTATTCTATGTTATAGCAAAATCCCCTTTCTGTCTTTATGTCCTTGGGGAAGACGTGAAGATGAAGCATTCTGGTTGGAGTCAACTTCCATCAGAAGAAAAGGTTAATTGTGCACTGTAACTCTGTTCGTACATAAGACACACACACACATAGTTATTTAGTAAGGGGGCTGGTGGGTTGGGGGGGGTTGAGAAGAGTCACAGAGAAAGAGAAAGAGACTTACCCCATATTTCTCCAGAACGCCAACCAATGAGTCAAATGAAATCAATCAAAAAATTTCTAAGAAAAATATTGTCCAACCATGGCACGCTGTGATGTACAACCCAGACCCTCAACTGAAGGCCATGCAGCCCCAGCTGCTGGGAGTGCTCCGTCAGCCCCTTCAAGTACTGCTGTGGCTACAGAGAACTGCCTCACCCGACATCTTGCCCTCTTCCAGGCAAGTCATCCTGACTGACTCAGAGAGCGTACAGGCCTGGCTACCCAGCCCAAGCCGGGACAGCTCCCACGGGCTATTCTAATGGGGTTGGCCAAGGCTATGCTATAATTGGGCATGCAAGGTAGTTCAACTTCTCCATTCCCTGAGTCTGGACCCTACGAGCAAGCCCTAATCAACATTCTGCATGCTAAATTGTCTGCATTTGCTTCCCAAAGTACCCGCCTTCCCAGAGAACCCAACTTGTGACACTCATGAAGGAACTAACAGCCCTATCAGGATCAAGGGCCCCTTTATTGCATAAATAAATACCCACCACCATTTAGTGGGTATTTATTATGTGCAATACACAGTGAGGGATACAAACTTTATCTGGAAGGTAATGGTGGCATGTATACAAATAACTTCTAAAGCTAAAAGAGTATGATTTCAGCACATGCACAAAATGATCATCCTCGCAGGCCCTGTATTTTTCTTTGTACTGCAAATAAACCAGAATCCACGTTTCTACTTTATGAAAACCCTATGTTCTACATTTAAAAACATGGATATGCTAATTAAAGTCCTAAGCACTGTAAGCCACTTAATAGCACCTTTCTCTTTTTTTTTTTTCCTTTTCGTCCTGTCACCCAGTCTGGAGTGCAGTGGAGCAATCATAGTTCGCTGCAGCTTGGAATTCCTGGGCTCAAGCAATCCTCCCACCTCAGCCTCCAGAGTAGCTAAGACGACAAGTGTGTGGCCATCAAGTCCAGCTTTTTTCTTTGGTAGAGATAGGGTCGCACTACATTGCTCAGGCTGGTCACGAACTCCTAGGCTCAAGCAATCCTCCCACCTCAGCCTCCCAAAGGGCCAGGATTACAGGCATGAGCCACCATGCCTGGCCTAGTGGCATCTTTTCAGTCTCCTATAACCACCATCCACTTATTCTTTGAACAAAGGTGAACTGAACAAAGGTGAAATGAATCTCTAGAACTGCATTGTCCAATGAATATGGTAGCCACTAGTGGCTATTTACATTTTAATTAATTAAAATTAAATAAAATTGAAAATTCAGTTCTTTAATGGCACAAGCCACATTTCCAGTGTTAATAGCCCCATGTAGCCAGTGGATACTGAATAGAAAAGACAGTGAACATTTCCATTATCAAACAAAGTTCTACTGGACACAACAGGTCTAACACATCAAGATTTGGGGAAATGCTGACAATTCCACATCCTGGTTCAATACCCAGCTGCTGAACTTAATTTCCTACAAACTAAGAAAATTACAAATTATCCTATGACCAAATTATCAAGAACTCTGTCTATATTTATATTTGTATTCCCACTACATTCCATGTTAATAAGCTGTTGGAAAAGCACTGCTGAACTGAACAAACCCTTAAGAACCTGCCTGCCCTTCCTAACTGGGCTCTTCGTATCACCCCCCTCACATAACCTTTCAGAGTGATGAGCCCAGGAGCCAACCTGGCTCTGCATTTTCTATGTGACCCAAAACTATATAAAATGTTACCAAATGACATTTCTGCCATTCTGCTTACTTCATTTACAGAATTCAAACAAGTATAATGAGCAAGGTCTTTTCCTCCAAATTTTCTTTTTTTTTTTTGAGACGGAGTTTCCCTCTGTCGCCCAGGCTGCAGTGCAGTGGCATGATCTCGTCTCACCACAACCTCCACCTCCTGGGTTAAAGTGATTCTCCTGCATCAGCCTCCTGCGTAGCTGGGATTACAGGTGCATACCACCACACCCAGCTAATTTTGTATTTTTAGTAGAGATGGGGTTTCTCCATGTTGGTCAGGCTGGTCTCGAACTCCTGACCTCAGGTGATCCGCCTGCCTTGGCCTCCCAAAGTGCTGGGATTACAGGCATGAACCACCACATCTGGCCCCAAATTTTCAAATATAATAAAATCAGAACACATCAAGAAAATAGAGCATACGTAAGTCCAGGCACGATGACTCAGTACTTTGGGAGGCCAAGACAGGCAGATCACCTGAGGTCAGGAGTTCGAGACCAGCCTGGCAAAAATGGTGAAACCCTATCTCTACTAAAAATACAAAAATTGGCCAAGCATGGTGGCGGGCACCTGTAATACTAGCTACTCGGGAGGCTGAGGCAGGAGAATCACTTGAACCCGGGAGATGGAGGTTGCAGTCAGCCGAGATCATGCCACTGCACTCTAACCGGGGCGACAGAGTGAGACTCCATCTCAAAAAAAAAAAAAAAAAAAAAAAAAAAAAAAAGAAAGAAAGAAAGAAAGAAAAAGAAAACAGAGTATATGCAAAACAAAAGCCAGCAAGGCGGAGTGGCTCATGCCTGTCATCCAAGCACTTTGGGAGGCCGAGGCGGGGGGATCATGATGTCAGGAGATGGAGACTATCCTGGCCAACATGGTGAAACCCCGTCTCCACTAAAAATACAAAAATTAGCCGGGAGTGGTGGCGGGCACCTGTAGTCCCAGCTACCTGGGAGGCTGAGGCAGGAGAATCGCTTGAACCCAGGAGGCGGAGGTTGCAGTGAGTCGAGATTGTGCCACTTCACTCCAGCCTGGCAACAGAGCGAGCCTCCGACTCAAAAAACAAACAAACAAAAAACAAAAAAACCCAACTAATCTCAAAGCAAAAACCCAATGTGTAAAAAACAGAATTCTTAGTCTCTATTATAAGAGTCTTTCTAATAGTTATGTAGTCTTAGGCTATGCCATCCACGATTTTGACTTGAGGCCAAATTGATACTTTCTAGTAGACGTGAATTTTATGTTTGTTTTATCCCAATTCCTCTGACAGACCTAGCTTTAATGTAAAGAGATGAATTTGAGGAAATGAGTCACAATTTTTCAGAAATTGTTTACCCCCAACTTTAACACCTGCTGTGGACTGAACTGTTTCCCCCAAAAAAGGTATGTTCAAGTCCTTACTCCATTACCTGTGAACATTACCTTATTTGAAAACAGGGTCTGTGAAAATGTAATCAAGTTAAAATGAGGTCATACTAGATTATCAGCCACCTAAATTGGATAAGAGACTCTAATTCAATGATCTGATGTCCTTATAAGAAGAGGGAAATTCACACAGAGACATGCAGGGGAGAATCCCACGTGAAGACAGATGCGGAGACTGCAGTAATGTACCAATGCAAGCCAAGAAATGCCAAGTATTGCCAATAACCACCAGACGCTAAGAGTAGGGCATGGACCAAGCTCTCTCTCAGAATCTCCAGAAGGAACCAGCCCTGCCAACACTTGGATTTTGGACTTCTGGCCTCCAGAACTGTGAGAAGATACACTTCTGTTGTTAAAAGCCATCCATCAAAGTTTGGGGTACTTTGTTGTAGCATCCCTAGGAAACAAACACAGCACCTCTGACTTCCTCCCCTACACCTGATGAAACTGCATTTCTTCTCGTGCAACTTTTATCTTAGTAAATAGTACACAGCAGCTGGGCACGGTGGCTCACGCCTATAATCCCAGCACTTTGGGAGGCTGAGGCAGGAGGATGGCTTGAGCCCAGGGGTTTGAGACCAGCCTGGACAACACAGGGAGGCTCCATTTCTACAAAAAAATAAAAAATTAATTGGGCATAATGTCACATGCCTATAGTCCAAGAGACTCAGAAGGTTGAGGTGGGAGGCTCGTTCGAGCCCTGGAGGTCAAGGGTGCAGTGAGCGATAATCACACCCCTGCACTCCAGCCTGTGCGACAGCGAGACCCTGTCTCAAAAATAAAGCATGTAACTGAGAAGAAAGAAAAGGGTTGGTGTCAGCATCAGAAGCATGACATATTTAAGCTTAGAAAGGGATTACCTAACCTAGTGTTGTTCAAATATGTCTCAAAGTAGTAGTAGCCAATGCTACACTACACAGGTTAAGGTGGGACAGGTGAGGAGCAGGGGATGGCCAATACCCATCACCTTGACCCCTGGCTCATGCCTTAAGTACCTAGGCTCTCTATAGTTATTTTATTCCTTGTTCATTTAATCAACATCTGAGCACCTACTCAGCATCAAACACTGCTTTCACAACATGAAAAAGCATAAGCTAAGCCAAACCTCCCATTTCATGGATTAAGAAATTTAGACAGGTATTTAGGGTCTCATGGAGAGTCAAAACCAGGGCCATCATGTATGTGCCCTATCTCCAAAGCTGGTGCCCTTTCTATCATACTATTCACTCCTCGTTTAACTTGTAGCCTTTCCTTCAAACATTTTTATGTCTCTCTTTTTTTTTTTTTTGAGACGGAGTCTGGCTCTGTCACCCAGGCTGGAATGCAGTGGCGTAATCTCAGCTCACTGCAAGCTCCACCTCTCGGGTTCATGCCATTCTCCTGCCTCAGCCTCCCAAGTAGCTGGGACTACAGGCGCCCGCCACTGTGCCCGGCTATTTTTTGTATTTTTAGTAGAGATGGGGTTTCACCGTGGTCTCGATCTCTTGACCTTGTGATCCGCCCGCCTCGGCCTCCCAAGGTGCTGGGATTACAGGCGTGAGCCACCGCGCCCGGCCTTTTTTTTTTTTTTTTTTGAGAGGCAGGGTCTGGCTCTGTCACCCAGGCTAGCTGGAGCACAGTAGTGCAATCATGGCTCACTGCAGCCTGGAATTCCTGGGCTCAAGCAATCCTACCACCTCAGCCTCCCAGGTAACTGGGACTATGGGCATACACCACTACACCCAGCTAGGTTTTTTTTTTAAGAGATGGGATCTTGCTATGTTGCCCAGGCTGGTCTCGAATTCCTGGGCTCAAGCGATCCTCCTGCCTTGGCCTCCCAAAGTGCTGGGATTACAGATGTGAGCCACCACACCCGGCCCTCTTTATACATTTGTTGAGGGTTAAAGCGAAGTCTTTTTCCCTGCATTTAGCATATCATATCCTTCTTAAAGTTTTTAGTTTGGCCATTACTGTTCACTGTCCCAACAGGCCTGGAGGCATTTTGAGAAGATGACAGGCCTGAACCTCAAGACAGAGAGAAAATGGCAACCAGCTCTGACCCCACTTTAGCCAATGGCAAAATGCAGGGTGCTACCTGATCTTTTTCAACGTCATCTTTTGCCCACCCTGGCAAGGCCTAAGTAAGTTCCAGTCAGAGGAGCTTCAGTTTCCATGACAGTTTCTATCTCATGGCTTTGGAAAAAACTGTTAAAACACTGCTCTTAAATGTGCAAGTGTGTTTTTTGGGAAATGAAATAATAAAATACAGAGGAAAAAAGTATAATGTCTAAAGAAAAAACAATCTGCCTGATACTACACTGTTATAGCTACCAACATATTAAAAAGAAGTCGACGTGCTGCATGAGGAAGGCTCTCCAACTGACTGTTGTCAGTAAATGTCCCAAAGTCTGTTCCTATGAGATGATCAGGACAGAAGGCAGTGCCAAAGGATGCTGACTAACATAACCAAGTGACCAACATATAAACCAGAAAACCAAGAATGGAAACGAAGCCCTCCCATCACGGTAGCTAAGGCCACTCAAGGAGCCTACTTGAACATTCTCAAAGACACCCTACGAGCTCAGAAAGAGCAAAAGGAAGGTAAGATATTCTTATGGTAGTTTTACTAAGTGAAGATTACAAGCTGAAAGAAAACCGTGTGACCAAACTTTTAAGGGCCATAAGAGTCACCTTCTTGCACTAACTGTGTCAAATCTTATAAATGTGTGCTTCCTTTTCTACTATCATGATTGATTCCTCAGATAGGCTATGTTAGAGCTTTCTTTAAACAGGTGGCATGAAACTCACTTAAAAAAGAACAATATGGTCGGGTGTGGTGGCTCACGCCTGCAATCCCAGCACTTTGGGAGGCCAAGGCAGGCAGATCACCTGAGGTCAGGAGTTTGAGGCCAGCCTGGTCAACATGGCAAAATGCTGTCTCTATTAAAAATACAAAAATTAGCCAGGGGTGGTGGCACACACCTGTAGTCCCAGTGACTTGGGAGGCTGAGACATAAGAATCGCTTGAACCCAGGAGGCAGAGGCTGCAGTGAGCTGAGATCGTGCCACTGCACTCCAACCTGGGTGACAGAACAAGACTCTGTCTCCAAAAAAAAAAAGAACAATATAGGGAAGGATCTCAATCCTATCCTGATCCTACAGACCATCTCCAGGACTCGTTCACTTCTACGAATAACCAATTCCACATATTACATATTAATTAGACCTAGTTTCTGATACTTTCCTTTTACTCAAGTTCTAATCAAATTTTAGTGCAGCTCACTTACGCACAAACCACACCTCTCATCATCCTCTCCTCACCCAGTCCACACCCTCGCTGGCTCCTCCGCTGGCTGCTCCTCCTCTTCCCAGCTTTCCAGGCTCTGCCCTTGGACTTCTCTATTTCCATTCGCTTCCTCCACCAGTGCCTTCAAGAGCAAAATAATGCCAGTCATATATGTAATTAAAATTTTCTAGGCCAAGTGCAGTGGTTCATTCCTGTAACCCCAGCACTTGCGGAGGCCAAGGCAAGCGGACTGCATGAGAGCAGGAGTTTGAGCTCAGCCTGGGCAACATAGTGAGACCCAGTCTCTACAAAAAAAGTAAATTAGCTGGATGCAGTGGCGCATGCCTATAGTCCCAGCTACTCAGGAGGCTGAAATGGGAGGACTACTTGAGCCTGGGAGACCAAGGCTGCAAGAAGCTGTGAATGTACCACCGCACTCCAGCCTAGGTGACAGTGATGTCCTAGCTCAAAAAATAAATAAATATATTTCTAGTAGCCATATTAAAAAAGAAACAGGTGAAATTAACTTTAATATGTTTGATTTAACCCAGTATATCCAAAATAATATCACTCCAAATATAATGAAGGTAAAAATTAATGATATATGTTACATTGTAATTTTTCACACTGTCTTTGGCATCTGGTACATAATTGACACAGCGCATCTCAATTCAGATTAGCTGCATGCAAAGTTCAAAAGCCACATGTGGGCCGGGCGCGGTGGCTCACGCCTGTGATCCCAGTACTTTGGGAGGCTGAAGCAGGCGGATCACAAGGTCAGGAGATCGAGATCATCCTGGCTAGCACGATGAAACCCTGTCTCTACTAAAAAATACAAAAAAATTAGCTAGGCGTGGTGGTGGGTGCCTGTAGTCCTAGCTGCTCAGGAGGCTGAGGCAAGAGAATGGCATGAACCCGGAAGGCGGAGCTTGCAGTAAGCCGAGATCATGCAATTGCACTCCAGCCTGGGCGACAGAGTGAGACTCCATCTCAAAAACAAAACAAAACAAAACATGTGGCTTGTGGCTGCCTTATTTAACTGCGCAATCTGGCTTACCTCTTCTAGTCCCATGATTATAAATACCACCTATGCAGAGACTGCTCCATCCTTTCCCTCTACCCTGCTTCTTTCTCTTTAATTCCAGAACTCTAATGCTACCAAGCTACTAGACAAGGAGATATCTGACTGGCATCTCAAACTTATAACATGTCTAAAGCCAAACAACACAACCCTGAATTCTCACCACCATTACCCTTGCCATGACCTTCCCCATGTCAGTCAAGGGCAACCCCACGCTATGATGGCTCCTCCTCGCACATCCCACATCTCGTCCATCAGCAAACCCTCTTAGGTGTACCTTCATCATGGATGCAGAACCAAGGCCTTTCACTTGCTCTCCTCTACCCCTCGAAATGCTCTGCTCCTCAGGTATCTCCACATCTTTCTCTCTTCCTCTTCAGGTCTCTGCTCAAGTGTCAACAGAGGCTTTCCCTGTCCACCACATACGATGCAACACCCCATCTTTTGCTCTGTTTTTCCCCTTGGCACTAATTTTCACTTCACATATGCATCTACTTGCTTATTTGTATTATCAGTCTTTCTACCCACACCCACCAGGACAGGACCGTGTGCAGCCACTATGAAGGTGCCCTGCTCAGATCACCCTTCAAGAGAAGCTGCTACAGGAAACTAAGCTGACAGCCTCAAGTTGCTACATGTTCAGAACCACAACAGCACTGACACCAAGCCATGCTTCCATCAGGCTGCCCCCAACTAATGGTTTAATCCGAAAGGGATAACAGACTCAGGCCTTTCTGTCCGGTGCAGGATGCACAGCTTCAGCATGAGAATTCCCCATCAGCTTGGTCAAGACTTTCTCAGAACTGTACAGTGACCTGAGGCTGTTCCTAGCCACTCTTCCTCTCCTCTCTTCACGGGAATCCGACCAAGTGGAAGTCAAAAGGCTCTTCCTACATACTACTCCTGCTTCCTCTCGCCTTACCCTTAATTCCCCCAATAAACCTCCTGGATGTCTAATCCATCCTGGCATCTGTACCTAGCCCAGTGTAGGCAGTCAACAAATACTTTATGAATGAATAGATCTCTAGGTAGAGTAGGGAAGCGGAAAGAACATGAACTTTTAAGTTGGAAGGACGGAAGTCTGGGCTCCTGTTCTGCCATATATTACCTGTGACCACAGGGAAGTTTTTCGGAATCTCTCTGAGTTGTAGCTTCCTCATTTGTAAAATGACAACCATCCCATCTCTCTCAGAGTTCTCAGGAGGCTTACATTAAATGGTTTATCTAAGGTCCCTAACACAACGCCCTAACAGATTAGAACGGTTAACCAGTGTTAGCTCACTCTCCCCTTATCCATTTTCTGTAGCTACTTCTAAGAATCCTTAGCCCTTTTACTTCACCAAGAATTCTGACCACTTTTTAAGAAAGCACCAAATAATCCTAGTGAATCTCTTATTCAATTGAACCTGACTGATGAATAAACTTTATTTTCATTTCTGACTCGCCTATGATGAGCTTAAGGTTTTACTTCATTTTACAAGGTGAAATCTCAGAGATAGCTATCTTAACACTGAAACTTAGGCTGTTTCGCTAAAGCTTCAAGTTAAGCATACTTTTTCAAACACAAACCAATACAAAATCTAAAACTACAGTTCAGTACCAACTTCTTAAGGCTAAGTTTTTTAGAGCCTCTATGTTCTGAAAGTCTGTAGCATTCGTGATCCATTATGGAGTTTTTCAGGAAAATACATACTGACTCTGTGTGGATTTCAAATAAACAGTTGTTTTTTAATGGCTCAAGCATAATATGCAATGTTGTTTATATACACATTCTAAAAAGTCCCCAAGTGGATAAACTAATGGTAATTACTTAATTAACTAATGGTAATTAGTTAATTAGTTAACATTAGGTAATGTTAATGGTAGTCACTCACAGGGAACAGGATTAGGAGATGAGAGGATGAGGGGTTCTTACTACGAGTTTTTATGAAGTCTTCATAGGACTGGCTACATAATTTGTGGGACCCAGTGCAGAACAATAATGTGGGTTCTGAGTTCAAAAATAACTAAGAATGGCCGAGCACGGTGGCTCATGCCTGTAATCCCAGCACTTTGGGAGGCTGAGGCAGGCGGATCACGAGATCAGGAGATCGAGACCATTCTAACATGGTGAAACCCCGTCTCTACTAAAAATACAAAAACATTAGCCGGGCGTGGTGGTGGGCACCTGTGGTCCCAGCTACTCAGGAGGCTGAGGCAGGAGAATGGCGTGAACCCAGGAGGCGGAGCTTGCAGTGAGCCAAGATGATGCCATTGCACTACAGCCTGGGCAACAGAGTGAGACTCTGTCTCAAAAAAAAAAAACAAAAAAAAAAAAACCTAAGACTATCAAGACTACAACAGCAGATCACTGAAGCAAGCAAGGGCCCTGTATGATGCAATTACAGGCTCATAAAGCCAACCCTGTGCCTTTATAAACTTTATGAGCTTAATATTCTACATGCAATATAAAAAATCTGTGCTTAATTGTATGAAATTATCTCACAGGACTACTTCAGAAAACAAAACATCCGGCCTTAACAAAAGTAGTAAAACTAATATAGCCACCAAGAAAATTTTTAACATGACAAATGATTATTCAGAGTAGTTAGAAACTTGTTGGTCAATTTTTTTAAGGCTGCTGAGAGTAAGGTGGTTACTCATGAAAGTTCACTAAGACATATGTACAAAAATGTTTACTGTAGCACTGTGTTACAAATAACAAAAACCTGGAAACTCTTCATATCAACTAGTTAAATAAATTCAGGCACCTTCACACAAGGTAATACTAGGCATATTAAAAAAAGAACATGGTAAAGCAAATCTGTACCTAAAGTAGATCTGTGTATTAGTCTGTTTTTGCAATGCTGATAAAGACATACCCAAGACTGGGTAATTTAGAAAGGAAAGAGGTTTCATTGACTTACAGTTCCACGTGGCTGCAGAGGCCTCACAATCATGGCAGAAGGCAAGGAGGAGCAAAGTCACCTCTTACATGGATGGTGACAGTCAAAAGAGGAGAGATTATGCAGGGAAACTCCCCTTTTTAAAACCATCAAATCTCATGAGACGTATTCACTATCATGAGAACAGCATGAGAAAGACCTGTCCCCATGATTCAATCACCTCCCACCAGGTCCCTCCTACAACATGTGGGAATTCAAGATGAGATTTGGGTGGGGACACAGCCAACCCGTATCAATCTGTATGTCTGATATGGAAAGCATTCCAAGATACAAAGTTTAGTGTTTGTTTAAATAATGACACAAGAACACTCTTTACCATGATTCCATTTTTTAAAATTTATCTGTGGTCTTCAAGGCAAGATGAATACAGGATAGGAAGGGAGATGAAGAAAGAGACTTATTGTTCATGTTAAAAAGTCGGCTTGAGTCCAGGCATAGTGGTTTACGCCTGTAATCCCAGCATTTTGGGAGGCAGAGGCAGGAGCATCGCTTGAGTTCAGGAGTTCCAGAACAGCCTGGGTAACGTGGTAAAACCCCATCTCTACAAAAAATTTAAAAATTAGCTGGGTGTGGTGGTGCATAACTGTAGTCCCAGTTACTCAGGAAGCTGAGGTGGGAGGATCAATTGAGCCTGGGAGGTGGCCAAGGCTACAGTGAGCCATAATTGTGCCACTGCACTCTAGCCTGGGTGACAGAATGAGACCCTGTCTCAAAAAAAAAAAAAAAAAAAAAAAAAAAAGGCTTTATGACAGCTACTTGTATTCCAATGTTTTGGCAAATCATACAAAACACATACTTTAACAAGTTTAATTTAAACTTTAAAGTATATAAAAACAGGCCAGGCACGGTGGCTCATGCCTGTAATCCAACACTTTGGGAGGCCAAGGCGGGCGGACTGCCTGAGCTCAGGAGTTCGAGACCAGCCTGGGCAACATGGCAAAACCCCATCTCTACTAAAAATACAAAAGATTATCTGGGCATGGTGGCACACACCTGTAGTCCCAGGTACTCAGGAGGCCAAGGCAGGAGAATCGCTTGAACCCGGGAGGTGGAGGTTGCAGTAAGCCAAGATTGTACCACTGGACTCCAGCCTGGGTGACAGAGCAAGACTGCCTCAAAAAAAAAAAAAAAAAAAAAAAGTATATAAAAACAAGAAACTCCTTCAGATGGTACTGGCAAAAGATTAACAAAAGTAGAATCAGGACTCAATTATCTATGATGGTAACTAACCAAAGAAAGCAGTGGCAAGGAAAACAACCAAAGAAAGAATTAAAAACATGTCTACTCTATTTCAACTTTCTCTCCATTAAAATATTTAGGGAAAATGCTAGCAAGGAGCAACATACTAATCAGACATCTAATAAAGGGCTTGCCTGGCATGGTGGCTCATACCCACAGTCCCAGCACTTTGAGAGGCCAAGGCGGGAGGATCGCTTGAGGCCAGGAGTTTGATATCAGCCTGGGCAACATGGCAAAACCCTGTCTCTACATAAAAAGAATAAAAATTAGCCAGGAGTGGTAACATGAGCATGTAGTCCCAGCTGAGGCAGGAGGATCACTTGAGCCCAGGAGGTCCTGGCTGTAGTGAGCTGTGATCGTGCCACCGCACTCCAGCCTCGGTGACAGAGTGAGACTCTGCCTCAAAAAAAAAAAAAAAAAAAAGACCTTTTTTAATTAAAAAAAAAAAATTAAATAAAAAAAGGAAGGGCTTGAAAAAAATCTCCAAACTGGGTGAACAATTCTGAAATAATTACTGCTGGTTTTCCCTATCTTCTCCCTATTCAACCAGGGGCAACACTGAGGAAGAGACAGATATGGAGAAAGCCTGGCAACAGGTAAGCACTTAGGGAAGATGTCAGAAACAGAAATCTCAACAGTCATTCCAAATACCAAAGAGGAAGTTTCTACTGCTTAATGTATATTAACAAGATGTAAGATTAAAGTGAAAACATTCGCTTTCCTGAAAATAACATACTGTATAGTGTAAACTTTGACAATTTCTATTTTCCACTCTTTTTTTTTTCTTGAGACAGGGTCTCGCTCAGTCACCCAGGCTGGAGTCCAGTGGTGCAATCATGGCTCACTGCAGCCTTGATCTCCTGGGCTCAAGCGATCCTCCTGCCTCAGCCTCCTAAGTAGCTGGGACTACAGACATGTGCCACCACACCTGGCTAATTTTTAAAATTTTTTTGTAGAAACAGGGTTTCACCATGTTGCCCAGGCACATCTCAAACTCCTGGGCTCAAGTGATCCTCCCACCTCGCTTTCCCAAAGTGCTGGAATTATAGGCAAGCCAGCATGCCTGGCCAATTTTCCAGACTTTCTTAAGCCATATGCAAAAAACCTGCTCATCTACAGACAGGTTTGCCTGTCTTCAGAATAATTTAGGACCACCATCATGAATCTGTTTATGCAAAAGCCCTCTCCAACTCAGTCACAAAATTAATGAAAGAACGTAGATGCAAGTTGAAAATGAGATGACTGGCCAGGCACGGTGGCTCACACCTGTAATCCCAGCACTTTGGGAGGCCGAGGCAGGAAGATCATGAGGTCAGGAGTTCAAGACCAACCTGGCCAACATGGTGAAACCCCGTCTCTATTAAAAAATAAAAAATTAGCCGGGCATGGTGGCACGCACCTGTAATCCCAGCTACTGGGGAGTCTGAGGCAGGAGAATCACTTGAACCCACGAGACAGAGGTTGCAGTAAGCCAAGATCACGCCACTATACTCCAACCTGGGTGACAGAGTAAAACTCAGTCTCGGGAAAAAAAAAAAAAGAAAAGGCCGGGCATGGTGGCTCAGTCCTGTAATCCCAGCACTTTGGGAGGCCAAAGCGGGCAGACCACGAGGTCAGGAGATAAAAACCATCCTGGCTAACACGGTGAAACCCAGTCTCTACTAAAAATACAAAAAATTAGCCGGGCGTTGTGGTCGGGCGCCTGTAGTCCCAGCTACTCGGGAAGCTGAGGCAGGAGAATGGCGTGAACCCAGGAGGTGGAGTTGGCAGTGAGCCGAGATCGCGCCACTGCACTCGAGCCTGGGCGACAGAGCGAGATTCTGTCTCAAAATAAAAATAAAAAAAAAAGAAAGAAAATGAGATTTTTTTCTTTACACACACACCAGAAATAAATATGTGAACACTGTCATAATAAACTAGCATATACAATTAACCAGTGTATCCAACCACTAGTGTCGTCTCCACCTATTCAAATTAATAGCTAAAAGCTGCCACTTACTGAGCACTTACTATATGCTGGGCCCTGTTCTGAGTGTGTCACGTGGATTCACTAAGTTCTCATACAAAGTTATTCCAACTCTATCCTCCTCCTCCTGAAATCAGAGACTGTAAATTTTGAGTTAATTCAGTCAAACATTTAACAAATGAGTACTATGTAAAAGACTATATTGCACACTAGAGGAAATCAGAAATGATTAAGATTTTCCTCTACATCTCTCAAGGAGTTTATAATCCAGGAAAGACCTTCATGTATATAAACTAAAAAGTCATAAGGAAAAAATAGATAAGTAGAGGTATCAGGCTAGCACTGTGTGGGAGAAAAATAATGAGTTAATTCTGAAAATCAGGTTACAGAAATAGAAGTAGCAGCATTTAAGCCAAGACTCCAAGACTCAGAAAGAGAGAGAAAGGTGGAAAGGATATTTCAGAGTAGTCTGCCAATAACGGAAGTGGCCAGAGGTCTTGTGTTGAAATATAAGGTGACAAGAAGAGATGCAGGCTGGGCGTGGTGGCTCGTGCTTATAATCTCGGCACTTTCGGAGGCCAAGGCGGGCAGATTACTTGAGCCCAGGAGTTTGAAGCCAGTCTAGGCAACAGAGCAAAACCCCATCTCTACAAAAAATTAGCCAGGCGTTATGTGCCTGTAGTCCCAGCTACTCAGGAGGCCAAGGCAGCAGGAGGAAGGGAGGTGGAAGTTGCAGTGAGCCAAGATGGCACCGCTGCACTCCAGCATGAGTGACAGAGTAAGACCCTGTCTCAAAAACACAAAAACGAAAAAGAAGAGATCCAATAAAAGATTAAGCTAAAAGTAAGAATGAGGCTAGATAGCAAAGATCTTACAGTGATTTCCTAACTCTTTAACATTAATTCTCAACCAGGGGAGGAGTGTGGTAGCACTTCCAAGGTAAAAATCTTGGGAGGAGAAAGCCCATAACCTTACCAACAAAACTGTCGTATCCCTCAGGTGTGATGGAATAGAGGGAAATGTTGAGAACCTCTGGTGTATACTTGGGAAATGGGTCATGATATGATTTGATTTGCCTATTAAATAATTCTGGCAACAGAACAGAGGAGGAGAGACCAGAAAAAAGAGAGGCCAGTTGGAGGACTACAGTAACTATCTTCATAAGGAGTAAGAGCTTCAGGGAGGGTAGGGGCAGAGGAAACATGAAAGAGTAAAGAAAAAGACTGATGGAAAAGACTCATGGAGGCAAACCTGGTAAAAATCTGGTCAAGAAAGGAAGTCTCTAAAGGTTTCCAGGCTGGGTAACAAGTAGGACAAAAATGCTATAAAGCAAAACATCTGATTACCTTGTATCTGTGTAAGGATGTGCAGTACACAAAGCATAGCCTCTTTAAATGTACTACAAAGCAACAGGAATAACCGTTCTCAGTTCCCAAATAAAGACTGACTGACTTCCAAAGGGATTTAACAAACTTGTTCACGGCCAAGAAGCAAACCTGAGTCTTTCAAATCCAGTTCTAATATTCTTTTAAGAAGCCCCCTCAAACGCAATTGCTTTTGATGCATATAATAAATTTCTAAAAAAGAAAACTTTTAAAGAAAAAGCATGTAATCTCTTGGGAATTAAATTATACTTCAAATATAAGGATTTTTTTTTTTTTTTTTTTTTTTTGAGAGAGCCTTGCTCTGTCGCCAGGCTGGAGTCCAGTGGTGTGATCTTGGTTCACTGCAACCTCCACCTCCCGGGTTCAAGAGATTCTACTGCCTCAGCCTCCCAAGTAGCTGGGACTATAGGCGTGCTCCACCATGCCCGGATAATTTTTGTATTTTTAGTAGAGATGGGGTTTCACCATGTTGGCCAGGATGGTCTCACTCTCTTGACCTCATGATCCGCCCGCCTCGGCCTCCCAAGGTGCTGGAATTACAGGCGTGAGCCACCGCGCCCGGCCAATACAAGGAATATTTTTAACCTTGTGCTCTGGTTCCCTCTGCCCAAAAAATGGGTCGGTGATTCACAGTCAGCAATGCAGGCACTTCATCTATTTCATTAGACCCTACAAGTTTAGATACAAATGGGAAAGATGACAGTTTTTACTTTGTATAAAATACCACTTATGTGATTATGTGAAAGACCAAAAATAACTGTAAAGAAATATTCTAAATAGTAACTATATTCAACATAGTAAAACTACATTTCTAATGTTGTTGTGGGCACCGATGTTTATTAAAAATACTTCATCTGGGTCTTGTGCGGTGGCTCATGCTTGTAATCCCAGCACTTTGGGAGGTTGAGGTGGGAGGATTGCTTGAGCCCAGGAGTTCGAGATCAGCCTGGGCAACACAGGGAGACCCGTTTCTACAAAAAAACAAATTGTTTTAATTAGCTGAGCATGGTGGTGCATGCCCGTGGTCCCAGCTACTCAGGAGGCTGAGGTGGGAGGATCACTTGAGCCTGGGAGGTTGAGGCTACAGTGAGCCACGATCACACCACCGCACTCCAAGCCTGGGTGACAAAGCAAGATGCTGTCTCAAAAACAAACAAACTTTATTTGCAGACTTAAGCCAGGGTCAGAAAAAATAAAAATAAATATACTTTATAATATTAACATACTCTTTAAGGTTGATTACAGACTTTGACTTTATTTAGCAAACATTTAAACACTTACATTTAACATTAAGCACTTATGTTTAAACGCCTGAGCAAGGTGTTGGGGGCAAAATGATAGGATAGACACCACAGCCAGAGTTTACTATGACCAATTTATAATACAACATGATATAGACAATAATGAAGGAAAAATAGAGAACTATGATTGAGGAAAGGAATAATTCATTGTAATAGGACTTCCAAAGGACTCCAGAGAGAACAGAATATTTGATATGAACTTTTAAGAACTGGAGGGAGTGGGAGTGAGACAGGACATTCCAATAAGAGAAAAGAATATAAGCAAAGAAGGTCTGAAATAGCTTGGCATGTTCAGAGAACCAAGAGCAGTCTTGTTTAGCTGGACAGTGTGGAAAGGGGACAAAGAGGACAAGATAAAGTACAGAGATGACTGGGGGCCAGACTGCAAGGGGCCTGCATTGTGATGCTGGTATCTCTGAATTCTAAGCTCCAAACCACAGGCAGTCTTAGAAGCCTACTGAGCCAGAGACTGACAAGATCTGAGCTCAGGAAAGATGACTCTGGCAGCCAGGCAAAGAATGGATAGGAAGGGGTGGCGAGGAGCCTGAAGACAAAGTTAAAAACTTTAAGCAAAGCAAGTAATCTGAGGTTTTAACACTTACACTAGGCGAGTATTTTTAAAGGGTTTGAGTCTTGACGACATTTCACGTCTTCCCTCAAGTGATCATCCCAACTATTCTGTGAAACAGGTGTCATCAATCTTCCCATTCTACAGATGAGGAAATTAGCTCACAAGCCATTAACTGCCAAGTCAAATGCTACAAAAACAAGGACAAAGCGCAGGCTCAGCACTTTTCCACACAATGAAAAATAAAGAACAAGAACAATCTAATTTCTTTTGAAGAGTGCTACCGTACAACATAGCACAGAGTAGGCTAGCTACATTACCCTATATTACCACTGGAAGTGTTAAAAATCCATCTAATCAGCCAGGCGCGGTGGCTCACGCCTGTAATCCCAGCACTTTGGGAGGCTGAGGCAGGCGGATCACGAGGTCAGGAGAGAAAGACCATCCTGGCTAACACGGTGAAGCCCCATCTCTACTAAAAATGCAAAAAATTAGCCGGGGGTGGTGGCATGCACCTGTAGTCCCAGCTACTCGGGAGGTTGAGGCAGGAGACTCGCTTGTACCCGGCGGGCGGAGGTTGCAGTGAGTGAGCCGAGATCGCGGACTCCAGCCTGGGCGGCAGAGCGAGACTCCGTCTCAAAAAAAAAAAAAAAAAAAATTCATCTGATCTTCTTAAATGTTTGCAACTTGCATAACAAGCTAATTATCCTTAGATTTGACTTCTGTTAACGTCATGTTAAAGACCTATACTTTTTCTCCAAAGCAAACAAAAAAGCACCTGCACTTTGAATTCTACTTCCTATGGAAATAAATAAGAATAATATTCTCCCTTCCCTTCAATGTTTAAAAACTGGCATTTCACTGATGTAACGGGCTTACATAAAAACCATTATACCCAAGGAAGCTGTAAACCACTTTTTGAATGATTAAAAATGCATTATTTAGCAAGTACAGCAATTGAATCTGAGTTATAAGATATATTAAGTGAAAGGAGCTTCTATAGATATGCAAAGGCACACTCTCGGAAATAGGTTCTGTCATAAGGAAGCGACATAGAGATCCTGAGACCTATTTAAGAATGGTTCAATCCAAAATAACTGATGGAAGAATATTTGACCTTGAGGATGCAGAGTGATAGAATCCGCTCCTCCTCCCCCCCCGCCCTCACCCGCCTTTAAATTCTAAGTCCACGAAATGGTCAAAGTGTTCTGGAACGGGTCTTATTTTGCATAGGAAGAATCTAGCTTGGGCATTTTACCGCACAGTTTTATCCACAGCATCGCCTATTACCAAAACTGCTTGTCCCTACCCCCTCACGAGCTTTCTAACAGTTTTTAAAACAAGACCCAGAAATGTAAAATCCCTTCTTAGGAACTTGAACAGTAAGTCAAAGTATCCAACCCAGGTAATTATTAGCAAGAACTACATTTATATAATTTTTTCCAAAGAATCTCGCATGCCTCCTCTCCGCTGAATCTCCCTCCTGTTTTTAACTGGGTTAAATCTTTATAGCTTGCCTATAGAGGACAAAAACGGAAAGGTGGCAAAAAAGAAATCAAGACAGTTCTGCCATGATTTAGGGGTCTGTACCAAGAGTTCGGCAGGTCCTGTCACCTGCGCACCACAAGACGCAAGCTGAATTCTAGGGCAAGACGAAGCATTCCAACACGACACACACTGGTTTCTCCAGCGGGAAGAAGCAGAGAGCTCTAGAAATGCCGGCTGCAGACGCGTATTGTTGGAAAGGAGCCGGATCAGGCCCCGCAGCAACTCGGGGCGCCCTCGCGACAGGGTTTGCCGCGCAGCGCACGGATGACTGTGGGCCTGTCACTCCTAGCTCCAGCTGTAACCTTCGCCAAACCTTGCGCCGCACCGGCCCCGCCCGCCAGGCCCGCCCCCCGCGCCGCGCCCCGCGCCATAGGCCGGCGCGCCAGTCGCTCAGCCGGCCTCCCGGCCCCGCCCGCCTGCGGCCCTCCTCCCCCGCCCGGCGGTTTTCCCTTCCCGGGGCCCCAAAAGGACAATGCTGGAGGGGAGGGGAACGGAGGGAACGCGAGCGAGCGGCCCAGGCTGCCGGCCTGACCCCGCTGCCGGGGACGCCGGGCGCCTCCCACCGGCCGAAGCCTTCCTCCCGCGCCCACTTTCGGGGCTCTACGTCCTATCAAGTCTAAGCACCCCCGCCTCGTCTCCCCTAGAAGAGCCGCCCCGGCGCGGCGACACCTGCCCCAGGCAGGAGGCAGCCAACGGCAACCCATTGTGCGGACTCATCGTCCACAGCCCACCCGGGCGCAAGAGCCGCAAGCTGGTGTCCCGGCGTCCTGGGGTCGGGGCGGGGGTCCCAGGGCCCACAGCTCACCCGCACGCCCGGGCACCACCAGGATCGGGGCCGGTCAGGCCTCCCTCGGCTGGCCCCGGAGCCATCAACAGCGGCCCGGTCTCCCTTAGGCTGGCCCCGGAGCCATCAGCGGCGGCCCGGCCTCCCTCAGGCTGGCCCCGGAGCCCCCGGCGGCGGCCCGGTCTCCCTCAGGCTGGCCCCGGAGCCCTCGGCGGCGGCTCGGCCTCCCTTAGGCTGGCCCCAGAGCCCACGGCGGCGGCCCTGTCTCCCTTGGGCTGACCCCGAAGCCTTCGGCTGCGGCCCGGCCTCCCTCGGGCTGGCCCCGGAGCCCCACGGCGGCGAGCGTCCGGCCTCCCCGGCCCGCGCCCACCCGGCCGAGGGGCTGCTCCGCGCCCTCCCTCCCCGCCGCCTGCCCGCAGTACCTGCCGAGGCTGCCGGGCGGCGCGGCGGCCGGCGGGGGCGCCTCTCCTCTGGCTCCGAGGGGCTGCGGGCGGCTGCCGAGCGCCGGGCGGCCCTGGCCTGCGCCTTACGTAAAGCGGCGGCGGCGGCCCCAGCGCCACTCCGCGGAGGGCGGGAGGCGGCGCGCCGGGAGCCGCTCCGCTCCGTTACCCGGCAACTGGCCTCAGCGCCCCGCCAACCAGGGGCGCGCTCCATATCCTTCCGCCCGGGTGCCGGGATTACATCAGCGCCGGCCGGTCCCCGCCCCTGCCCCTCCCTCCGGCTGGGCTGCGGGCGCGCGCGGGCGGTGGGCCGCGGGCTGACGGCGCGAGGGGACAGGCCGGGGCTGGTGCCTGGCGGGTGGGGGTCTAGGGCCCGGGACGCGCCGTGCAGCTTGGCCGGGGCGGCGGAAGCCGCTGGGAGGTGAGAGGGCAAGCAGTAGAGAGGGCAGGCAGGAAGCGGGAGCCCCCCAGCGTGCTGGGCGTCGGAGAGGAGACGTCTCCCGCGGAGGGGCACGTGGGACTGCCCTCGGCAGAAGCCCCCGAACTCTGCCGCCGCGCCCCGCCCCCGGCCCGCGCTGGGGAAGTGGGGCTCGGCGTGCACGGCCCCGCCCGCGGCCCGGTGCAGCCCCCGCCTTCCCGGGCTCGCGCGCCACCTGTCCGCGCCCCCTCCTCGCCGCGTCCTGGGATGGCTGGAGTAGGCGGCTTAAAATAAAGACTTTAATTTTTTGTTGTTGTTGTTAAGGAACCCAGAAGACAAGCTAAAGAAATGTGACATGGCTCTTTTTTTATTAACTAGGCAAAAATAAATTCTGGAAGCTTCGAAAGTGGAAACCAAAAATGTGCATTAACCTTTTAATCAAAGTGTCTTCACAGCCACCTACCTTCCCTAAATGTGACTCCTAGGCCTGTTCTAAAAAAGCAAATAAGTATCATGGACCTGGAAAAGGAAGGGAGATTACTTAGAAGAAAGAGGTCCAATGGGAGGAGTGACTTACCTGGGGTCATTTGTTCATTTATGCAGCACCCACTAGGTGCCAGGCACTATGCTTTTCTGTTCAGAACCTGTTGGAGAATTTCCTGCACCAGCTCACGGGCTTGTGGGAGAAGCAGATGCTGAAACACTGGAGAGGGGTCATCTGCTGAGTTGGCTAGATGCTCCATGCATCCATGGAAGGACAAACCGAGGAACTGTCGCTTACGTACTATCTACAGAGTGTTTTTTCTGCGAACATATCTTTTTGTTCTTTACAAAAATCGTGGGACAAATCTTTGTCATCCGCATTTAACTGGTGAGGAAGCTGAGGCTGAAAGAAAGTGATTTCACCCAAGCCTGGCTGCTACCGAGTGGACAGGGCCTTCTGACCTTGCTAAACCACCTCTTGCAGGAGACAGAATGTGAACCCAGGCTCCTGGCTCTGAAATATGGGGTTTCGTTTCCTTTACACTACTGTCTCCCTTAACCAGTTTGCTTCTAATTGTATTCTCTGAGCATTCGCTCAGGTGAATGTATATCGTCATAAATCACACGTTCATTCAGTCAGTTTCTTCTGAGTGCTTGTTGTGGACCTGGCTCAGTGCCGGGAACGCACAGTCCCTGTGCTCCTGGAACTCAAACTCTAAAAACAGTGTCGAGAATGGAAAGGGTATGGGAAATCCAGGGCCACTTGGGAGTAGAGGAGGGGAGAGTAGCAGAGCTTCAGAGCCTAGTTCACAGGTGCCTCCAGGCTCCAGGATTTCACAGACCAAAGTATGGGGGATTTGCAAAGGATGGTCAGCTTTTGATTTTTGCTACATTGGTGACATATCTGTCATCTACATCATATTTTACAAAAGAGTATTAACAGCAAAATTTTTTGAAAAGTAATAACAGTATATCTCAGTTCTGAAGAAAGGAAACACGGTTGGCACCTGTATAGTGACACACACACACACACACACACACACAGAGTTTATTGACCTTTTTTTTTATTACTTTGCCACAGACCAGTTTTTATACTAGTTCTACCATGAACTAGTAGAACCTGAAGACTTCTTGGAAGAAGAGGTTTTTAAGTAGGAATTATCTTGTATTAATAGGATTTGGAGCTGGTGGGGAAAGATGACAGATTAGGGAAAGAAAGTGTCTTGTTTACTTTGTTTTCTTAACAAAATAGCCTCCTGTCCTCCAAATTATTTTGATAAAAATCCTAGGAGTCTCAGCTGACTCCAACCTTAGGGCCTTTGCATCTGCTGATTTCTGTGAGGAACTCCCTCCCCAGACCTCTGCGTGGCTGGTTCCTTCTTGTTAAAGGCCCTGCTACGATGTCACCTGCCCAGAGACATCTAGATGCCCAGTTTGGAGTAGCCAACCTTCCCAGTCATGATGCCACTGCTATATTTTGTTTCTTTATTCACAGCTCTTATCAGTATCTGAGATCATCTCGTTTGTATGTTTGTTTCCTCATTCATCTCAGCCTCCTCACTCAAGACCTGTATCTCACAAGAGCAGGCATTTTGCCTGTGGTGCTTATTTTCATATGCCCAGAGCCCAGCACGGAGCCTGCCAGTTTGTAGGTGCAGGACTGAACTATCATCTGTGATGTAGTCAGAGTGCACATCAGGGAGAAAACAATCCCACCTTCCCTTGAGCAATCAGGAACAGGGCTCTTCTGCATGAGCCCCTTACCCCCTGTAGTGTGCCACGCTGCCTACGACCTTCCTTCAGGCTCCCGGGTAGAGATCAGCCAACTTAAACTCAGGAGAACAGTAGCTTTCTCCCTCTTGTGGGCTAAGATCCCTAGGGAATGCAAATGAGGCCAGAGGACTCCTGCGTTAAGGCAGGGTTGGTGTGGAGGCGGTAGACTCCCCCTTCAGCATTTTCTGAGAAGAAACCATTGTCTCCTGTGTATGTCTGAGATCATTCATTTCATTTCTCTAGTCTCAGGAGCACCTGCCACAGCTTTTTAACCCCTACAGCCGGGTAAGGCAATGCTGGAGGAAGCTGACGACTCTGAGTGCCCTCTGACTTGGATGTTCGATGCTAGCGAGGATTCTAGCAGCTGCCATCTGGGGCAGTGATTGTGTAATGTGTATGCTTAGTGAACAGCAGGGATGAGGCTGGGTCCGGGATGCTTTGTGATGTCGTGTGGCACACGGACTGACGGCAGGCAGGGGCCAGGCCTCTTCGACTCTGTGATCTTGGGTACATAATCTCCCTCTCTGGGCCTCAGTTTCCCCATCTGCACAACAAGGGACTTGGGCAGGAAGATTTCAAAAATCTCCTTTGTTCTGTGCCTGTGTGTGTGTGTGTGTGTGTGAGAGAGAGAGATTTAGAAACAAAATTTCAATGAAGCTACACTTTGATAAATGATATACAAATCCTCACCTGTCACCTGACACGAGCAATGCCAGCTCCTGTTTACTGACCCCCAGGTGCATGCCAAGTGCTTTGCTCACATTGTCCTTAACTCCCACAATACCAGGCAGGGAAGAGATGATCCCCATTTTGCAGCCACAGAAGCCAAGGCTTCTCTGGAGACTTAGGTGGCTTGCACAGGCCACACTGCTACTAAAAGGCAGCACCAGGATTTCATTTTAGCCCTGTGCTTGCTACTGGGCCACACAGTATCATTAAAATCCATCCTGAGATGACTTTTAAATGAATGAGGCCAAGATAAAACCCTGACCAGATAATCTCCCCATTGCCTCCCCATGGGACCAAGACCCTCACTTGGGATACTAACTAGGCATCTCAGTTCAGATGCTGTCAGTCAAGGTGGCCCACATCATGGCCTTCTCTCTTAACCACCCCAGGCCTGCACCCGCATTCTGACAGCCTCTCCTCTCAGTGGCTCTCCTCTCTTAGGGGTAGTAACATCATTCCAGGCCTAAAGAGAGTTCAAGCCTCTGGCATAGCCCCATGGTCTGACCTTGAGCAAGGCCCTGACCTTCTGAGGGTTTCGGCTTCCTAGTGCAGGAAAAGACAGAGGAATAACGCCTTGTTCCGCTTGCCTATCCCTGTAGGGCCAAACCAGATCAGAGGTGTGGTTGTCTCCTGCTTCCAAATTTGTTCCTCACTTCTATCCCTCCACCCAGTCCATGGAAAATCAACAACGTCATCAGCAATGTCACCAGAAGTAGGGGAGCACGGTGATTAAGCACACTGGCTGATTAGCTCACTGATGTGGGTAAATTACTTAGCCTCTCAGTTTCCTCATCTGTAAAGTGGGCATAATAATAATAGTATCTGCCTCAGAGGGTTGCGGTGAAGGGGTAAGTGAATCCACACAGAGGGTACCCGGCACACAGCAAACACTCAATAAATACCAGCACCCACGACCATCCCTCCTTGAAGCCCCCACTACTTAGCTCTGACTGCCCATCTCCAGGACCCCCTCTTCCTCTGTCCCTCCCATTCCCTCCTTTCTTATCCCTCCTTTCTTATACCTCCTTTCTTATCATTCTGCATACCACTAGGGCAGTCTCCTCCACTCCAGTAGCTGTTAAGTAACATGAAAATGGAAGGACACCTAATATCTCTCCCCTACCCCAGCTTTTCTCCAAGGCCCAGAACCGCCTCCTGGGCTTGTCCGCCTTGCTGGTGGGACCCTCCCCAGCCCCCAGCATGTTCCTGGCTGACTCACTGCCTTTCCACACAGGGGCCCCTTCCCTCATCGCTCTATTTACAGCATCACCCTCTCCCTGGCTGCCTGAGCTAGAGTCCTAGTGCACCGACCTGGTGAATTTGTTTCAGAGATGACCTTGCAGCCAGACTGAGCTCAAACAGACTTGGGTTTGAGTCCAGCGCAGCCATGTGGCACAGTGAAACCTTGAACAAGTTACTTCCTCTCTCCGAGCTGGCTCGCATCTCTCTAAAATGCACACAATGGGCGGACCCTCCAGCAGTGAACACTCATCTTTTGATCCATCTGCCAGTATATGAAGCCCCTTCTTATGTTTGGTGAATCCCTGTCCCTTTTGGGATTCACCCAAGCAAAGAAGGCTTCCCTACACGGAGCCTGAAGGCCAGACCCTGACCCGACCTCCCTCCTGGCTTCCGACTTACTGTCATCATTATAACCACACAAACCGTTCCCGGGGCTGCTTCTGCATTGCCCAGAAGTACCCTGCATCTGGACAATTAGCATGTGAAGGAATTGGAAATGATTATTTAGTTATAGGTGTGAGCCACTGCACCCAGCCGGGAACGATTTTGTCAAATTTAATCAATATATGGACGTATGTTTTGGCGGCCAACATTCAACCCACTATACTTAAACATCTTCTGTGGTAATAAAATAGCACAACACCCACCCCTCTGTGTCAACTGACTCACTCCTTCCTTCCTTCCTCCCTCCCTCCCTCCCTCCTTCCTTCCTTCCTTCTTGCTTTTTTTCTTATGCTCTCTCTCTTTCTTTGACAGGGTCTGTGTCGCCCACATTGGAGTGCAGTGGTACAATCATAGTTCACTGAAGCCTTGTAGTCCTGGGTTCGAGTAATCTTCCTGCCTCAGCCTCCAGAGTAGCTGGGACTATAAGTGTGCCACCACACCCAGCTGATTTTTAAAAATTCTTTTAGAGAAGACGGTGGGGGGGTCAGAGGCACCGGGGATGTGGTCTCCCTCTGTTGCCCAGGCTGGTGTTGAACTCCTGGCCTCAAGCAGTCCTCTCACTTTGGCCTCCCAAGGTGCTGGAATTGCTGGCATGCACCACCATGCCCACCTGATTTTTTTCTTCTTAGCGCTAATCAACACGTGCTGCGTCATATACGTATTTACCTATGGCTTTGCTCCCCCTTTAACTGTAAGTTCCAGGAAGACAGGCAGGGCTCTGTCTACTTGTTCACTGCTGCCTCCTCAGCTCCTAGAACGGGGCGTCACACACAGCAGGTGCTCAAAATTCATATATATTGAATGCATAAATAAAGATCAGACAGTGCTGAAGATTTACAGCCCTATTTGGGTCATTCCTAAAACACAGGATTGCCAGTAACAGCCAATGATGCTACAGTGTTTATAGGGAAAACGGATATAAATGATAGCTATTAAAATGGATATTATATTTATGTCGACATGCCATAATTATTTCATACTCTGAGGGCAATGGCAGGAAGCTGGCATCTTCCAGGAAGAAGTGACTGGGAGAAGACCCCTCAGGGAAAGCTCCTGGCATGGAGCCTGCCTAGAGCAAGCACCAGGTCAAAGGCAGGCGATTTGCTTCTCAGAGCCTCCCTTTCCCACATGGAAAAGTTGGACTGGGTGGCAGATCCCTGAGGCTCCTTCCCCTCAGACTGGGAGACCTTGGTGGCAGGAATGTCTACCTGCCCCACCGCTCCTGATGAGAGGCAGCTTCGCCACCACCAGGGTCTGGGATGTGTGTAACACAGCAGCCCCCTCAAGGTCCCTAGGCTTGGGTAGGAATTTCACTCATCCTTGGCCACCAAATTCAGAAACGGAAGGTCCCCAAAATATGACATTCGGGATGGGTTGCTTTAGATGGATTGGGCTGAGATGGTTAGAGTTTTGGAACTGGTGGGCTCCCTGTGGAGTACTGAGGTCCCAGAAGGGGATTCTCTATAAGAGCAGTGGGTGGCCAATGTACAGCGAAGGGGCATACCCAGAATACAATGGAGCTAGTTCACTTCACTCCCCATCTCTGTTCCCTTGATGCCATGTGATCCAGCAGTGCAGAACTGGGGAAGAAGAAGAGTCCCTACACCACTTAATACTCAAAAGTACTCGCAAAAAATAACACCCCTCACCAGGTGGCATTATTACTCTCCTTCATTGAGAAAATTAGGAAACTGGACTTCGTAGAAGCTAATTGCTTTATCCAGAGCCACCTGCATACAAACCTGCAGCGCCACCTGCATACAAACCTGTCAGCCGACCCCAAAGCCCTCAGTCGCACCAAGCCTCTGCTGCACACCCTCGTGCCTTCACACTGGCCGTTCCCCAAGCCTGGGGCATACTTCCCAGCTCTGAGAAATGTATTCATCCTTCAAAGCCCTGCTCATGTGTCCTTTTCAACAGGAAAATCTCCCATGAGATGCTCTGCTATCCCCATCTCTCCTGCCCCATAGCTTAGGCAGACTCCTGTGGTGGTGAGTCCTGGGCTGTGCTGTGATGTGTTCGCTGCCATGTCTGTCTTCCCCACAATGATGGGCCCCTGAATTCTCTATCTCTAGCACCTGTGCTCAGTAAAGGCTTGGGAAACCAGGCTCAAAGCCTGGCCCAGATGCCACCTTTTCCAGGGTGCTTCCGGGGGCCACCAACCAGAGTGCAGCCTTCTCCTCCACCAGGAACTCTTGCAGCCCCACCCCTGAGCACCTGCACCCCATTACCCATCTTTGTTTCTCCGTGTGATCTATTTCTGTTTGCTTACTTCTCTATTGCCTTTACTCCCCAACAGGATGTCAGCCTCAGAGCAGGAGCCTAGCCTAGGACAGAGCTTGGTACGTGGTAGGTGCTCAGCCAACATTTGCCAATTGGTGTTTGTCTGTAACTTATCCCTACCCTCCAACTGTGGGCTCTCCAAGGATCCTGGGATGGGGTGAGTACTTATGCCTAGTGGAGCTCTCACAACGTGCCTGGGCATCCCATCTCACCCCACCCTAGACCTTAGAGCTGAAAGGCCCTGGATGCCCTCCCAATCTAACCTTTATATAAGAGTGGAGACCCAAAGCCCAGAGAGGGTGAGTGGTGTGCCAAAGTCACACAGCGGAAGCAGCCTGACACCCATTCTCCTGGCTTCATGCCTACTGATCTCTCATCTCTTTCTGTCTCCTCTTGTCCTCCCTTGGTAAAGTATTTTCTTTCCTGAAGCCACCCACTTCTGCTAAATTTTACCCATCCAATAGACAGAAGGCAAGGGCTTTCATGTCGGGTAGTCACTCAAACTTGGGTCTAAATTCTGCTTTTCATACCTCCCAGAAGAAGGACCTGGGCCAGTTAGTTCATTTTTCTCTTTCTTTCTTTCTTTCTTTCTTTCTTTCTTTCTTTCTTTCTTTCTTTCTTTCTTTCTTTCTCTTTCTTTCTTTCCTTCCTTCCTTCCTTCCTTCCTTCCTTCCTTCTTTCTTTCTTTCTTTTTTGAGATAGAGTTGGATCCCGGCTCACTGCAACCTCCGCTTCCCAGGTTCAAGCCGTTCTCCTGCCTCAGCCTCCCAAGTAGCTCAGATTACAGGCATGTGCCATTAGGCCTGGCTAATTTTTGTATTTTTAGTAGAGACGGGGTTTCACCATGTTGGATAGGCTGGTCTCGAACTCCTGACCTCAAGTAATCCACCCACCTCGGCCTCCCAAAGTGCTGGTATTACAGGCGTGTGCCACTGCGCCCAGCCAAGTTGGTTCATTTCTTTTAAACTGTTAATTGTGAAATACACATAACATAAAATTTACCATCTCAACCATTTCTAAGTGTACAGTTCAGTGTCAAGGACATTAACATCGTTGTGCAACCATCACCACCGTCCATCTCCAGGACCTTCATCTTGCAAAACTGAAACTCTATTCCTGTTAAACATTCACCCCCCATTCCCCTCCCTCCGCCGTCCTTGGCAACCACCATTCTACTTTCTGTTTCTATGAATTTGACTCTTTTAAGGACTTCATATAAGCGGAATCATGCAGTCTTTGTCCTTTTGTGACTGGCTTGTTTCACTTGATATAAGGTCATCAGAGATCATCCATGTTGGAACATGTGTCAGACTTTCTTTCCTTTTCAAAGCTGCATCATATTCCATTGTAGGATAGAGCACATTTTGTTTACACATTCATCCGTCAATGGACACTTCGGTTGCTTCCACCGTTTGGCTTCTAGGCATAATGTTGCTATGGTTCGTTTCTTCTTTTCTTTTCTTTTTTTGGGGGATGGGGGCAGAGTCTTGATCGTCACCCAGGCTGGCATGCAGTAGTGCAATCCCAGCTCACTGCAGCCTGGACCTCCTGAGCTTAGGAGAGCCTCCTGCCTCAGCCTTGGGAGTAGCTGGGACTACAGGCACGCACCACCATGCCCAGCTAATTTTTATATTTTTTATCGACATGGGGTCTCACTGTGTTGCCCAGGCTGGTCTCCAACTCCTGGGCTCAAGCGATCCTCCCACTTCAGCCTCCCAAACTGTTGGGATTGCAGGTGTGAGCCACCACGCCCAGCCTGGTTCTTTTTTTCTTAAGCCTTATTCCTCACTTGCAAAATGGTGTTCCTGTCCTCAGGTGTATACATGATTCACTTTGCCTGTCATCTGCTTAACAAGGGGCCTTATCAGCAGAGTTAAATTACTAGCGTCTGCTGGGTGCCCACTGTCTGCCAGGTGAGCTTCTGCAGACTACCTGTATTTATACATCAATCCCTCACTGCCCTATGAAGTGGGTGCCACTGTTATCCCATGTTATGGAAGCAGAGAGAAATACCAACCTTGCCTCAGGTCACAAAGCCAGGGAGTGGCAGAGCTGGGACAACAAGTCAGGCCACTGGCTCCAAAGCCTGGCCGCCCAACCACATACTCTCCATATGACTGGGCTTCTTGTATCCACAGCACCTAACATGTGCTTGTGAGTTCACGGGGGAGCATTCTCCCAGCCCACATCCCGAGCCTGTGCAGCTGGCTGTCTCTGCTGCTCTCAGTGGGGGAGAGTGGGCCACCCCAGGGGCGAGTTCCGGCTGCACTGGGGAGAAGATGAAGGAAAGCACTAGAAGGCTCTGCAGTTCCTGTCCCGGCTTTTGGAAAACAAACACCACTGCCACCAAAACCTGTTCAGGAATTATGTGAAAATTCCTATTTCACACATCTTTTTTTGAAAAACAAATGCTAGAAAGACACATTCTGTCTAGTTGACATGATCAAGAAGAATATCAAACAGCATTCACAGGGAATCCATTTGATTCACCGCAAAGAAACACCAACATCCATAACTTCATTTATTTCTGCAGTGGAATGGAGGGAAGGCTGGCTGTGATGCCGCGGAGGCCTTGCCTTGGGGAGAAATTGCTGTCAAGTCACCACACCTCCTGTCTGTGGCTCGATTTATAGCATTTCAGGGACTACTGGAATTTCTGCCTTGAAACCATCTGGCCTAATTACTCCTGTGGCTGGCATGGGGCCTGGTATTGTTCTTGATTTTGAGGCGAAGGTGCTGGTGGCTCCTTAAAAGAGCCCTTTCCGGTGCCACCCCAAAACTGCAGCCACCTTCTAGGCAGCTTCAGTGTTGGCTGGGACAATTTCAGCCAGCGCCAGGCTTGGAGAAATCAACAGATTCTTTGCATCCAGGAAACAAATAAACAAAACAAACTTCTTTGCCCCTAGGAGGGTTTGCAGGTCAGGATGACAGCAGAGCGTGTAATTATGATGATTATTTTCTGCACAGGGGAAGGAAACAAAGGGCTAGAACTACCTGGTAACTGACAATAGCTCTTGTTTCTGGAGCACCTACTATGCGCCAGGCACTTATTGACCCTCTAACCTGCTTAGTAATCTCTTGGGCCCCTTACCCCCTTTGTCAGATGAGGAAACTGAGGCTCTGAAAGAGACCGGTGAGTTGCCCAAGGTCACAGATCAAGTAAGCAGCAGAGGCAGGATTTGAACCCAGCTCTCGCCTGTTTAGAGAATGACCTGCCAAGATTTTTGGAGGGGCTGAGCCAAGGATCTGGTGCTGGGGCCTGTGACGGGGAGCCCAGGGACCAGAATTAAGGTTGGGGGTGTCTTAGTTGGAGTCCCTAGAAGCCTTTGGACGAGGATTCAGTGCAGTTTATTACAGAGACAGGGTCTGCAGAATATGACCCCCCAAAGAAGTGTACCTCCTAATCCCTGGAACCAGCGACTATGTTACCTTACCTGGCAAAAGGGACTTTGCTGATGGGATTAAGGCTATGGATCTTGAGAAGGAGAGATCGTGACCCCCTGCTTTATAACCTCCCTTGGCTCCCCATCGTCCCCACAGTCCCAGGCTCCCTGCTTTCCTAGCGCAACCCTCCATCCTGTCCCTATAGACACCCCAGCCTCCAGATGTACCCAGGTACTTACACTTCTCTCAATGGGACATGCTTGTCACACCTCTCTGCCTTTGCAAATGCTGGTCCCACTGCCTGGAAAGCCCCCCGCCACTCTGCTTAACAACTGTTTTCTCCAGTGTGTCCTCTTTCTGGAAGCTTACCTTGTGTTCCCCCAGGTGGGTGAGGGGGTCTCTCTTGCAATGCTCCACTGCTAGCCCTTTCGGGCCCCCACCCCAAGGTGCCGCACTGGACAAATATGTTCTACCCACCAAGCTATGGGCTCCTCTGGGGAGCAGCTTTGCCTGCCACAACTTCGCTTCCCGGGCACCCAGCCCAGGGCCTGGCACACAGGACGGCTCAGGGAAGGACTCTCCTCTGCAGAGCAGGAGTCATGGGAAAGGCACGCATTGCTGCCCACGGCCCAGCCACTGCCCTCTCAGACCTGGCTATTTTTATTTCTTTTCCCTGCAGAGCTCAGGCCTGTGGGGCAGGTTCTCAGACCAAGCAAGTGAGACCTGCCAGATGGACTGAAGACATCTGCTGATGCTGCCCCAGCCACAGGCCAGCAGGAGTGGCCGTAGGGGCTCCTCCTCTAGGGCACAGCCCCAGACCTCAGCCAGGGAGCTTGCTACAGGCTCAGAGCCACCAGGCACCGCAGGCGCTGATGCATCCCAATGCTCAGGTCCAGCTTTGCCATGTTCTTGCTGTATGCCCAGAAGTAAATCACGTCACCTTCTTGTCTCCTTGTCTTGGCACATAGTAGGTGCTTGTAGGTGGCACTTTCTATGCTGGACCCTCTATCCTCATCAGCTTCATAATTCTCAGCTTCAGTGACTGTGCCTGCAGTAAATGAGCAGCTGCTCGGCACTGTGCTAGGTTCCCCACTTTATGAATGAGGCAATTGAGGCTCAGAGAGGCTAAGTAACTTGGCTAAGGTCACACAGCTGGCTGGTGGCAGAGCCAGGAGTTAACCCTGGGTCTTTGGACCCCACAGCCCAAGTTCACAGCCAATCGGCTTCATGACTATGGCCCCTGTGATGATCCAACCCCAAGGAAGCTGCAGCCTTGCTCCAATCCCTCCAACGATACAGCATGACAGGTGCACAGAGCTGTCTCCGTGAGGTCCCCTTATTTTGTGGACAAGCCATAGGGAGGAATGTGGCTACTCACATGAGAGGGCCCCTGCCTTCCTCCTGGAGCCACCTGGAGTCACCACACCAGGCAGCTCATCCCTGCTTGGTGACCCAATGTACAGAAAGAGCAGAGCCTTGTCCTAAGTCACACAGCATGGGAGTGACACAGCCAGAACTGGAACACAGGCCAGCCCTGTCCTGCCCTGCCATACAAGAAAGGTGGCCTGCCTGCACCTTGTCAGAAGACCCGAAAGCATTGCTGAAATTCCAGTTCCTAAATCTATGGCTTGTGCATCTCTATGGTTCCATCCCCACCACTGCAACCCCAAGGATCCTAGGACAAGGTGTGGAACAAGGATGGACAAATACATGAAAGAATTCTTCAACTCCTCTGACATTGCGTTATTACTGATTTGAATCTGGACTCATAAAGTAAGGACGTTCAGTATGTCTAAATTCTGTGACACCTTGAGGTCCCTCTTGAATGGGAGGCTCCGCAGTGAGAGTCAGGAGACTTCTTTGAATTCGAGTTGTCACACGTACCAGCTGTGGGACACCTGAGAAGTTGCTTAACCCCTCTGAGCCTGTTACCTCATCTGTAAGCTGATTCTACCCTGGAGGAGGATGAAAGTGTGATAAAACCGAGGTAATAAAACCTACCATACAGGTCATAGGGCGAATGAAATCAGAGGTAAAAGCACCTGCAGATAAGGACAAAATCACAGCAGCCCTAAAATGCACCAGGCCCTGTTTCTGTATAGATATTGTGCGGGCTTGTCCTGGAGCCAGACTGTCTGGGTTCAAGGCCTGGCTCAATTGATCACTAGCTGTGTGACCTAAGGCACATCAGTTTGAGCTCTCTGGTCCTCAGTTTCCTTATCTGTAAAATGGAGGTGATAATATGAACTACCTCACGGGGTTGTGATGAGAATTACAACCTAGAAGCTTTACATGGAGCTTCTCCATGTAAAATGATTAGTACGGTGCAGGACCGGTCAGCTGTCAACAACATCAATAACACTAAGGAACAGACCCAGAGAGAAACAGCTTGGCCACAGTCACCCTGCTAAACTCCAGGATCCGTCCACCATCACACACAAGCCCACCAGCTGCACTTAGAAACCACCCACCCTCGGGGAGTGAGCCAGGCTGAGCAGTGGGCCCCTGAGACAGCTGGGGTGTTGGGGTGCTCCATCCTTGGGCCAAGCCAGGCCTGGGGACTCTGTTATCAGCACCACATTTAGTGCCTCGAAATGGGTGTGCCCCTATTGGTCCATACTGGGTGCAGCTGCTTTTGCCCATGCTGGGTAGTAAGCAGAGGGAGACCTGGGAAGAGAGTGGGGGTGGGGAGAGGAAGGGGAGCACACAGAGGCAGCAGCTGCTCAGAAGGGGCATCCCCACAACCGCAGCTGCACCCAGGTATGGGCCCCATCCTGTTAGAGGTTCAAACTCCGAGAGGGCCCCCGATACCCTGCTCTGGATGGCCGAATCCCTTGACTAGAATCACGGAGACCCAATGGCAATTCTAGATGCCAGGGTGTTGGTTAACAAAGCCCTTCCTCCCAGAAAATTCTCTTCCCAGCAAGAATGGGCAGCAAATTAGTGATTCTCCAGGCATTTGTGTGTGGGCTGGGAACACCTCTTCCTAGTGTCGGGCTTGTAGTGGGGGCCTGCTGGCCGTCACTTGCTACTGGTGCTCATCATGACAAGAGAGATTTCCTGGGAAGCTAAAGCATCACTGGAGCTTTGCATGATGAGTAGGCCTGTCCCATTTATTTGGCATGGCTTCGGCATCCAGCAGGCATGGGGTTCTGGGTGACCCTCCCTGATGCTTTGGGGTTCAGGGGTTCATGCACAGCTCACTTCTAAAGCTGTGACAGCTGAGGTGATCCTTGCACCGAGGAGCAGGCAGGCCATGGGGGATGGAGGGGGCAGGTCAGGCACTCAGCAGGTGCCATGGGAGTCAGAGCTAAATTCAAGTGCTGACTCCACTGTGTGACTTTGGGCAAGACACTTACTCTCCCCGAGCCTCCTTCCTCTTTTGGAAAACGGCATGACTCATGGCCCTGGAAAGGTTCATCAGAGTCTGCGACCAGCTTAACAGAGGACTGAACATTTTCCTCCCATCCCAGAGGCAAGGGGCCCTTTCCCACCCAGCTCTGGGAACCAGGTCCACTGGATCACTGAGGATGGAAGCCCAGGAGCTTGGGAGGGGCCTCCTGGATGGCAGGCTGAGCACCAGGACAATGTCTGGAGCATGTGAGCTGAGAGTGAACTTGGGGCATGTAGCCTGAGCCTACGGTCCTGCCCCAGCCAGCTCCTTCTCCCTCAGCAGGGGATCTTGTAGAAGGAAGGCTGGGTCTCTCCAAGGGCAGGGGGCATGAGGATAGGGAGACCGACAAGCTCAGGGTCATAAAAGGAGAAGCCGGAAGCCTCTGATGGGCCCAGAATCATCTCAGAGACGAGGCCGGGGCGGAAACGGTGTCCTTAAAACCCTGAACTTTGGACTGTGCCCACAATTGTTCCTTGTTAGCTGTGCCTGTGTCCCTTTATAACGAACAGGGTGGGTGTCCTCAGGGTGGGGGGAGGGGAGCTGGTGCAGTAATGGGGGCAGGGACTCCCAGTGGAGGACAGAGTGGCGGCTGGCTAAGGACGAAAGGAAGGGGCCCCGCCCAGGCCCGTGGGAGGCAAAGGGAGGTCGGAATGCCAGCTGAGCCCTGAGAAGTTCTCCACAGCTTAACAGTTGCCAGTGACCTGCTGGTCCCCCGGGGCTGCTCACGAGCTGCCTGCTCTGGTGCCATGAGGCTGAGCCCATCCAGACCTCTCAGGGCAGGTGTTCCCAGCAGTGGGACAACTCATCATGACTGACCGGATGAGTTGTCCCACCAGACTCATGAGTGAGGAGGGAATAGGGGTGCGCCCGCCGTGCATTGGCCATCTCCCTGGCCCGGGCGGGCGGCAGGGGGACAGGCCACCCCCAAACACTCATTCCAAAGACGGTGGACTTAGCTCTGGGGAGAATTACTCCAGCAGGGACCTCAAAGAGAGAGGGAAAGAATCCTCACCTAAAAGGAATGTGCCGGTTGATTTTATGTATCAACTTGGCCAGGCTCCAGTCACATTTATTCAATCAAACGCTAACCCAGGTGTTGCTGTGACGGTGTTTTGTAGCTGTGGTTGACATCTACCATCAGTTGACTTTAAGAGAAGGGATTCCCCTTGGTGTGGGTGAGCCTCGGCCGGGCAGTTGAAGGCCTTCAGAGCAAAACTGAGGTTTCTCTGAAAAAGAAAAGAATTCTGCCAATCATGCAGCATCAGCCTCTGCCCTGGAGTTTCCAGCTTGTAGGCCCCCCACCTGCAGATTTCAGACTTGCCGAGTCAGACCTCACAATTGTGTGAGCCAATTCTTTGAAATTAGTCTGTTTTCAGGCCGGGCGCGGTGGCTCACGCCTGTAATCCCAGCACTTTGGAAGGCCGAGGCGGGCGGATCACAAGGTCAGGAGATCGAGACCATCCTGGCTAACACGGTGAAACCCCCTCTCCACTAAAAATACAAAAAATTAGCCGGGCTTGGTGGTGGGCGCCTGTGGTCCCAGCTACTTGGGAGGCTGAGGCAGAAGAATGGCATGAACCCGGGAGGCGGAGCTTGCAGTGAGCCGAGATGGCGCCACTGCACTCAAGCCTGGGCGACAGAGCAAGACTCCGTCTCAAAAAAAAAAAAAAAAAAAATTAGGTGGGCATGGTGAGGTGTGTTTGTCGTCCTAGCTACTCGGGAGGCTGAGAGGTGGGAGGATCACTTGAGCCCAGGAGGGGCAGGCTGTAGTGAGCCATGAATGTGCCACTGCCCTCCAGCCTAGGTGACAGAGTGAGACCCTCCTCAAGAAAAAGAAAAGACTAACCAGGCCTTAGCTAGGTGAAGGGGAAGGCAGCTGGCAGAGAGAACATCATGTGGAGATGCCCTAAGGTGAGAAGGAGCCCTGTTGTTTTGCCACCAGCTCACTTGTCTGAGTTTCTCATCCAATCAGGGGCTCATGGAGGGGAACCTGTGTCTTGTTCATCCTTGTCTGCTGTGCCCAGCACCCAACTGGGGGCTCATATATCTTGGGGGGACATATATCTTGCTCATCTCTCTGTCTGCTATGTCCAGCACCTGGCTGGGGGCTTGTGGAGGGGACACATGTCTTGCTCATCTCTGTGTCTGCTGTGCCCAGCACAGTCACCCTGTGACCTCGGGCTCATCACGGGTGAGTTTTCTTATCTGAAAAGCAGAGAGAGTGGGAGCAGGTAAGGAAGGGAAGGTAGTTCTGGAAGGTCAAGGTAGGGAGTGCAGATTCTTTTCTAAGTTCAGGAGGAAGCTACAAGGCAAAGACAGGAGTGGATTACCATTCTACAACATCAGGCTGCTGGGAACGAGGGTGGAAGCCAGGAGAGCAGATAAGGTGCAGGTGCAGTGTTCTAGGTGGGAGGGGAGGGTGGCCTGGGCCAGACTGCCAGTGACAGGAAGGAACAGAAGTGGGTGAATTGGAGGCACAACTGTTGGGGTTTGCAGATGAGAAAGAGGGCAATGGATGATGACACCCATGTTTCTGGTCTAAGAAACTAAAGCATAGTGGCACATTGACAGACGAGGATGTTGGAGGATAAGTGTCAGAGGATAACTCCGAATGGGATGTGAAAGGCTAAATGCATTTCTGCTTGGGTCTACCAGACATCCTTGGGCTACTGATCACTGGACTAGGATCAGGAACAACTAACCTATCTCTTTGCTCTTCCTTACCTAATTTCTGGCCTCTATGAGGAGATTACCTCATAGCCCAAAATAACTGCTGGAGCACCAACCATAATATCTTCATTCCAGGTGGAATGCAGGAGGAAGAAGAAATGGGTAAAAAAAGCTTTCATCAGCTGTGTCCTCTTTTGATTGAGCTTTCCACAAGGCACCCTCATCAATTTCTCCCATGTCTCATTGATTAGAACAGTCACATGCCATATCTGGCTGCAAGGGAGACTGGGAGATATAGTCTTTGGCCAGACACATTTCTGGCCAGAATAAAATCAAGGTTTCACTGGAAGGGAAGGAGGGAGAAACAGATAGTGGGGAGGCAACAATCTCTGGTGCACTGTCTCTTATTGTTCTCTTAGTTCTCCACTTAACCGTCTCCCATACCCCTCTGTGTTGTACACAACAAAATTCAGACTCCTTGATATGACCTTCAAGCCCTTCGCTCTCTGACTGCTACTGCCCCAGCCGACATCCCCCAGGCTTCTCTCTCCTTTGTCCTTGTATTTAGCCCCAGACATGATTCCCCCTGGGTGAAAGCCACGTAGGGTCACTCCAGGTCTCCTGTGCCAAGGTGTTCAGAAGGAATAGTTACTGCGGTGCTTTCTAGAGCTGTGCGTGATCCTGGGAATTACTAGTGACATTTAAAAAGCGGTTTTGTTCATTGCTGTGCAGTTGCCACCACCATCCCTGCAAGGGCCTCCTCCTGCAGAATGAGGCAGCTCCGAGACATTGGGGTGGATGGTGGTAAGCCATGATCCCTTGCAGGAGGAGCTGCTGGCTGCACGGTCCCAGGTGAGAGACGGAAGTTAGTACAAGTTGGTGGCAGACAGTTCTAGGAAGCAAACGAAAAGGAATGTTTTGAGGTGTTTTGTTTTGTTTTGTTTTTATTTATTTTGAGACAGCATCTCACTGTGTCACCCAGGCTGGGTATGGTGTTGCAGTCATGGCTCACTGCAGCCTCCACCTCCTGGGCTCAAGCAATTCCCCCACCTCAGCCTCCTAAGTAACTGGAACCACAGGTGCCTGCCACCATGTCCAACTAATTTTTTGATTTTTTTTTTTTTTTTGTAGAAATGGGGTCTCACTTTGTTGCTCAGGCTGCTCTTGAACTCTTGGGCTCAAGTGATCCTCTAGCCTCAGCCTCCCAAAATGCTGGGATTACAGGTGTTAGCCACCACACCTGGCTAAAAAGGCATGTTTTGAAGATTGATATAGCCAAGGCAGGCAACAGGAATGGGGAGGTCAGTCACAGGCAGAGATCCCTGGGAAGCCACCTGGGGCTTTTCTTGGCCGTCATCAGGTCCTCATCCCTGTTTTGTGGGTGAGGATGATGCAGTCCAGAAAGGAACAGAGGGAGGGGACTGACGACCAAGTACCCCTGTCTACCAGACACTGTGGGCAGAAACTTCTAGGCCCATGGAGCTCTAGGAGGTCAGGCGATTATTCCATTTTATGAATGGAGAAACTGAGGCTCAGAAAAATTAAACCTGTGTGAGGCCACGAGGCTGACTCCTTTATTTTTTTTTCCAGCACTTCATTTCATATTATCTTATTGCCTCTTGCTTTCGTCCACGTGTCCTTCCTTTCTCTTTCCCCACTCCCCACCATCTCTCTCTCTCTCTTTCTTTTTAGGTACAATTACATGGTGTAAAATGCAGTTGCATCAAATGCGTTCACTCTTGCTACCAACCACTCCAGTCAAGACATAGAAATTCCCACGCCCAGAATGCTCCCTCACACCCCTTCGCAGCCGACCCCTCCAAAGGGCAACTCCTGTTCAGATTCCTAACACCATAGATTTGTTTTCGGCCGTTTCTGGGTTGTTGTTGTTGTTGTTGTGTTTGTTTGTTTTGAGACAGAGTCTCACTCTGTTGCCCCCAAAGTGCTGGGATTACAGGTGTGAGCCAGTGTGCCTGGCCTGTTTCTGAACATATGTGTGGATTCAGGCTGGCTCTTTTTTTATTTTTTATTTCTTGGCTTTAATTACAAAATGGGTGGGGAATAGAGGCGCATAGAGGCGGTGGGCTAGGTGGGTCTCCCTGCTGTGGGATAGCATTTCTGTGCTGTGTGTCCTGTCCTCATCGTACCCTCACTCACCAGCCCTGCCTCCTTCCTCTGTGCAGTTCACTGACCCACTTTCTCTCTGCAAAGCCTTCCCTGGCCCACAGGCTGTGCACTTCCTCCCCTGGAACTTTCCTTCATAGCCTTCGGCAAGATCGTGATGAACTCACCGGTCATGCGGTTATGTCTTCAACACCTGCGTCCCCCACCGGAGGCCAGCTCCCAGGGCGCGTTCTAGTGTGTGGCGTTCGCTTCATATTCCCAGGCGTCGCTTGCCCCAGCACGCCTGTGTGCTCAGTAACAATGTGTTAAGCACAGGATTTTGGGAGAAGTGTATATGGACGTCTGAAGAAGGGTTGTGCTTGTGGAAGAGAGGAAAAGGGGGTGTGGTAAGGGGTGTGAGCCAAGGGACACACAGGAACAAGGAGTGGCCACATGCAGCTGGCCTGGGAGGGGCAAGGGCTGATACCCAGGTTGAGGAGATGGAGATGGCTCATGGTGCCAGCCACTCGCTCTGCCTGCATGCGCCCTCTCTATCCTGTGTAGGCATCTTGGGAGGAAGGGACCTCCATCATCTCCTCTTTGAGTAAACCTAGAGAGGTGTTTCAGTCTGTTCAGGCTATTAACAAAAGACTACAGACTCAGACAACAGAAGTTGATTTCTCAGAATTCTGGATGCTGGAAGTCCAAAATCAAGGCGCTGGCAGTTTTGGTGTCTACTGAGGACCTGCGTCCTGGTTCACAGAGGTGCCTTCTTACTGGGTCCTCCTCATCCAGGAGAAGGAGCCAGGGAGCTCTTTGGTGTCTGTTTTTTTTTTCCTTTTTCTTTTTCTTTTTTTTTTTTTTGAGACAGAGTCTCGCTCTGTCGCCCAGGCTGGAGTGCAGTGGCGCGATCCCAGCTCACTGTGACCTCTGCTTCCCCGGTTCAAGCAGTTCTCCTGCCTCAGCCTCCCGAGTAGCTGGGGCTACAGGCACCCACCACCAAACGTGGCTAATTTTTGTATTTTTTAGTAGAGACGGGGTTTCACCATTTTGGCCAGGATGGTCTCCATCTCTTGACCTTGTGATTCGCCCACCTCAGCGTCCCAAAGTGCTGGGATTACAGATGTGGGCCACCGCGCCCGGCCTGGTGTCTGTTTTATGAGGGCACCAATCCCATTCACAGGGGTCCCCTCTCACGAGCAAATCGCCTCCCAAAGGCCCCACCCCCTAACACCATCATCTTGGGAGTTAGGATTCCAACATAAGAATTTTGGGGGACACAGACATTCAGACCACAGCAAGAGGTGAGGTAGCTTCCCCCCACCCACACAAGGCGAGCTTCCTTGGTATTTTTCAGTTGAAGCAGTCACAAGCCCGCCTGGTCAAGAGGCAGGGACCCAGAACCCACACCTCATGGCGATAAGTACGGAAGATTTCAGGGCCATGCTTTAAAACCACTGTAGCACATCAGAGCAATGAAAAAATAGCTAACATTCATTCAGTGCTTACTCAGAGCCAGGTGCTGTGGATAACTTGATGCAGAAGATACATTTATAGTTAACATGTACATAAATGAACGTAAAAGCGAGACCATGCACATCAATGTTTCAGGAGCTGTGCCTGTTCCACTAGACAGACTGGTCACAGGCCATCACAGTTTGGGAGCCCACTTCACCCCTGCACCCACCCTCCCCGTGCCTGGCCCAGCCCCCAAAGCTGGCCGGCTGCTGGCCACTTCCACCCGCATCAGGCCTCCGGGCTGCTCCATTCCAGATGTGCCTTGAGGGCTGCGCAGCTCCTCCTGCCCGCCTCCTCCTGCCCACCTCCTCGCTGCCCGCCTCCTCCTGCCCGCCTCCTCGCTGCCCGCCTCCTCCTGCCCGCCTCCTCGCTGCCCGCCTCCTCGCTGCCCGCCTCCTCCCTGGCTGCCAGGCGGAGGCCCCCAGCTCAGCTGCAGGAAGCCTGTGAAGGCAGTCAGTGCGTTTCTGCAGCAAGAAATGGGGCCAGTGCGGAAATGTGAGCGTCAGCCCACCCTCAGCGCCCTAAGGTGGGAGACAAGGGGCATACGATGATGGTCCGGGCTGCATGGTGACAGTGGATAACCACTGCCCTGGGGGACAGAGCCGCCTTTGTCCTCCGCCTGCCGGCCCTGGTGACACGGTGTTCCTTCAGTGGCGGGAGGCCAGGGCTGCAGGCTAGAGGGAAACGGTTTCCCTGTTCTGTTGGGGGTGGGTGGCTGAAAGAATGGGAGAGCAGGATGTTAAGGGCCACATGGAGGTTACTTTACAAGATCCCTGTCCACAGACAGTTGAGAAACGAGATAGAGCCGTTACCATCTGGGACAAGAAGGGATGTTGATGAGGAAGACACCTGGGGACATTGGGCATCCTTCAGTCCAGCCCTCTCCTTTTTCAGATGGGGAAGCTGAAGTCAGGAGACAAAAAGGATTTTTCTGAGGTCACACACATGAGCCCAGGCTGCCACGGGTTGGTCTGGCCTGCACCCAGGACCCTGCGTTGTTGTGAACTGCCTTCCATGTTACAAGCCCACCAGTTTGAAGCCCAAAACAGAAAGTTATAGGGTCAGGGGAGTGTGGCTGTGAACACTGACCCTGGAGTACCCTTTCTGGATTAGCACTGTAGGCACTTATTTAATTCTAACAACCACTGTACAATGGACAGATGTGCTCTTGCTCCGTCCTACAGAGGCAGAGAGAGGGTAGCTGGGCCCACTCACATGCACTGTGAGTGTGGCCGGTGTGCAATGTGAGGTGAGGGTCGGGGCCGGCAGAAGAGGGACTGGAGGGCCACGGTGCATGAGACAGCACCATGCTTCGAATGCCCAGCCTGGGTGGAGCCATGGAAGGCTTTGAGCAGAGGAGACTGAAGCTCAGGCTTGGGAAAGGCCCCTTGGCGTCTGGGAGGGGTAGGAAGTGGGAGGAACAAGGCAGGATCCATGAACCTACTAGGAGGCAGGTGCCACGGCCCAGGAGGGCTGTGATGAGGGTCTCAGCTAGGACTGTGTCTATGGCCGTAGAGAGAAGGGACTGACCCCTGGATGACCAGAAGGCGGATATGGTAGCATTTGGTGATTGCTTGACCATGGCGCCTTGATTAAGGGATAGCTTCTAGATTTCTAGTGGAAGGTGGTGCCATCACTGAGAGAGGAGCCCAGGAGGTGGAGCAGGATGGGACCAGCCGGGCTGTGTGTGAGGTGCCCGGAGACATCCCAGGGGAAACCACCCGAGGCTCTGGGCATAGCAGAAAGATCTAGGCCAGCGGGAGAGGACTAGGAGGCCTCAGCCATCTCTGCTCCTTTCCAGCTGAGGACATTTTCAGGTGAGGTCTGCTTTCCTTGGGCAAGTGGCACACTGGTCCCTCCAGTTCTAAGAGTGCCCCCAAGGCAGCAGCCTTCATGGGGCAATGTGTCTTCTGGGGGTCTGCACAGACTTTCCAAGTGGCACATGGGCATGGAGAGTTTAAGGAACTTGATTTCCAGCTCTCCCAGTTGAGTGACACGTCAGTGTTTTCTCCCCAGCTCCACTTCCATACCCTGCTTCTCTTACCATACAGGAGGAAGGCCCCCGGATCAGAACCCAGGCCATGGGGATTGGCAGAGCTCATTTAATCCAGGCACAGAGATGGGACTTCCTGTCTTTTTTATTCCTATTAGTAGCCGACCTGGTGTTGGAAACAGGGATTTGGCCTCCTGTTGGAATGTTCTGAATTCAGGTCTATTGTAGAGCAGGGCAGGAGTGAGGACTTTTTGTTTTGTTTTTTTTGTTTTGCCTTGAATGAACACAATTCTTTTGCCTTATGTTTTCAGAGCAAGAGTCTTGTGGGATTGAGTGAAGAGCTCATTGGCAGAAAGACCAAAGGCTTCTCCACCTGTCCACACACCCATCATTCATCTAGAGCTCAGAAGTGGGGTGATGGTCACGGAGATGGATATTGCCCCCTTAATTTGAACTGAAAGATGAAGACACGCTTTCCTCTTGGGGAAAGCATGTCTGATTGGCTTATTGGACCAACAATGAGGACTGGCTTTGCCAACTGCTTGTACAGTGGATATTTCCCATGAATCAGATGAATTAAGTCTATAGCTGCAACATTTTGTCAAAAATATGGCCGGGCGCGGTGGCTCACGCCTGTAATTCCAACACTTTGCGATGCCGAGGCAGAGAGATCACCTGAAGTCAGGAGTTCAAGACCAGCCTGGCCAACATGGCAAAACCCCGTCTCTACTAAAAAAAAAAAAAAATACAAAAATTAGCCTAGCATGGTGGCATGTGTCTGTAAATCCCAGCTACTCAGGAGGCTGAGGCAGAAGAATTGCTTGAACCTGGGAGGTGGAGGTTGCAGTGAGCCAAGATCATGCCATCACTCCAGCCTGGGTGACAGAGCAAGACTCCATCTCAAAAAAAAAAAAAAAAAAAAAAAAAAAATATATATATATATATATATATATATGAATCATATTACAAGAGCCTTTAACAATAGTTTGGGGGGAAAGTATATTGAAATTAAAAACATTAAATTTTTCCAATTCTTTCTGCAAATGTCTGGTTAAACAAGGTGCCTTTATTTAAGTGAAAGAGTGACAGGTATAATCACCAGCTCCTGGGTGACTCTTGGAAAACTCTTTTTGGTGCACTGTTATGCTGGACCCCTGTTGACTTCAATAGGGATGGCACCATGTTCCAGAGACTGGAGAATGAGACATGGGGTTTATTGAGGGGACTTACATACAGGGTGGTCCAGCGGTAGTTGGCTGGGCAAGAGAACCACAGTTGCTTGTAAAAAGGTTGCAGTTTATGTAGCCTTTTCCCTTGGCACCCTACCTCCCCCCGGCAACCTCCACCTGGCAACCTTCATCTAACCCAAAACAAGGAGATCAGGCTGTGATCTCCTGCACAGCCTGAGTTCCATGGGATGAGCTGGGGGCTCAGATGTTCCTCAGATAAGGAATGAATCTCCGGGCTGGCCACTCCCAGATTCCTTAGCTTGGAACTAGGAACACACATTCTTCTCAGATCCTGGGGTCATTCTCAGGGGTGTGCTTATGTCACGCTCTTGCTGTCAGGTGTGTCTGCCATATATGCACTTGCCCAGAAACTGAGAAAGTGAAGGACTCTAGAGACTGAGTAACAAATCCCTGCATAAACCAGGCGTTTCCAACACATTGAAGAAAATCCTAACCAAGTTGTCCACTGACTGATCAAAAAAACAATCCAGATCAAACCTGTCCAGCCCACGACTTGCGGGCTATATGCAATCCAGGATGGCTTTGAATGCAGCCCAAACACAAATTTGTAAACTTTCTTAACTTTCTTAAAATATTATGAGTTTTTTGTGATTTTTTTAAGCTCACCAGCTATTGTTAATATTAGTGTATTTTATGAGTGGCCCAAGACAATTCTTCTTCCAATGTGGCCCAGGGAAGTCAAAAGATTGGACTCCCTGATTTAGATGATGGAGCATCGTTATGTGACTTTTTTGGCCATGTATCTTTTAAGACATTCAGAGAATTAAGTGACATTTCTTTTTTATTTCTTTTTCTTTTTTTTTTTTCGATATGAAGTCTTACTCTGTCACCCAGGCTGGGAGTGCAGTGGCGTGATCTCAGCTCACTGCAACCTTCTCCTCCCGGGTTCAAGTGATTCTTGTGCCTCAGCCACCCGAGTAGCTGGAATTACAGGCATGTACCATGATTCCTGGGGAAGTTTTGTATTTTTAGTAGAGACGGGGGTTTCGCCATATTGCCCAGGCTGGTCTTGAACTCTTGACCTCAAGTGATCCACCCACCTTGTGCTGGGATTACAGCCATGCTGGGATTACAGGCATTAGTGCTGGGATTACAGGCATGCTGGGATTATAGGCATGCTGGGATTACAGGTGTGAGCCACTGTGCCTGGCCTTAAGTGACATTTCTATAACAAATATTCTTCCCTTTCCATCCACTTCTTTATATGAATAAATTTTCTACATGTTTTGTATCTATAAATACAAAAAAGAATAAAACCTACCCTAAACCATGTCTCATTCTAGCTATAAGAAATATTAATCTGCAGATGTCATGAACTACTTCAGAAAACAAGGCCTATTTGTGTAATTAACACATTTCTAATAACAATCTACTTTTATGTTCAATAATTACTTATCAAATACATAACATAATGTAGATATTTTTTTTGAGATGGAGTTTCGCTCTTGTTGCCCAGGCTGGAGTGCAATGGTGTGATCTCGGCTCACTGCAACCTCTGCCTCCCAGGCCCAAGCAATTCTCCTGCCTCAGCCTCTTGAGCAGCTGGGACTACAGGCGTGCACCACCATGCCTGGCTAATTTTTTTTTTTTTTTTTTTTTTTTTTTTGGAGACGGAGTTTTGCTCCTGTTGCCCAGGCTGGAGTGCAATGGGCTCTCTTGGCTCACCACAACCTCTGCCTCCCAGGTTCGAGCGATTCTCCTACCTCAGCCTCCCAAGTAGAAGGGATTACAGGCATGCTCCACCATGCCCGGCTAATTTTTTATTTTTAGTGAGACGGAATTTCTCCATGTTGGTCAGGCTGGTCTCAAACTCCCGACCTGAAGTGATCCTCCCTCAGCCTCCCAAAGTGCTGGGATTACAGGCTTGAGCCACTACACCAGGCTAATTTTTTGTATTTTATTAGAAACAATGGGATTTCACCATGTTGCCAAGGTGGTCTCGATCTCCTGAGCTCAGGCGATCCATCCGCCTCAGCCTCCCAAAGTGCTGGGATTACAGGCGTGAGCCACCGCACTTGGCCACAATTTTGTTTTAAAATGTCAACATTTACAATACATTAGAGCTGGGCATGGTTGCTCATGCTTGTAATCCCAGCACTTTGGGAAACTGAGGAGGGAGGATTGCTGGAGGCCAGGAGTTCAAGACCAGCCTGGGCAACAAAGCAAGCCCCCATCTCTAGAAAAATACATGTATTTTTAATTAGCCGTGTGCAGTGGTGTGCACCTGTAGTCCCAGCTACTCAGGAGGCTAAAGTGGGAGAATTTGCTTGAGCCCACGAGTTTGAGGTTGTAGCGAGCTATGATGGTAGCATTGCACTAAAGCCTGGGTGACACAGCAAGTCCTTGTCTTAAAAAAAAATTAGAAATAGCATATTTGCAGCTGTGTAAGTATAGGGAAAAAATGTGGAGAGTCAACGTATAAATATACAAGGGAGTACATAATGGGACTCCTCCTCCCAATTTTTTTTTTTAATTTATTTTTTTATTGATAATTCTTGGGTGTTTCTCACAGAGGGGGATTTGGCAGGGTCACGGGACAATAGTGGAGGGAAGGTCAGCAGATAAACAAGTGAACAAAGGTCTCTGGTTTTCCTAGGCAGAGGACCCTGCGGCCTTCCGCAGTGTTTGTGTCCCTGGGTACTTGAGATTAGGGAGTGGTGATGACTCTTAACGAGCATGCTGCCTTCAAGCATCTGTTTAACAAAGCACATCTTGCACCGCCCTTAATCCATTCAACCCTGAGTGGACACAGCACATGTTTCAGAGAGCACAGGGTTGGGGGTAAGGTCACAGATCAACAAGATCCCAAGGCAGAAGAATTTTTCTTAGTGCAGAACAAAATGAAAAGTCTCCCATGTCTACTTCTTTCTACACAGACATGGCAACCATCCGATTTCTCAATCTTTTCCCCACCTTTCCCCCCTTTCTATTCCACAAAACCGCCATTGTCATCATGGCCCGTTCTCAATGAGCTGTTGGGTACACCTCCCAGACGGGGTGGTGGCCGGGCAGAGGGGCTCCTCACTTCCCAGTAGGGGCGGCCGGGCAGAGGCGCCCCTCACCTCCCGGACGGGGCGGCTGGCCGGGCGGGGGGCTGACCCCCCCACCTCCCTCCCGGATGGGGCGGCTGGCCAGGCGGGGGGCTGACCCCCCCCACCTCCCTCCCGGACGGGGCGGCTGGCCGGGCAGGGGGGCTCCTCACTTCCCAGTAGGGGCAGCCGGGCAGAGGCGCCCCTCACCTCCCGGACGGGGCGGCTGGCCGGGCGGGGGGCTGACCCCCCCACCTCCCTCCCGGACGGGGCGGCTGGCCCCAATTTTTTATTATTTAAATTTTTTTAGACATGTTCTTGCTGGAGTGAGGCTGGAGTGCAGTGGTGCGATTGTAGCTCACTGCAGCCCTGAACTCCTCAACTCCACCAATCCTCACACCTCAGCCTCCTGAGTAGCTGGGACTGCAGGCATGTGCCGCCTGGCTAATTTTTAAATTTTTATAGAGATAAGATCTCGCTATGTTGCCCTGGCTGATCCCGAACTGCTGGCCTCAAGCAATCCACCATGCCTAGCCACCGAAAATGTTTAAGGCTTATATGAGTCCAGAAAGTTTGAAGATCATGATTCCAAGGATACCTCTTCAAAAGCAAACCAGAGCAGGAGGAGGTAGTTTTCCCAGTCTCTGTAATTTAGGAGTGTAATTTGTACTTGTTTGTTTGAAGGCACGTGGAAATGATGTTTGCTGTTGGTTGAAGGTCTGCCCAGAAGACATCCCCTAGGTCCAGTTTAGAGGTCAAGGTCAGCCCTCTCTGGGCAGGCCAGGCTCTCTGGCAGCACTGACCATGTGCAGGCAGCAGGCCAAAGGGCCAGAGCCAGGTCAGCTGCTGCCCCCAGGGTGGGTGGAGCTCACAGAGGCCCCAGCTCTTCTAAGGTAGGGTTGGAGCCTCTTCCTGCAATGGAAGGTTGGGGGACAGGGTGATGAGACACTGATGCTTCCAAGGGGTATATGGACACATGTTGGGAGTGTCACCAATAAAGGCCATACACACCCCAAAAATCTGCCTCTGCAATGGCACACCAACAGCCACTAATGGTAGTTATTATTGTGTGCTTACCTTGTGCCAGGCAGTAGCCTTAAGTGCCTTCTGTATACTGCACTATGTTATTTAATCTTCCAATGATTAGAAACCCAGGCAGCCTGACTCAAAGGAGGTGAGGCTGGGTGCCATTTTCCTCTTCCATTAATTGAAAGGGTCATAATAACAAACATTCCTTATTTCAGAGTTTAATGTTATTTTAAACTATTAATTCAGACTTATGAATTAGGAATGATTAGAAACCCAGGCAGCCTGACTCAAAGCCGTGTCATGTGGGACACTGGTGTCAACACAGACATTCTAGACTCTGAAGGGTCAATGTGAGACCTTGCTCTTCAAAGCATTACATCTCTCTGATCCTCGGTTTTCCCATCTGCAAAATGGGTTCATAAGAGCTGTCTTACCAGACCTTTGGGTTCTAAAGCCTTCCAGGCAGCGGCAGCTGCTCTTCACCTGAGAGGGACTTTGCCATCATCAGAAAAGTTTGTACCTGATTTAGGAGGCTGAAATCTTAATTTTAAAGTGTCAGGTAAGGAAATAGGGAGAACAAACCACTCTTTTTTGGTGGCCTCTCTAGTTGGCTCTGTTTGGACCACCCTCTGGCATTTTCCACACCTTGGGCATCCCCAGCTCCCACTTGGAGCCTGAACAACTATTTCTCCCAAACTCCAAATGCCATAGCACCTGCAGGATGCCTGAGGCCGTCTGGACAATTCTCAGGCTGCCCCTATTAGACATCTCTGGTAAGTGGATGGGAGCTGGCCTAGAGAAGTCAGGGTATGTTTGAGTTGGAGCCCAGAGACCAGGGTCTCACCCTGCAAAACCATTTACTTTGTGATCCCGGTCAGCTGGCTTAGCCTCTGGGAGCCTCGTTCCTTCACTCATCCGTGCCCACCAGTGCCACTCATCAGGGCTGGGCGCTACGGACTCAGGGACGAGTCAGACAGGCCCATCCCTCCCAGCCTGCTAGTTTCATAGGAGAGGCAGACAAGGAAACAGAGTGATGGGTAGGGTGATCCCTTCTGCCTGGGAGAAGCCGGGTGCCTGGGCTATCAGGAGGACTTCTTGGAGGATGTGAGGCTGGGTGCCATTTTCCTCTTCCGTTAATTGAAAGGGTCATAATAATGAACATTTTTTATTTCCGAGTTTAATGTTATTTTAAACTATTACTATAAAAGTAACACATGCTCATGGTGAAAACTTTCAAGAGAACAGAAAGGTATTGAGTGAAAAATCTCATTCCTTGCCCATCCCCAGAAGGAACTAATTGCTGTTCACAGTTTCTCATGAAGTCTTCTAGAAATGTTCCCTGTGTATGGAAACATACATGGAACAAACATCAAAAGCCCAAATAAATAATAATAGCTCCCACTTGAGTGTCTGCTAGGGGCCCCCTCACCCATTGCGCTTGCTTTTCCGTGTAATGATAGACCTTGGACATATTTCTAGGTCCACAATCAACTTTCCAAGGTACCGCAAGAGAAACCCGGAACATCTTAGGGGCAAGTGAACGAACAGTTCCTTTCCTGGTGCCTTCATCTGAATAGGCCTAGCTCTGAGCCGGCCCCGCAGGTCCATCCTCCCATCGAAACCTCCCTGTGGTTGGGCCATTGTCGCATCTGTTTTCAGATGGGGAATCTGGGGCTCAGAAAGCACAGCAGGGTTCTGAGGCTGCACGGTGACCAAAGGCAGGTCCGTGCCGTGGCGGACCCCACAGGGCTCTGGAGCCAGAAGGAGGCCACGCTGTCCTCGGAGTCCTGGTTTCCGGAAGCGAGCAGGATTAAATATAACCCAGGCAGGCAGGAGGCGGGTGTTGAAAGCACAGGCTTAACCAAAAAGTGCAGGCCAAAGGGCAGCCCCGCCCTCCACCCCGCTGGGCTCTGGGGACAACTGCACTGACCAGTCTCGTGGGATTCTGGCCGGGCAGCTGGCATTCCCACCCACCCAGGTCCCCCCGCAGGGCGAGGCCCAGTCCCCCAGTGTGTCATCCATGTACAGGTTGCCACCTCTGACCTGGCGACTCCACTCTGGAAATCGGGGTCATGGTGATGGGCAGAAACACTACAAACAAAGGGCTCTGCCAGGTGGTCTCCGGTCTGCCCAGAAGGAGAACCATCACTGGCTGTGTGGCCCGAGCTTGGGCAAGTCCCTCACCCTTTCTTCCTTTTTCATTTTTTAAATTTTAATCGAGGTTAAACTCAAGATTAGTCATTTTAAAGTGAGCAATTCGGTGGCGTTTAGTACATTCACAACGCTGTGCGACCACCATCTCTAATTCCGAAGGAGACCCCGTTACCTATTAAGCAGTCTGTCCCCACACCCTCCTTCCCCCATTCCCTGGCAACCACTAATCTATTTCTGTTTCTGTGGACTTCCTTATTCTGGACATTTCATAGAAAAGGAAGCATACAACATGTGGTCTTCTCTGATTGGCTTTTTTCACTTAGCATAATGTTTTCAGGGCTCCTCTGTTTTGTAGCACATGTCAGTATTCCATTCCTTTTTAAGTTTTTTGAGACAGGGTCATGCTCTGTTGCCAGCCTGGAGTGCACTGGTGAAATCTTGGCTCATTGCAACCTCTGCCTCCCAGACTCAAACCATCCTCCTGCCTCAGCTGAGACTACAGGGACATGCCACCATGCCTGGCTAATTTTTGTATTTTTTGTAGAGGCGGGGTTTCGCCATGTTGCGCAGGCTGGTCTCGAACTCCTGGCCTCCTCCTGCCTCAGCCTCCCAAAGGGCTGGGATTACAGGCGTTACCCACCATGCCTGGTCTTTCATTCCTTTTTATGTATATTGGATATATCATGATGGATTTATTCATTTGTCGATGGACATTCGGGCTCCATTTGCCTTTGGGCTATTATGGATAGTGCTTCTATGACACTCAACTTCTCTCAGCCTTGTTTCTCAGATCTGTAAAATGGGGATAATCAAAGTACCTACCTCACAGAGCTTGGGGGAGGATTAAATGAGACAGATGCAAAGCCCTTACCTGGCGCATAGTGAGTTGTGCATTCCCCTTTGTGGTTTCTGTCGGGTGTTTACAGTACAACCTAACATGATTCCAGCACTTCCTGTGTCCTGCTTCGAGCACTTTGCCTGTTGTAACTCACTGATGGCAATGCTTTTGGTATATTCCTTAATTCCTCCAGCAACATTGTGACGTAGGCCCTGCTCTCATGAATTTCGCTTACAGAAAATCAAGGCTCAGAGAGGTCAGCTAAGGCTTTGCCTGCGGAGGCAGGATTGGTTCCCAGGCCAACCTGATCCTGGGCCTGTGCTCTAAACACCTCTGCTGGTCTGCGCTCCTCGGGGAGTTTACACAGCAGTGTTTACCTGTTTACAGTTTACACGGCGATGTCTCTGGGCTGGGAATTAGGGGGGAGTTTCACTTTCTTTTTCACCCTGGCCTCTCACCGTTCCACATTTCTATAATTGTTTCATTTGTTTTCACAGTGAGTACATATTAATTTTGTAATCAGAAAGAAACCATAAACATAATTCTAGGTGATGGCATACCATATGTTAAACAAAAAGAACCCAACACAAAATTCTATGCATAGCTTGGTCCCAACCAGGTTGAAAGTTGCACAGAAAAACAGCCAGAGGACTGTTCACCAACATATTACTAGCGTTCGTCTCAGGGGGGCTGGATGGGGTGATTTTGTGATTTTTTTTTTCATATAATTTTGGTATCTTCCTAGCTTTTCCAATCTTATTTTTATTATGAACAAATGTCGCTTTTGAATTCAGAAAGAAAGGGATTCTCAGGAAAAAAAAGATGTTCCCAGCCCACGCCCGTGGGTGTTCGTGCTTTGGGCCCAGCTGGGCAGGTGAACCTGAACTACTCACAGGTCAGGGAACTCACGGTGGAAGCTGTCAGACAGGATGTTCCTGTACCTCAAGATGTGCCCAGGGATTGCTGGCCTGATGCTACCGTTTGTCACCCATCCCCACCCCAGGACACAGAGAGGACATTCCAACCTCGGGACCTCCAGCACAGCCTCCAGAGCAGGGACATCTCGGCCCCAGGCGCCACCCAAGCGCTGTCCCAGCACTGCCCCGCCCAGCCCAGCCCCCTGGCCCTTGCTCCTGCACTGCCTTGCCCTGGAATCTCCTTCACCTCCGGGTGTGTAGTTCCCAAGTCTTCGCCATCAGGCCCAATGTGGAGGGCCCAGTGGAGCATTAAGGAGAGCCAGCCACAAGTAGACGAAGGTGTTTGTCCACACCCTGTCTCAGGTGGTCCTCACCACCCCAGCCCCACCGTGAGGCAGGTCTCGCCTGTCCTCACCACAGCTGTGGTCCCGGATTCCAGAATAGGACCTGGCTCACAGAAGGTGCTTAACAAATTCTGAATGGATGGTTATTGCTACTATTCCTACTCTAGAATGGAGACATCTGAGGCCCAGAGAGGTGAAGCAACTCGTCTAAGGCCACACAGCCAGGAAGGGGTTGGGCCATGGCGATCCGTCAGGTTCACGCCAGCAGTCTCGACCCCAGTCCAGCCCCCTGCTCTTCGGGGTTCAGTTTCCACCTGCAGTGGCTCCCTGGGGAAGAGCTGGGCAGCAGCGCTTTGGACTGTGGCTCCAAACAGTCAGTGCTCCGATCTCAGTTCTGCCACCGACCAGCAGTGTGACCTTGGGCAAGTTCCCTAGCCCCTCTGTGCCCGTGTCCCTGCTGCTGGCAGCCTGCTTGTGAGGAGTAAGTGAACCACTCCTGGTCCAGAGTGCACATGATATGTGCTGGTTAAATAAAATTGAGTTTCTGAGGGTGTCGGCTGAGCCGCTGGGTAGAGGGGTCGCCCTGGTTCATCACGGCAGAGGCTGCCGGGTTCAGGGCTGGCTCGCAGCCTCCGGCTTCCTCTCTGGCTTGGGTGTGGCCATCAAGCCCCCTACCCTGACTCGACCTCTCCGGAGCTCCCTTTCCCTCTGCCTGGCACGTGCTCAAGTCTGGGGCCCCCATCCCCACACCTGCCCTGGCTTCAAGTGACTCCCCTCACCTAAGAAAAGGGGACATGGACCCCCCGACCCTGCCCACCCCACCTCCCGTGGGGCTGGGGACCTCTGCCACAGTCAGGATGTCCAGAAAGGCAGAGAGACAGCTACATCCACGACGATGCAGTGAGCGCAGCAGAGGGTCTGGCTGCATCTGGGCGAGTCCAGGAGCTGCCTGGAGCAGTGCCTCTTTGGCAGGTTGTGACAGTAGGGTGGGAGTCTGGCAAAATGAGAAGGGAAAGGAGAAAGGCTCCCGGCCATGGAAGGAGGGGCACACACAGGCAGGGAGACAGGGAGGGCAGAGGACGCTGCCTCTGACCGCACGGCCACCTTGGCTTTGGCAGGACACCCAGGGCGGGGTGCAGAACTCCTGAACAGCAGCTGCCAGGAAGACAGGTCGCAGTGGGAGGGACCCTGGCAGGATGACACATGCTCAGAGGGCAGCCCGAACAGTGGGGCCGAGTGGGCTGACTGGGCTGAACTCTGGCCTTCCTGGAGCTGTTACTCCCGCCCTGACGTCCAGGCCACACAGCAAGTTTGTCATGCAGTCACCGCCCCACCAGGCAGCCTCGCTGAGCAGGCGCCCCAGCGTGGGTGAAAGCTCCGTCCGTGCCCAGCTGTCCTGACACAGCCCCACCCAGGAACTAGGCCCAGCTTTGCATGGGCTGGATCTGCCCTGTAGTGTGAGGAGGTGCCTGGCTGAAGTGTGCCTCATTTTCCCCATCTGTCAAAGCAGATGAGAATTCCTACCTCTCAGAGCTCTCAAGAGCAGCCAATGAGATAATATTAGAGAATTAGAGAAAGTGCATTTTAACCCCGAGGCTCATCTGCAAAGGGTTGCTGCTGCTGTTACTATTGTTATTGCTATGTTATTATTAAGACTGACACATGGGGCCAGGCGCGGGGGCTCACGCCTGTAATCCCAGCACTTTGGGAGGCCAGGGCAGAAGGATCACGAGGTCAGGAGACCGAGACCATCCTGGCTAACACGGTGAAACCCTGTCTCTACTAAAAATACAAAAAATTAGCCGGGCGTGGTGGCGGACACCTGTAGTCCCAGCTACTCAGGAGGCTGAGGCAGGAGAATGGTGTGAACCCAGGAAGTGGAGCTTGCAGTGAGCCGAGATCATGCCACTGCACTCCAGCCTGGGCGACAGAGCGAGACTCTGTCTCAAAAAAAAAAAAATGACCGACACATGGGGGGCTGCTGGATTCAGTGGGAGAAACCAGAGACATCAGAACTTGAATTCCAGTCCTCTTTCTGAGTAGCTGTAGATCTGGGAAATCACTTCTCCAACTCAATTTCCCGATCTATAAATATTTCAGAGGGGTGAGTGCTTGGGCTCTGTGTTGGCCAAGGTCAGCCTGGGAGGGTGGGACCGGCAGCGGGGTCTTCTCCCAAGCCAGGGGCAGCATCCTTTTGGACCAAGGCCAAGTCACCACTCTGGCCTCCTGACGCTGCCCCTGCCCTGGCCTGACCCCTCTCCTGCCCCCCGACCCAGCCAGCCTAAGTGCACACTCTCATGACCCTTCGCCTGTGCATGAACCTGTGCTGTTTATGAGGCTTTTCACCCAAATGGTGCTGTCACCCCCTTTGACAAACAACGCTGTTTGGCTGCAGCTGTGGGTAGCTCCTGCGCTGGGCCCACAGGAGCCGCAGGCCAGTGGAGACAGATGGACAGCCGCACCACAAGATGGAGCTCAGGGTAGGGAGGGGCCCTCAGCTGGACCTTGGAGGGGCCCTATGGCCTCAGCACCTGCCCCTTGTGCCACTTCTCAGGTCCAGATTCATTGCTGGCTCCCCAGCTTCAAACAGGTGCCTTGGGGCCCTAGGTGTCCAGTGAGTGCACGGAATGAGTGAAAGAGTGCAGGAACGAAGTGAGGTGGAGAATATTTAATTATCCTTATAGCAGGCCCCAGAATTCTTTGCAGGGAGGGAACTCGACCTCGGGAAATCACCTAGTCGAGCCTCTTAGGTGGTGATGGAGGCATCAGGAAGCGTTTGCTGTCTGAGTGGCGGACGGTCCCCCTCGCCTCCTGTGCTTCTTGGCTCAGGTCCCCTTCCTAGGCCTTTTTCTCTGCCAGGAGTTGGGTGGGGCTCTCCCCAGTCTGGATAGCCCAGGGGCAGGGCGGTCTCCATGCAAACACTTGCTGTGCTGTGTGGCCTCAAACCGTCCACTGACCCTCCCTTGGCCTCAGTTTTTCCATCTGTGAGAGGACAGTCTGCCCAGATCTGTGCCCAGGAGGCACGGTGGTGGGAGGACTTAGCAGATAGCAAGGCTGTTGCACACTCAGGGCTGTTACCCTGGCTCTGGCTCTCTGAAGGCCCCACCCACCGCCTTTTTTAGTCACACTTCTGAACACCCTGGTGCCAGCCATCCTGGCTACTGGCAACCTCTTTAATTATCACGTCTGTCCCCACACCTTGGTGCAGCTCTGTCTGTCTGAATGGACTCATTAAGGCCCCATAAAATGCAGTCACAGTGAGCCATGTCAGAGATGAGGAGAGAGGACTTCCTGGAGGCCCTCCCGACCCACACTGGTGCCTGGGAGGGAAGGTTGTTGGCTCCCAGGCCAGCTGGGCTGTGCTTGCCAGGAAGGCGTGGCAGGGCCTAGGGCCTCTAAGGAGGATCCTTAGCCGGGGGTGAATGGGAGACAGAGAAATAGAGGGAGATGGAGGGGGAAAGATGGAAACAGAAAGGACCACAGACCCATGGACAGAGACAAAGCAAGAGACTGAGAGTGTGGGGAGGAGAGAGGCGAGAGGGAAGAAGGGTGCTGAGGGGCAATGTCTGGACAGAGCAGTTCTACCTGGACGCTGAGGGCCCTTGGGCCTGCGTAGCCCTGCCAAAACACACGGAAGCCTGGGCGGGCAGCCAGCTTGGGAAGGTCCCCCGCGGTCCGCTGTGGTCCCCTCCTCCCTGCTCCCAGCAGTAGCCACCCCAACAACTCCCTCTCACTCCCAGGCAAGCACACAGGTGCCCGCCCACCAACAAACGTTCATGCACACGCACCATCGCTCGCACAGGAATGCAGCACCCTGGCACACTCCCACATTCTCACGCCTGCCCTCACTCTCCCACAGCTCAGCTGGGAGGGGGACAAGCCTGCCAGCACTCACACAAGTGCAGGAGTGCCCTCGTTCATGCTCAGCTGTGTGTACCCATGGGTAGCATGACCTGGGGCCCCATTGCCTGGGGCTGCAAGTCCAGACCCAGGCCGACAGGTGCACACACTCGGGACTCTTGGCTCTTGAGGCTGTGTGGTCCTGGGTCCACAGACACCCCTAAAGCGGCTGGCGTGGTTTTGGACCAGCCGGGGCTTCGGCAGGGGCGATTCTCCCCGCAGGGGCACACAGAGTTGATGCTCCAGCATTGATGCACCCACCCTCCATCCATGCCATCACCCATCCGCTGGCCGCACCCCTTGGAGATCCATTGTCCTTTGCCGGTGGACGGCCCAGAACTCCCCAGATCTCTCCTCACTCAGGGCTCTCTATGGCCGTGGGCAGCACTGCCTCTGTGCTGGTCCCTGCTGCCATGGTGTGACAGTCAGCTTCCAATTCATGGTGGACGTCAAAATCCCACTCCCAGCCAGCATCAGGAACAGAGCAGGATCTAAGCAATGGGGGAGGGGCAAAGGCAGGAGGGGGCTTCCCAGGGCAGCAGCACCCGCAACTCCAAAGGGAGAGGCACCCATCACCTGCACCAAAGACGTCCTTCGGAGGTGGGCGGCCACTGGAGTAGGCAGCCACTGCCCTCAGGGCTTCTCCTGGGACATCAGCCCCTCTGCTGGAGGCAGCATCTGCATCTTTGTGCCTGAGGGCTTCCTAGAAGCTTTTCTACCCGATTCAGGGCAGGATGGAAAGGCCAGGGGTTGACACCGCCCAGCAGCCTCTACCGGTGACAGCTCAGAACGAATATTGTGCCTTGAGTGGAAGTGTGAGCTCTTTGACTTCCATCCCGGCCCACCCTCTTCCGTGAAAATGGATTTGCAACAGTTGCAAAATCCAAGGGAAGGTGGCAACAACCCATGCCAGAAGGATACAAAATAAAACTCAGTGTTGTCATTTGTATACATTCTCAGACCTTTTCTTACATTTAGTTTTTGTTTTGCTTTTCGGGTTTTTGTTGTTGTTGTTGTTTTATTTTTTGTTTCTTTTTTAAGACAGAGACTTTGGCCGGGCGCGGTGGCTCACGCCTGTAATCCCAGCACTTTGGGAAGCCGAGGCGGGCAGATCACGAGGTCAGGAGATTGAGACCATCCTGGCTAACACGGTGAAACTGTGTCTCTACTAAAAATACAAAAAATTAGCCGGGCGTGGTGGCGGGCACCTGTAGTCCCAGCTACTAAGGAGGCTGAGGCAGGAGAATGGCATGGACCCAAGAGGCGGAGCTTGCAGTGAGCCGAGATCGACATCCCGCCACTGCACTCCAGCCTGGGCGACAGAGCGAGACTCCGTCTCAAAAAAAAAAAAAAAAAGATCCTCTTTCTGTCACCCAGGCTGGAGTGCAGTGGCGTGATCTCAGCTCACTGCAACCGCCACCTCCTGGGTTCAAGTGATTCTCACGCATCAGTCACCCAGGTAGCTGGGATTATAGGCACGGGCCACCATGGCCCAGCTAATTTTTGTGTTTTTAGTAGAGACGGGGGTTTCGCCATGTTGGCCAGACTGGTCTTGAACTCCTGACCTCAAGAGATCCACCTGCCTTGGCTGCCCAAAGTCCTGGGACTACAGACATGAGCCACTGCACCTAGCCTCCATTTAGTTTTTAATGTATGTTTTATTGCCATATAATTCACATAACATAAAATGTATCATTTTACGTATACAACTCAGTAGTTTTTAGTATGTTTACAATGTTGTACAACTATAGTCTACTTAGTTCTAGAACATTTTCATCACCATCAAAAGAAACCCCACACCCATTAGCAGTCACTCACCATTTCTCCCTCCTCTCAGTCCCCGGCAACCACCAATCCACTTCTTTCTTTCTTTTTTTTTTTTTTTGAGACGGAGTCTCGCTCTGTTGCCCAGGCTGGAGTGCAGTGGCGCGATCTCGGCTCACTGCAAGCTCTGCCTCCCTCCCGGGTTCACACCATTCTCCTGCCTCAGCCTCCCGAGTAGCTGGGGGTACAGGCGCACGCCACCACGCCCGGCTAATTTTTTGTATTTTTAGTAGAGATGGGGTTTCACCATGATAGCCAGGATGGTCTCGATCGCCTGACCTCATGATCCTCCCGCCTCAGCCTCCCAAAGTGCTGGGATTACAGGTGTGAGCCACTGCGCCCGGCCAATCCACTAATTTTTTCAATCAATTCACCTATTTTGAACATTATGTGAATGGAATCATACTATGTGTGGCCTTTTGTGCCTGGCTTCTTTCAGTTAGCACCATGTTTTTGAGGTGTATCAGTGCTTCCTTCCTTTTCTTTCTGTTTTTTTGTTTTTTGTTTTGAGACGGAGTCTTTCTCTGTTCCCAGGCTGGAGTGCAATGGCGCTATCTTGGCTCACTGCAACCTCTGCTTCCCGGGTCCAAGTGATTCTCCTGCCTTATCCTCCTGAGTAGCTGGGATTACAGGCACCCACCGTCATGCCAGGCTAATTTTTGTATTTTAGAGAGACAGTGTTTCACCATGTTGTCCAGGCTGGTCTTGAACTCCTGACCTCAGGTGATCCACCTGCCTCAGCCTCCCAAAGTGCTGGGATTACAGGCGTGAGCCATCGCATCTAGCCACTTCATTCCTTTTCATGGCTGAATAATATTTCACTGTATGGATAGACCACCTTTCATTTACCCATTCATCAGTTGATAGACATTTGGGCTGTTTGAAATTAACTTTTAACGCATGTTCTCTACAAAATAATTTTGGAAATATCAGTATGCAGTTGACAACTGTTCTTTCTTGTTATTTTCCCTATTCTGAGATTTAGTTCCTCCTACATTTAAATGTTTTTTCTTTTAAGAAACGGTAGTAGCTAGGTGTGGTATTCATGCCTATTGTCCCATCTACTGGAGAGGCTGAGGCAGGAGAATTACTTGGTCCCAGGAGTTTGAGTCCAGCCTGGGCAACATAGCGAGACCCTGTCTCTAAGAAAATAAAATAAAATAATTTTTTAAAAAAGGAATTGTGGTCCAGGTGCAATGGCTCATGCCTGCAATCCTAGCACTTTGGGAGGCCGAGGTGGGCAGATCGCCTGAGCCTAGGAGTTTGAGACCAGCCTGGGCAACATGGTGAAACCCTTTCTCTACTAAAAATACAAAAAAAAAAAAAAAAAAAAAAATTAGCTGGACATGGTGGCACATACCAGTAGTCCCAGCTATTTGGGAGGCTGAGGTGGGAGGATTGCTTGAGCCTGGGAGGTGGACGTTGCAGTGAGCTGAGATCATGCCACTGCATTCCAAGCTGGGTGACAGAGCCAAACCCTGGAAGAAGAAGAAGGAGAAGGAGAAAGAGAAGGAGAAGAGGAGGAGGAGGAGGACAAAGAAGAAGAAAGAGGAGGAGGAGGAGGAGGAAGAAAAAGAAGAAGGGGGAGGGGGAGGAGGAGAGGAGGAAGAGGAGAAGGAGAAGGAGAGGAAGGGGAAGGGGAAGAAGAATAATTCTAGCAAGAAAAATTTTAACAAAATGTCTTTGGAATGGAAAAAAAGAGCTGGCAACGCTAAATTGTCCACACAACACTTTTCCTTTCTCCTGCTCTGGGAACCCTAGGGCCCATGACCTGGCAAGCTTGTTTGGTGGTGACAGTGTTGATGGCTGAAGCGAGGCACCTTCACGTTAATTGGGGTTTCCACAGCCAACATGTTTTCAGGCATGCGATCTGGGTGGAGAAGGCGCCCCCAGCCTGTGGGGAATGGACACCAAGTCATAGTGGGCATCCTCAGCAGGTTTCTGCCTCTGCACCTGCCCACCCTGGGGTGGCTCCGTGGAGGGGAACATACGGGAGGAGGCACGGGCCAGAGGGCCTGAGCCCTGGGAACGAGGTCCACAGAGTCACGAAGGGGTGGGGAGGTCAGGCCGGCTCCCCAGAGGTTCTCACTGGTCTCACCTGTGTGCCTCGTTCCTGCTGTTGACTCCGAATAACAAGGAAGGATCATTGTCAACTACCAGCTGTCGTTCCCAGCTAAGTTTAGGCTCTAGTCATTGGGAATTGGGGTTGGTGTTGGGACAGTGGGAAGGTGACAAGGGAAATGGCTAAATTCAATGGGTTAAAAATGACAAACACATAGAATTTATTATAACAGCAATACAATAAAGCAAATAAAAATTTAAAAAATAGAAACAGAAAGAAAAAACACCTCTATTCTCACCTTAACACAAGGACTTATGTTTTGATGAAGTTTCGATTTGCCTAAGCATAAAAATAACCTACTTTCTTTCCTGATTTTAAGAGTTGGATGGCTTTGTGGTAGTGAAGACGTTTAATAAAAGAGGTGAAAAGAAAAAAAAGTGACTTATTGTACCACAAGTTAAAGACAATCATTATTAACATGTTGGCATATTTCCTTCCAATCTTTATTATTAAGGTCTGTCCTTCCTTCCTTCCTTCCTTCCTACCTTCCTTCCTTCCTTCGTTTCTTTTTGCTTTTCTAGAGACACCCTCTATCACCTGGGGACTGGAGTGCAGTGGCGCAATCATAGTTCACTGCAGCCTCAAACTCCTGGGCTCAAGCAATCCTCCCACCTCAGTCTCCCAAGTAGTAGAGACTACAGGCATGTGCCACCACACTCAACTAATTGTCTTTTTTTTTTTTTTTTTTTTTTTTTGGAGAGATGGGATCTCACTTTGTTCCCCAGGCTGTACAAACTCCTGGGATCCTTAAGGCGATCCTCCCGCCTTGGCCTCCCAAAGTGCTGGGACTACAATCATGCACCACCTTGCCTGGCCTGAGCCACTATGCCCAGCCTATGTTTTTCTTTTCTTTTCTTTTTTCTTTCTTTTCCTTTTTTTTTTTTTTTGAGATGGAGTCTTGCTCTGTCACCTGAGCTGGAGTACAGTGGCATGATCTCAGTTCACTGCAACCTCTACCTCTTGGGTTCAAGCGATTCTCTTGCCTCAGCCTCCCGAGTAGCTAGGATTACAGGCGTGCCCCACCACGCCTGGCTAATTTTTGTATTTGTTTGTTTGTTTGTTTGTTTGAGGTGGAGTCTTGCTCTGTCGCCCAGGCTGGAGTGCAATGGCGCAATCTCGGCTCACTGCAAGCTCCACCTCCCGGGTTCACGCCATTCTCCTGCCTCAGCCTCCCGAGTAGCTGGGACTACAGGCACCCGCCACCGCGCCCAGCTAATTTTTTTGTATTTTTAGTAGAGACGGGGTTTCACCGTGTTAGCCAGGCTGGTCTCGAACTCCTGATCTCAGGTGATCTACCTGCCTCGGCCTCCCAAAGTGCTGGGATTATAGGCGTGAGCCACTGCACCCAGCCAGCCTATATTTTTCATAATTATATCATACATGACATTGTAGCAATTTTCATACACAGTTTCATGGTCTTTTTCACTAAAAATCATGGACTGAACTGTTTCACGCTGTTAAAAGTATTTGAAAAGATTTTATTGCTGTGCCTCTCTAATAGAGTTTAAGCATATACTGCATGAAACTTTTGTATCCTGCTTGTTTCACTTATTCTACCCTTTACTGCTTGCAATATCATACAGTTTTAACATAGCCCTCCTTGTAAGTGACATATGCAAATGCATCCGTGAGTGGATGGCCATAATCCTCTTGATGGACAGGTCTTTGCTGTTATAAATGATGCTGCAAAACACCCTTTTATAAGTCAAATGTTTCCTCTGGATAGGTTCCTATACATAGGTTTATCAGGAAAGAGTATGACTAATGTTGAGGTTCTGTTTAAGAGTCATTTTGCACAATTTGCCTTCATAATTTTGTAGGTGTGAAAATGAGCAGCAATCAACATTCTTTTGACATTGGCCAGGCGCGGTGGCTCATGCCTGTAATCCCAGCACTTTGGGAGGCTGAGGCGGGTGGACCACCTGAGGTCAGGAGTTCGAGACCACCCTGGCCAACATGGTGAAAGCCCATCTCTAATGAAAATACAAAAAATTAGCCAGACATGGTGGTGCACGCCTATAATCCCAGCTACTCAGGAGGCTGAGGCAGAAGAATCGCTTGAACCCAGGAGGCGGAGGCTGCAATGAGCTGAGACAGAGCCATTGCACTCCACCCTGAGTGATAAGAGCGAAACTCCTGTCTCAAAGCAACAATAACAACAACAATAAAATTCTTTTGACATAAAACTAGAAAGTCCAGTACATTATTAGGAATAAATAAGTAAATAAATAAAAACAGCAGCAGAAAAAACCCTAGAGTTTCACTCTTGCAAGATACAATCTTGGAATCTTGGAATCCCAGTCATCCTCACTAAGCTTTGTGGGAGCAGGGAGAAACCCAAGTAGGAACAGCAAGGGAAATGTGTGTCCAAGCCAACTGAGGGGCGAAGACGTCTCCTCGGAGGCCTGTGCTCACCTGCACGTGGGGGTGCATGACCGCCAGACAGCAGAGTCAGCGCACGGCTGGGGAACTCGCAGGGAAGCCACTTCATCCATGTCCCAGGACAACCACAGAAAAATTGGATTGCTGCCCCAAATCTGACAGCTATTTGCATTTTGCATCTTTTCCCTGCATTCCTTCTGTGTGTTCTCTGCATTTCCACACTGTCATCTATGAAAATACATGACACTGGTAGTCAGGGAATAAATGTCTCCTTTCAAAACATTTTCTATTATGGTAAAATATATGTCTTGTATTAATATTAGTCTGATTTCACATTGCTATAAAGAACTGCCTCAGACTGGGTAAATTATAAAAGAAAGAGGTTTAATTTATTCACATGGCTGGGAAGGCCTCAGGAAACTTACAATCATGGCGGAAGGCGAAGCAGGCACATCTTACATGGTGGCAGGCAAGAGAGAGCATGTAAGAGCAGGGAAAACTGCCTTATAAGACCATCAGATCTCATGAGAACTCACTCACTATCACGAGAACAGCTTGGGGGAAACCACCCCCATGACCCAATCATCTGCCACCAGGTCCCTCCCTCAATACCTGGGGACTACAATTCGACATGAGATATGGGTGGGGACACAAAGCCTAACCATATCACATTTACATCATGTAACATAAAATTTACCATTTTTACCATTTTAACCACTCTAAGTGTCCAGTTCAGTGGCATTAGGTACATTCACAACACTGTATAACCATCAACGCTATCTATTTCCAGAACTTTTTTTCATCATCCCAAACAGAAACTCTGTACCCATTGAACAATAACTCCCTATTTCTTCCTCCCCACTGGTAACCTCTATTCTATTTCCTGTGTCTATAAATTTGTCTATTCTAGGAACCTTATATAAGTAGAATAATACAATATTTTTCTTTTCGTGTCTGGCTTGTTTCACTTAGCGTAATGTCTTCAAGATGCATCCATGTTGTAGCATGTATCAGAAGTTCATTCCTTTTTACAGAAAAATAATATTTCACTGTATGCATATACTGCATTTTGCTTATCCATTCATCAGTTGCTGGACACTCAGGTTGCTTTCATCTTTTGGTTTTTGTGAATAATTCTGAACACTGGTGTACAAGTATCTGTTCGAGTCCCTGCTTTCGGTTCTTTTTGGTATATATCTAGGAATGAAATTTCTGGATCATATGGTAATTCTATGCTTAACTTTCTGAGAAGCTGCCAGACTATTTTCCACAGCAGTTTCATGACTAAATGTCATTTTGAAAAATTTATCTTAGCCAGGCATGGTGGCTCATGCCTGTAATCCCAGCACTTCGGGAGGCGAAAGTGGGTGGATCACCTGAGGTCAGGAGTTCAAGACCAGCCTGACCAATGTGGTGAAATCCCATCTCTACAAAAAATACAAAATTAGCCGGGTGTGGTGGCAGGCGCCTGTAGTCCCAGCTACTCTGGAGGCTGAGACAGGAGAATTGCTTGAACCCAGGAGGCAGAGGTTGAGTGAGCTGAGATTGTGCCACTGCACTCCAGCCTGGATGGACAGAGTGAGACTCTGTCTCAAAACAAAAAGAAAAAAGAAAAATTTATCTTTAATATTGGTAAGATGTCAATACAACCCAAAGTGATCTACAGGTTCAGTGCAGTTCCAATCAAAATACTAATGACATTTTTTTCGTAGAAATAGGAAAATCCTTCCTAAAATTTATGTGGAATCTCAAAGGATCCCAAATAGTGAAAAAATCTTGGAAAAGAACAAAGGTCAAAATCTCACCCTTCCTGATCAAAATTTACTACAAAGCTACAGTTATCAAAACAGTGTGATACTGATATAAAGACAGACATATAAATCAATGGGATAGAATAAAGATCCCAGTATTTTTTTAATATATATATAAATGTATATAATATATATTTAAATATATAATATATTAATATATATTATATATATTTATATATTGTTATGTACAATAATTATATATTATATAAAATAATTATATATTATTATATATAATAGTTATATATTATATATATTAAAATTTTTTCAATGACTTTTTCCAATGAACGTTAGCTAAAGTGTCAAGACCATTCAATGGGCTAAAGGATAGTCTTTATAACAAATGGTGTTGAGAAAACTGGGTATTCACATGTAAAAGAGTAAAACTGGACCCTCAGTTTATACCCTGTACAAAAATTATTAAAAATGGATCAAAGATCTAAATGTATGAGCTGAAACTATAAAACTCTTAGCAGAAAACATAGAGGAAAAGATTCATGATATTGAATCTGGCAATGATTTATTGGCTATGACACCAAAGCACAGGCAACAAAAGAAAAAATAGATAAACTGGACTTCATCAAAATTAAAAACTTTGTGCATCAAAGGACACTATTAACACACTGAAAAGGCAACCCATGGAATGGGAGAAAAAGATTGCAAATCACATATCAGATAAGAGATTAATATCCAGAATATATAAAGAACAACCACTCAACAACAAAAAACAAACAACCCAATTAGGAAATGGGCCAGAAGCGTTGGCTCACGCCTGTAACCCCTCCCAGCACTTTGGGAGGCCGAGGTGGGTGGATCACTTGAAGTGAGGAGTTCGAGACCAGCCTGACCAACATGGTGAAACCCCGTCTCTACTAAAAATACAAAAACTAGCTGGGCATGGTGGCAGGCACCTGTAATGCCAGCTACTTGGGAGGCGGAAGCAGGAGAATTGCTTGAACCACGGAGGCAGAGGTTGCAGTGAGCTGAGATTGCACCACTGCACTCCAGCCTGGGCGACAGAGCAAGACTCCCTCTCAAAAACAACAACAACAACAAAAGCAATTAAGAAATGGACAAAGAACTTTTCTCCAAAGATATACAAATGGCCAATAAGCACATAAAAAGATGCTCAACATCACTGATCATTAGGGAAACGCAAATCAAAACCACAATGAGATAGTGCTTCACAACCATTAGGATGGCTATTGTAAAAACAAACAAACAAACAAACAAACAAACACAGAAAATTACCAGTGTTGGTGAAGATATGGGGAAAATAAAACTGAAGATAGGGAGAAATACCTGGTGCTAGCATAGCTGGTGGCAGTGTTCTATGGTGCTCCCACTGTAGAAATGAGTATGGCAGTTCCTCAAAAAAAACAAGCTGCATGTGGTAGCTCATGCCTGTAATCCCAGCACTTCGGGAGGCTGAGGCAGGAGAATTGTTTGAGTTCAAGACCAGCCTGGGCAACATAACGAGACCCTGTCTCTACAAAAAATTTAAAAATTTTAAAAATTAAACACAGAGTTACCATATGATCCAGCGATTCTGCTTTTGGGCATATAGCCAAAAGAACTGAAATCAGGGACTCAAATAGATATTTGTATACCCCTGCTCACAGCAGCATCATTCACCGTAACCAAAATGTGGAAACACCCAAATGTCCATTGACAGATGAATAGATAAGCAGAATGTAGTATATTCACACACTAGAATGTTATTCAGCCTTAAAAAGGAGGAAAATCACTCCCAGCATCGTGGCTCACGCCTGTAATCCCAGCACCTTGGGAGGCCAAGGAGGGAGGATGGCTTGAGCCCAGGAGTGCGAGACCAGCCAGGGCAACATGGGGAAACCCAATCTCTACAAAAAAATAAAAATTAGCCATTTGTGGTAGTGAGCGCCTGTAGTCCCAGCTACTCCAGAGGCTGAGATGGGAGGATTGCTTGAGCCTAGAAGGTTGAGGCTGCAGTGAGCTGAGATCATGCCAGCCTGGGTGACAGAGTGAGACCCTCTCTCAAAGAAAAAAAAAGGGGGAAATTCTGACCCATGCTACAACATGAATGAACCTTGAAGACATTATGCTAAATGAGACAAGCCAGTCACAAAAGAACAAATACTGCAGGATTCCACTTACATGAGGTTCTTGGAGTTGTCAAATTCATAAAGATAAAAAGTAGAATGGTGGGTCCCAGGGCCTGGGTGAGAGAGGAATGAGTGTTAGTGGTTAATGGGGACAGAGTTTCAGTTGGGGAAATTGAACAAGTTCGGGAGATGGGTGAGGAGGTGATGGCTGCGCAACACTGTAAATGTACTTTTTAATTTATTTTATTTATTTGTTTGTTTATTTTCGAGATGGAGTCTCGCTCTGTCGCCCAGGCTAGAGTGCAGTGGCGCGATCTCAGCTCACCACCAGCTCTGCCTCCCGGGTTCACACCATTCTCCTGCCTCAGCCTTCCAAGTAGCTGGGACTACAGGCGCCCGCCACCACGCCTGGCTAACTTTTTGTATTTTTTGTAGAGATGGGGTTTCACTGTGTTAGCCAGGATGGTCTCAATCTCCTGACCTCGTGATCCACCCACCTTGGCCTCCCAAAGTGCTGGGATTACAGGCATGAGCCACTGTGCCTGGCCTATTTTTTATTTTTTTGAGACAGAGTCTCGCTCTGTCGCCCAGGCTGGAGTGCAGTGGCACAATCTCGGCTCACTGCAACCTCCACCTCCTGGGCTCAAGCAGTTCTCGTGCCTCAGCCTCCTGAGTAGCTGGGATTACAGGCATGCACCACCATGCCTGGCTGATTTTTGTATTTTTAGTAGAGATGGTGTTTTGCCATGTTGGCCAGGCTGGTCTCAAACTCCTGACCTTAGGTGATCTGCCCGCCTTGGCCTCCCAAAGTGCTGGGATTACAGGCATGAGCTACTGCACCTGGCCTGTGAATGTACTTACATTTTTTTTTTTCAGAGACTGGGTCTTGCTGTGTTGCCCCAGCTGGAGTGCAGTAGTGTGATAATAGCTCATTGCAGCCTCGAGCTCCTAGGTTCAAATGATCCTCCCACCTCAGCTTCCTGAGTTGCTGGAGCCAAAGGTGTGTGCCACCAGGCCCAGCTAGTTTTTATTTTTTTGTACAAGGTCTCACTGTGTTGCCCAAGCTGGCCTTGAACTCCTGGCCTTAAGTGGTCCTCCCACCTCAGCTGGGATTACAGGCACGAGCCACTGTGCCTGGCTGTGAATGTACTTAAGGTCCCTAGAATGCTACACTTAAAATGGTTAAAATGGTAAATTTTTAAGGCTTGTATATCTGACCACAATAACAAAATATTTACCTATCTATCATTTATGTATCTAGTTTCTTTCTTACACCATTCTGACCTTGTCTTCATTACGGCCTCCTCCTAGGATGTGCTACCTTGCCAGGGCCTGCAGACAACCACCTTCAACCAGCCCTCCCCTCCCAGCCCCTTCACCTGGAACGACGCAGAGTCTAGGTCCTGGGAAGTGCTGTAGTAATCAGGACGTGGAGCTCCTTAGTGTATATTTGACATCTCTTAAATGTCTCCGGAGTCTACAGTGTGCCGGGCACTTCCTGGCCATCTTGCTTGATCCTTGAGACAACTCCAACAGAAAACATTATGATCCTCGTTTTACGGATAGTAAACCTTGGGCTCACAAAGGTTAAGTGACGTGCCCAAGGTCATAGAGCTAGAAGTATGATCTGAACCAGGTCTGCTAATGCCTACGCCTTTTCCAGTCTGAGGGATCTTCATTGACTCTGGAAGATACCCAGGAGTGAACCTTCTTGGGAGTTTGGTAGTGAACTCCCTGTCTCTGGAGGTGAACAAGGAGAGACTGGGTCATGACAGAACGTGGATGCAGCAGAGCTGTCCCATGCATCGGGCAAGGGCTTAGACTGGAGAACTCTACGATCCCTTCCAGCTCTGAAAGATTTGATTGTAATTGAGGGCCAGAGAAGACACGTGACTTGCTCCAAGTCACGCAGCTGAAACCCAGGTCTCCTGATTGCTGACTGAAAATCTGAGAAAGAGGGATGGTACACGGCAGGTACGCAGCTAATGTATGGAATCAGTTGAGGACCCTGGAGACACAACTGTGAATGTATTCATTCAGTCAATGAGTAGTTGGCTGAGTTGTCTGAGTCATCACCACGTGTGAGACCCGGAAGATGTGCACCTCTGCGGGCGGACAGTGAAGGGAGCACGTTCCTAATGGAGGGAACAGCTCTTGTCAAGGCTTGGGGTGGGCGCAGGAGGCAAGGCAGAGGGCGGCTGGGTGAGGCCAGGGTCAGCAGCTGTGACATCTGGTTGATGATTTGGGTCTTGTCCCAAGGCTGGTGCCCTGACCCTTTGTGGCCATGGCCTTCTGAGACTCTATTGTGTGAGGAGCAGAGTGTGAAATGAGGTTGGGGAGGGGGACAAAGAAGCCTCAAGGAAGGAGCGTCACCAACGTGGCACGTTTCAAACTGGTGGGATTCTCATCCCCCGCTTCATGGACCTCCTTGTCTTCTGGGATTTCCTACCTCGTGGAGGCTGAGCAATTCTATCACCCTGAAACAGAACAAGCCGACACCACAGATGAGGAAGGGCGGTCCTCTCTCCCAATCCACACCCACACATGGTGTCCTCCACCTCCTCCCCTCATCCCCTCCTTCCGTCCTTTGCTCGCTGGAGCTGCTGTTACACGGGGCTCCTGCCTCAGGGCCTTTGCAGGGGCTGTTCCCCCACCTGGAAAGTTCTTCCTGCAGAAACCGTCATGGCTTGTGCCCTCACCTCATTCCTCTCTGTGTTCAGAGGTCACCTGCTCGGGCTGGTCCTTTCTGGGTCCCCTCTAAAATTCCCATCCCCGTCGCTTCCTAGTCCCTTGCTCTGCTCAACTCTTTTCTCATTGGCACCGATCCCTCTCCGATCCCTGCTCCGCAATCACTATTTACTCCCCATGTGCGTTTGATCATTTGTGACTCTTGTTGATGATCCCGCCCTCTGGAAGTAAGGACGATGGGGCAGGATTCTGTTTGCTTTGGTCATGGCTCTGTCTCCCGCCCTGGGGCAGGACCTTGTACACAGCAAGCACTCGGCAAATATTTGTTGCACAAATGAGTGGGTTTCACACGTGAGTTTTGCAGAGGGAAAGCCCAAATTCACCCGCTCTGACCCCTGAACTCCAGCCTGCTCTCAGGAGAAGCAAATTCTCCGCGTGCTCTCAAGCTGTCCTGTCCGTGTGTATATGTGCGTCGGAGGGCCAGGTGGGCTTTCCCCCAGCAGCGGCAGGCAGGAGGCGTCCTCTTCTTCAAGGCTCCAGGGCCACCTCCTCTGAGGTTTGGTGAGCACAGAGGGAACCCCGTGTGCACCGGGCTGACCGCACACTGCCACTCACTGAACTCCCCTGGAGATCCCAGCAGGTGGCCAGAGGGGAGACTGAGGCCTAGAGAGGGTAAGACACCTGCCCAGGGCCACCCTGTTAGAAACTGGCAGGGCCAGGACTGGGCCTCAGGTCCGTCTGGGGACCCTCCTGCCCACCCTGTGCTGGTCTTCAACGGGCCGGTTTTTCAGGGAGTCCTGTGGCATCACCCAGCAGCTTGCTGGTTCTGAGGAGTGTGACGTCTCTCCAGAGAGGTCTGGGGGCCCAGTGCAAAGATCACAGGCCTGCACCACCCTACGTGTGCGTGACCCCAAGCAGGTCAGCCTCTCTGGGCCTCAGTTTCCTCAGCTGTGAAATGAAGGACTTGGCTGGGCTGACTTTCAGTTCCTGTTTGGTTCTGAGCATCCTAGCTTTTTCCCATGCCCGAGGCTTCCCTGAGAAGGAGGCACTTTTCCAACAGGTTGACTGTACCTGGCTCCCTGGGCCAGGAGCTGGAGGCTTTAAAAGCAAAATAAGAACTTGGTGAGTCCTCCCGGGCTGCTCCCGCCTGCCTTCCTGCGGCCTGGCCACTGCGGGCTGCCTGGAGAGCTCCCAGCCATCAGCCCACGCCCAGCTGCAAGAACAGCTGAGTCACCCTGACGGGGCCAGTCACCCTGAGATCCAAGCAGGCCTCAGCAGAGCCGAGTGACCACCTGGGCTGGCCCAATTCGGTGCTTGGCTCTCTGGAAGGGCACCTTCATGAGAAGCCACTAGGTCAGACAGGGCCCCCCGTCCCCAGCACTGGGGAGAAACCACAGCGGCAGCCCCTCAGGATGCAGAGAGACCTGGGGGTCCCCTCGGGGTCCCTTCTGGTTACCAGCACTTTAGGCTTAAGCAGAAAGTGTCGTGGGCCCTTGTTTCTTAGGTTTGATGTCAAGAAAGCAGAAGGTGGATTTGGAGCGTAATATCTGGAGATCCATGAACCGGGAGGATCAGAGATCCTACCCATGATCCTACCCATGGGCGCGGTGGCTGATGCCTGTATTCCCAGCACTTTGGGAGGCCAAGGCAGGTGGATCACTTGAGGTCAGGAGTTCAAGACCAGCCTGGTCAACATGGTGAAACCCTGTCTCTGCTAAAAATACAAAAATTCGTAGGGCGTGGTGGCATGCGCCTGTAATCCCAGCTATTCTGGAGGCTGAGGTGAGAATCGCTTGGACCCAGGAGATGGAAGTTGCAGTGAGCCAAGATCGTACCATTGCACTCCAGCCTGGGTGACAGAGTGAGACTCCATCTAAAAAAAAAGAAAGAAAAGGAAAGGAAAGAAAAGAAAAGAAAAGAGATCCCACCTGTGCACCCATTGAAGACCAGTGCACCGTGTGCATGGGGGCCCCCAGACAGGCCTGCGGCTGAGTCCTGGCCCTGCCACCTTCTAACAGGGTGTCCCTGGGCAGGTGTCTTACCCTCTCTGTGCCTCAGCAGGAGAAGTCATAATAACAGAAATAATGGCGATGTTGCCTGGCCAGTGAGCCCTGTGCCCTCCTGGCCATCCCCGTCTCTTGATCTCTCCCTGACTCTGTCTGCAGGGTACCCCCTCTGCAGAAGGCCTCCCTCACCCTCCCCTGCCTCACTGGGTCTGTGCTCCCATCACTGCCCGCGCCCTTAAACCCGGGACCCTCTTTACCGTTCCACCTTCACTAGCACGGCGGGTCCCTGAAAGCAGCCCCTGCTCTGCACCCCGTTCTTTTCTCGGGGCCTGTGGCAGTGCCTGCACGCCAGCTGAACTCGGCAGACATAACTGAGCACAGAAAGTGTCCTGTGCAGTAAGTTTACTTTCAACAATTTTTCAGAGAGGTGTGTAACTTCTCCAAGAGTACACAGCCGGAAAAAGGCAGAATTTGAACTGGCCTCCTCCTAGGAGTTGGCTCTTCTTGTTCCATGAATCTCAGAGCCAGCTGCACATGAGGAGAGGCGCCTGTGTGTGCTTCTGTCTGTGGGACGGGGCGGCTACAGGCATGAGCTCCAGGGGCAGGGACCCTGAACTGGCGAATACCGTGCTGTCATTGTGGAACCAGAGGGTGAGAGCCCCTTGTCTCTCCCAAAGGGTCCCCTTCCTCCTCTAGGCAACCCTAACATCTTGTACAAAATGCTACCAGTAAGCGCAGTGGGGAGGCTATAATTAGGGCAGCCCAGATTTACTGGGTAGACTAGGAGACCCTGGCGAATTTCACCCCTCTGAGCAAAGGCCCTGTCACCTGGCCATTGGAGGCAATAAGACCCGCCCCCACCCCCATCTGATGATCGCACTTCCGCTACAAGCTCTCTGACAAAGGGTGGCCCACCCTCGGCTTGCACATGTCCAGTGGCTGGGAACCGCTCTACTTCCCCAGGGTGACAGATGGTGAGCAGTGACTTCTAATAGGTAGCTTCGATCCCAACCCCGCCAGGAGGCTGAATCCCTTTGGGCCCCAAGAACTGGAGAGCTCCACAAATTCGAACAACTCAGAGCGAGCGAGCTGTTTTCTCCTGAACATTGAGAGAGCTTGCTTGTTTGGGAAGACAGATTCAAAGGCAGATTCTTCGCTGGCAGAGTTATTTCTTTGGCAGTTATCTGCCTTGAGCAGAAGTGGCTTTGGGACACCCAGACAGCCCTGCAGGCTTGTGAGCCCAGATAAATGTCAAGTCCACGCCCACGGTAGGCTACGACAAAACACCCTGGGTGGAGGAGGCGAGTTTAGAGGTGGCTACTGCGACACTGAAGACAATTTTCTTCCCCAAACGAGTTGGGTTGTTCTCGTGTGATCCTAGCCAGATGGCAAGAAGATACCACTAAGGGCATTTAGAGAAAATCTTAAACGATTTTGTTTGACTTTAAAAAATCCATTCTCGGAGCTCAGCAAATGAAGTCGTTTTTCTTTCCTGCTTTTTTTTTTTTTTTTTAACTCTGATGTCATTTTGTTTTTTCTCAAAAATTTTTCACATTACAAACATCGTGTGTGTCTATTGTAGATAGCATGAAAAACTCAGTGCAACATAAAGAACAAAATAAAAATAATCTTCGATCCATCACCCAGAAACAACTGCTGTTATAATAACGTTTGGATGAACTCTGTTTCTCATCAGTAGAGTTATACTTTTATCACTTTTTTTATTTTTTATTTATTTATTTTTTGAGACAGAGTCTCACTATTTTGCCCAGGCTGGAGTGCAGTGGTGTAATCTAGGCTCACCGCAACCTCCGCCTCCCAGGTTCAAGCGATTCTCATGCCTCACCCTCCCGAGTAGCTGGGACTACAGGTGTGCACCACCATGCCTGGCTAATTTTTGTATTTTTCGTAGAGACAGGGTTTCACTGTGTTGGCCGGGCTGGTCTCAAACTCCTGGCCTCAAGCAATCCGCCCACCTTGGCTTCTCAAAGTGCTGGGATTACAGCCGTGAACCACCACGCCTGGCCAAGTTATACTTTTAAAAAAAGAGTACATAGGTTCACAGAATAGGCAGTGAGAAAACAAAATTTAAAAAATGAAACAAAGAGCACATTCTATCTCTTCTATCCACTGCATCTGAAGGACAGAGCTGCCAATGAGACGGACAAGGTCTACCCTCTTAGAGCTTGCAGCTTAGAGGGGAGACAGAAAATAAACATATAAGTTAACATTCGGATTGTTTCCAATTTTCCTCTGTTACAAACACCACTGCAGTGATTTTAGCCAAGTGTCTGAATACTCATGCGTTGATTGCCTGAGAAACTCTCTAAAAGTGGGATTTATGAGATGGGTTTTTTGCATTCCATAAAAAATCTCTGTAATGATCACCTTTATGCATATTTGTATGAAAATTATGTTGATATTATCTGATAAGTACCTCTTCTGCCTGCATTAGACACTTTTCAATATAGATTTTTTAGATCAGAAGGGATTTTACAGGGTTTCTGTCTAGGCGAACCCCTCATCCCTCTCCAGCATCACAGCTTACATAACCCCAGGAATGGAGAGCTCACTCCTTCCTCAGAAAGTTCATTCTATTTGCATGGCTCTGCCTCTGGGAAACGTTCCTTTATATTGACATAAAACAGATCCTCCTGGGCTTCCACTAGTGACCCCGGTTCCTGAGCCTGCACAGAGCAGATCCAGGCCTCATCCCCGCACCCACCCTGCTGGGCTGGAGGTCAGCTCCACAGCCCCTCGAGGTCCTCCCTTTATGCGCACTGCTTGCCTGGCTCTCACCCACTGCTGAACGGCAGTTCCTTTCTTGGGACTCCACTCCAGGACTGCCTCGCCTCCCCCAGGGAGGCTTCCCTGACCACCCCTCCCCAGGGAGTAGTGGGCTCTGCACCTGGCCTCTGTCCCTGCCTCCATGGAAGCCCTTCTCATGGCCTGCCCCCCCTCCCTGGGCTGCACCCTGCCACAGGGCCATCTCTGCAGGCAGCAGGCACTGGATGAAAACCTGTTGCATGAATGAGTGGAGGACGGGATTCTAGTGTCTGTATCTCTGACAACTTCCGTGACTGCGGCATTCCCTGTGTTGGATGCAGGCCACTGTCCTCCACTGTAAAATGGACACACAATCAGCTTTCTGCTCTTGTTGGTCCACTTGTTAGTTTACTTAACAAGAAGTGCTCACTCAACAAGTCCTGGGAGCCCACACTGTCCTGGGAACTGAGGACACAGGGCAAGCAGGGCAGGACAGGTCCTGGCCCCGGGGTGCTCCAAGTCTAATGGAAATAGGTAAATAAGCATTAGCTCCATCAGTGAGGTCTAGAAAGGAGCTATGCAGGCACTGGACAGAGAATTCCAGGGAAGCAGCTCCTAATGTGGCGGGGGCAGCCACCCAAGGAAGTGGGTGTTCCAGCGGAGGACGATCCAAATGCGGCGGGGCAGCTGCCCAGGGAAGTGGGTGTTCCAGCGGAGGGCGATCTTCACGTGAAAAAGCCAGGGGCAGGATTCCAGGCCCAGGGAACAGCAGGTGTGAAGGTCTTGAGGTGGGACAAAGCCAGGGTGACCCCAAAAATGGATGAGAGGCCATGGGACTGGCCTTGGCATATTCATTAAATCAAGGTTCATCGAGCAGCGGTGTGTGCCAGGCCTGGGGCTGATGGTGCGTTCTGGGTACCCTGGAGAGGAGCCTGCCCCACCACTGCTCTGGAAGGGCTTAGAGGTGAATGCGGAAGATCAGATGATCAAATATGTATATATGTGTATGGCAAGGATTCCTGCTAAAGGGGAAACTCAGTCTCTCTCCTGCCTATGTCCCCTGGTCTCATTAAGTAATTGATCTAGTGAATCATTGCTTCATGGATTCATAGATTTACTTCTTAATTGCATGGTTAGTTAGTTCATTCATTCATCTAACAGATCTTGATTGTGGCTTCCTCTGAGTCAGGCACTGTGTGGGGTCTGGGGAATGGATGTGAACAAGACGGACGCCTCCTTGATCCTGGGAAACATACCCTCTAGAGGGGCGAGACAAGGACAAATACACAGAGGAACTCCAACAAGACCGATGAGACTACAGAGACAGGAAACAAGAAAACTTAAGCTTAGGCAAGGAGGAGAGGGGGAGGGGAGGGGAGGGGGTGGGGGAGGAGGGGAGGGGGTGGGGGAGGAGGGGAGGGGGTGGGGGAGGAGGGGAGGGGAGGGGGAAGGAAGGGGACAGGAGGGGGAGGAGGGACAGGAGATGGGGAGGAGGGGCAGGGGAGGTGGACGGGGAGGAAGGGGAGGGGAGGGGGAGGATGGGTGGGGGAAGGAAGGGGAGGAGGACAGGAGAGGGGGAGGAGGGGGAGGGGAGGAGAAGGAGGGGGAGGAGGAGGGGGAAGGGGAGGAGGGGAGTGGGGGAACGAGGAGGAGGCCACCCCAGGAAGATCAGAGGAACAGCTCGTGCAAAGGCCCGGCACCCTGTGGCCTTGGTGAGCGTGCATCCCAGAGGGAGGCCTGCCCTCTCTCAAGGGAGTGAGCAGCAGCAGCCTGCTCGCCGAACACGTGTCTTACCCCTAACAAATCGCCCCTAAGTCAATGGGGCCGCCAACAAAGAGGTGCCCCGGTCTCTGGCCACACACAGCGTGTGCGTCTTCCTGGAAGCCAGCAAAGCGCAGCCTCCCCACGCCCCCGGCTCCCGGGCTGGCACGGCCTCCTCCCTAAGAAGGCCCCAAGGAGCAGGCGGCTGCGCGGTGGGAGAGAGAACAGGGCTGCTTTATGAAAGCCCCACAGGGCGGCCGTGGGCAAACAGAAGGCCCGAGTGTGTCCACGGCGGGCAGGCCGGGAGCTCAGAATAGCTCATTGAGCCTTGGTGGCTGGGCCAAGAGTGCAGCCGGGAAGAAACAGGTCTTTATTAAGGGGAGGCCCGGCACAGCCTGAAACGAAGAATGCTCACGCCAGGCCACCCATCTGCCACCCGGGCTCTGGGAGGCCACACGAGCATGCACAGATGCGGCGAGTCTAAATTCATCGTCCATAGGAAGCTGTCTTACGTGGGAGAACTTACCCCCAGTCTTCCTTCTCTCCTCCTCCCCCAGGACAGAAACAAAATTAAAAATGTTTCCACTGAAAGGTGAATAGTGCCTCACAAAACTCTGTCCTCCTCGCCCCCTGAGCTCAAGGACTCTCCAACAATTTCAGAAAGTAGGTGCCTTGAGTAACCCCATTCTGCAGATAAAAAGACTGAGGGTCAGAGAGCACCAGTAACTTGCCCAAATTCACAGCTAGTAAAATAATGGTACAGGAGGCTGGATGTGGTGGCTCACGCCTGTAATCCCAGCACTTTGGGATGCTGAGGTGGGCACGAGGTCAGGAGGTCAAGACCAGCCTGGCCAACATAGTGAAACCCCATCTCTACTACAAATACAAAAAATTAGCTGGGCATGGTGGGGGGCACCTGTAATCCCAGCTACTTGGGAGGCTGAGGCAGGAGAATTACATGAACCTGGGAGGCAGAGGTTGCAGTGAGCCAAGATCACGCCACTGCACTCCAGCCAGGGTGACAGTGCGAGACTCCATCTCCGAAAAAAAAAAAAAAAATGGAACAGGGATGGAACCAATCTCTGCCTGAATGCCATGCCCATGTATTTTATCACCACAGTGTGTGTGTGTGTGTGTGTGGTACGTTGTGTGTGTGAGGCATGTGTGGGATGCATATGTGCATAATGTTTGTGTGTGTGGTATGTGGCGTGTGTGTACATGATGTGTGTTGTGTGTGCATGTGTGATATGTGGTGTAATGTGTGTGATACACATGCATGCATGCATGTGTACGTGTTGTGTCTGCATGCGTGTGTGGTATGATTGTGTGTGATGTGTGTGCATGCGTGTGTGGTATGATTATGTGTGATGTGTGTGCATGCGTGTGTGGTATGATTGTGTGTGATGTGTGTGCATGTGTGTGCATGTGTGTGTAGTATGATTGTGTGTGATGTGTGTGCATGTGTGTGTGGTATGACTGTGTGTGATGTGTGTGCATGTGTGTGTGGTATGACTGTGTGTGATGTGTGTGCATGCGTGTGTGGTATGATTGTGTGTGATGTGTGTGCATGTGTGTGTGGTATGATTGTGTGTGATGTGTGTGCATGCGTGTGTGGTATGATTGTGTGTTGTGTGCATGCGTGTGTGGTATGATTGTGTGTGATGTGTGTGCATGTGTGTGTCGTATGATTGTGTGTGATGTGTGTGATGTGTGTGCACGCATGTGTGGTATGATTGTGTGTGATGTGTGTGACGTGTGTGCATGTGTGTGGTATGATTGCGTGTGATGTGTGTGCATGTGTGTGGTATGATTGCGTGTGATGTGTGTGCATGTGTGTGGTATGATTGTGTGTGATGTGTGTGCATGCGTGTGTGTATGATTGTGTGTGGTGTGTGTGCATGCGTGTGTGATGTGCGTGATGTGTGTGCGTGTGTGTGTGGTATGATTGTGTGTGATGTGTGTGCATGCATGTGTGATGTGTGTGATGTGCGTGCGTGCGTGTGTGTGCACATGCTGCCTAGTTGTTCCAAGGCACATCCAAAAATTCGACCTGGCCAGGACAGCAGGGGTAGGCCACCAGGCTCACTCACAGCAGCTGGTGGAGAAGCAGTCCCGGGGCCCTGCCTGCCAGTGCCCTGAGCTGGGTGCCTGCTCTTCCGACCACTGTTTCCTTCACGTGTCGGGGCCTCCTGGAGTTTGGTCCATCCCTGGCAGGCTGGTGGGCAGGATGTGGAGCCGAGCCCCGGATTCGGGGGGCCCTGGTCTTCCCAGCCCCTCAAAGGTGGACCCAGTGATGACAGAGCGGCAATGCCCCCGTCCACTGTCCCCAGCCTGTCCTCCCCTTTGTCTTCCTCTAACTGAACACCTTCCTGGTGACACACTGCAAGCCAAGGCCCCAGGAGCAGCCTCTCCCTGCCACCCCGCTCCCACGTGTTCCTTGGCACGTGGTGCTCTGACAGTGCCCCCAGGCACCTGGGCAGGTCCCCACCCCCCTGTCTGTGCAGGCTTTCCTTTCCTGGGGCTCCCTCCCTCGCCTGATGCACCTGGCAGCTTCCTTTGCCCGCTCTGCCAGGGCTCTGCCAAGGCCGAGGCCCAAGGCCGTCTTCGCTGACTCCTCATTGTTGCCCATGCTGTATCCTCTGAGCAGTCCAGCCCCACACGTGTCCCTCTGGCCCTGCTGGTGCTGGCTCGGTGGCCAGTGCTAACTCGGCTGGCCTACCCTCGAGCTGCTCCCTGCTAGGGCAGAGTGGCCACGGTGGGTGTTCCCGTTACTGTGGCTGCAGAGCACATTCATTCAGCTCACAAAGTCTGTGGGTCAGGAATTTGGGCAGGACACAGAGGGAACGGCTTGTCTCTGTGTCATGACGTTTGGGGCCTCCACTGAATGACTCAGAGGCTAGGGCTCGAACATGGAGGCTGGGTCGCTGCCACGCTGGCTGTCTGGGGGGCCTTGGGTCCTCCCACATGGCTCTCTGCACTGTCTTGTCGTGTGGGCTGGCCTGGGCTTCCTTGCAGCGTGGTGCCTGGCTTCTTTCAGAATGAGTGTCCTGAAGGATAGAGGAAGATGGTCAGGAGACCCACGGGGTGGGCCGAGTGTCCAAGTCACGCTGTGCAGAGGACATAGGGATTTGTCGCTCAAGGGCATGTGATCTGCCTATCCCCAGAGCCTGATGCCAGGCTGGCCCCAGCAGGTACTCGGGAGACTTGTGGTGGTCTGTTGAGCTCATGTAGTCCCCATCACAGTCTCCAGATGAGGAAACCGAGGCCCAAAGAGTTGCAATCATTCACTCAAGGGCCTCAGCTCTGGGGACCCTCCCAACTGCACCACGCTGGCCCCCAGTGCCCAGAGACGAGAAGTCCAGGGACCCAAGGCCTGGGTGTCAGTGTTGACATCAGGCAGAGCTGGCCAGGCCCCTCTTGGGGTATGTGGAGAAATGCTTGAACTTTGGCAGGTTCCAAGCACAGAGCAGGGTCAATGCATACTTGTGATGAGCGTGTGTCCTTACAGTCATGCTCTGTCACCCGGTGACTCCCTCGTCCCCCACCAACTTCAGTCAGGGACAGCCTTAGGGATCTGTGGCAGTGTGGTACAGACTGCGGTGCAGACTGGGCCTGTTGCCTGCGGGCAGATCTCAGGATAAACAGGCGGCCACTGAGTGTAACTCCACTCTGATGAGTTACTCCCAGTGAAGTCCCCAGTGGCTCCTGTGGTCCCCAGGGTAAAGGTCACAGTCTTTAAAGGTGTAGTCTTTGAAGATCCCACCTGCTCCCTGTCCTCCTTGCCAGCCTCAAGTTGTCAAAGCCTCAGAGGTTCCCACACCCTGAAGTCAACCATCAGCAGAACAAGATGCCCACGCTCTGCAGGCTGCAGGGGTCGAGGCCAGCAACCTGGCTGCAGAGCCCAACTCCTTCGCACCTGGTCTTGGGCCCCAGGTGCTCTCCAGGGCTCTTGGGGTGAAGCCTAAATGCCTTGCTTGGCCTGAACTGGTCCCTCTCTACAAAGCAGCGCCTCTCACTCCCTCCTCATGGCCTGGGAATAACGGGAGAGGGGGAGATGAGTTAGGATGGAGGCTTTGACCGGGATGTAGATAAGCGTGGCTACCCCTGGGCGCCGCTGAGCTGCTCACCAGGCTCTCCTTGTGTGAGGCCAGGAGCCCACTGGGAAGTAACTTGTCGCAGTGGAAGAGAAAGTCATGTGGGTCAAGTGTGGTCACAGGCCAGCAAGCCTGGCTGGAGGGGAAGGGAGACTTGGGCAAGTGGAACATCAGCTTCAGTCGCTCATCAGACCTCTGGCCAGGGCCCCATTGGCGTCAGCCGCTCATCGGACCCCCGGCCGGGGCTCACGGCTCTGCCAGAGCACTGCACTGGGAAGGGGCTGGAGGGTCCAGCCGTACTCACTGGTCGCAACGGCCAAGAGGGGGAAGCAACCCAGGTCCACTGACAGAGTGGCTAAGCCAAGGGGGGCACGCACAGCATGGAGTAGTATTCAGCCCTAAAAAGGAAGGAGATTCTGACACAGGCTACAATGTGGATGAACCCTGAGGACACTATGCTCAGTGGTAGAAGCCAATCACAAAACGATGAATACTGCAGGGTTCCACTTCTGTGAGGTCCCTAGAGTCGTCAAATTCATAGAGACACAAAGTAGAATGGGGGTGCCAGGGGCTGGGGCATGGGGAATAGAGAGCTAGTGTGTGATGGGGACAGAGCCTCACTTGGGGGAGAAGAGAAGGTTCTGAAGATGGATGGGTGGTGATGGTTGTGCATTAATATGTATGTACTTAATGCAAGTAAATTGTACTCTCAAAGTGGATAAAATGGTAATTTATGTTACGTGTATTTTACAATTTTAGAAAAAAGATAATAAAAACTGGCTAAACTGCAAAAAGTCAGTAAGAAAATAAGAACAATTACATTTCCAACTTAAACGTCTTTCTGAACTGTTTTATTTTTTGAGGTAGATACTATTTATTATTTCTCATTCTACAGGTGAGAAATCTGAGCCTTGGAGATGAGAGATAACTCACCTAATGTTATATAGATAGGCAGTGGCAGGACAAAACTTTGGGCCATGTCTGACCACGACGCTATATAATTTGTCTTCTGTTCTAGAGCATTCTTGTGTATGTCAACCCATTCCTAAATCCCGCAGTACATACAACATATCAAGTTTGTTTTTTCTCCCTCCCTCTCATTGGCATTTACCATCTTTCTTGAATTTTGGATCGAATGTCTGAACAAGTTTGTAAAGCAGTAGTGCTGGCAGTTGAAAACTGAAAATCAGCATGTTCCAAACCACTCCTAATTCTCACATCACTAGCAAACACACATACACAGACACACTCACACACACACACCCCTTCCATCTTGCTGGCTCTTATTTCAATTAATAGTGTAACAGGAAACAATCTTCTATTAAGAAAGTCTACCAGAAAGTGTTTTCAAGTCTAGGAATTGCGACAGATATTTAGGGAGTCTGGTGTGTTTGTGTGTGTGTGTGTGTGTGTGTGTGTGCGTGTGTGTTTGAGATGAAGTTTCGCTCTTGTCACCCAGGTTGGAGTGCAGTGGCGCAATGTCAGCTCATTGCAACCTCTGCCTCCTAGGTTCGAGCAATTCTCCTGCCTCAGCCTCCCAAGTAGCTGAGACTACAGGTGTGGGCCACCACACCCAGCTAATTTTTGTATTTTTAGTAGAGACAGGGTTTCATCATGTTGGCCAGGCTGGTCTCGAGCTCCTGACCTCAGGTGATCTGGCCACCTTGGCCTCCCAAAGTGCTGGGATTACAGGCGTGAGCCACTGAGCCCAGCCAACTCTGGTGTTTTTTGTTTTTGCATTTTTTTTTTAACATGAGAAAACACTGAAATGGGTTTTCTGGGTTTTCCAGTACAAGTCTCAGATTGAGACAAAAAAAAAAGAGTAAAATTATTCTGCACACCTAAAGTAATAGGTTGTCTTCTTTAGGTGAGTGAGAGAGAGAGAGAGAGAGAGCGAGAGAGCTGCTTGAAGGCACTAGCAGGCTGCCAGCATCTGAAGAGCTCCTGGACCAGGGTCTCAGGAATGACACAGGCCTGGGGTGGCCTGATGTTTGGGGCTGTTTCCACCTCAGAGACATTTGGTGATTCGGGCGGACACTGGGGCCCTGGGCGATGTTTTTGACGGAGTTGGTGGGGGGTGTGCGCTGGTAAATGTCTCCCTTTGCTTGGGACCCCAGAGGCCTTGGATCCCAGCAGCCAGGGTGAACTGGGAAGAAAAGGAGCACAGGGCAGGTGTGACTCGGGAACAGCACTCAGATGCCGGAGTTGATCCATGAAGGTTCAGCGGACTGAGTGCGCCTACTATGAAACAAATGCTTGTCAGGTCAGACAAGGAGAGTCAAGTCCGATGATATCTTGTTTATGAGCCGCATCTAGAGCGTAAGGATGGAGCAGGGAGGAAGGGGGAAGGTTGGAGGAAGACGCATCCACAGGCCCTGGCCAAGGGAGGCGGGAGCTGGGCTGACGGGGGAGCAGCCTGTGGGCCCTGAAACCCTCCCTGCTCTCCTTGCCAGCACCTGCTCATCCTCAATGTCCCTGTCATTCCCTCAGTGGGTACGTTTTCAGTGCCTTCTCTGTGCTAGGTGCCTGGTACCAGGTGTCACGGATTCAGAGTGGACAAAATGGAAAAACACCACAATCTTCCTCCTCGTTGGGGAGACAGACAAACTGTACATAAATAAATGATCGTGCTCCTTTCGGGGAGAGATAAGAGCCAGGTGGACATAAACAGGCCTTGTCTTCTGCCCCCACCAGACAGGGCACGTCCAAATTAGCACCCTGTCTGCCTCCCTCACCTAATTTCCTCCCCTCCTACCCCCATGCAAATATAGCCACTGTGCCTTGGGCTGCAGCTGCCGTCCCCACTCTGTCTGCACACTGGGAGCCCCTCGAGCATGGACAGGATCTTGGGGCTCTGAATTTCCAGTGCCCAGTGACCGTGGCAGGATATAAGGCTTTAGTTTCCCGAGGACAGGGGCTGGACCAGCTGTTTTCAGGCCTTTCCCGCTCCTGCAGCGCCCCCTGGTGTGGGGGGACCAGTCTCTGCAGCCACCGCGGACCCCACACCCCACAGCCAGAGGGTCCTCGCATCCTTCCTGATGACCAAGTTCCCTCCCACGGGCTCACACCCGACCGCTGGAACCCTTGCTTCCCTTGGACCATGAACAGTATAGAGGAGACGCTCTCATTCTCCATTAGTGGGTCAAATGGTTTCAGTCACTTTGGGAAATGGTGGTTTGTGGTTTTTTTAATTAAATTAATTTTTTTTTTTTTGAGACAGGGTTTTGCTCTGTTACCCAGGTTGGAGGACAGTAGCGTGATCACAGCTCACTGCAGCCTTGAACTCCTGGGCTCAAGTGATCCTCCTGCCTCAGCCTCCTGAGTAGCTGGGACTACAAGGCACGAGCCACCGTGCCTGGCTAATTTTTGTATTTTTAGTAGAGCCGGGGTCTCACTATGTTGCCCAGGCTGGCCTCGAACTTCTGGCCTCCAGTGATCCTCTGGCCTAGGCCTCCCAAAGCCCTGGGAATACAGGCATGAGCCACTGTGCCTGAATCTGGATAACTTCTCAGCACATAAAAGGAGTCTTCTTAGAAGGATAGTTTTGTAAGTTCTGTATCAACATCCCAGGGCACGATTAGGAACAAAGCCCCATTGGAGCCCACGGGAATGTCTGTGTGGTGTTTGACTGAACCTTAGGTTGGACTCAACTGGATTGGGCGTCTGACTTTCTCACCCACTGGCCTGCCCAGCTCTTGGGAAAGAATCACATCTTGTTTTTCTTTGTGTCCTAGTCTTCCCATGGTGCTTGATTTCTGAGCCAGCCCTTAGTCTGACTGAATTCTCCTGTCTGCCTTTCTGTCTCGCATTCCTTATGGAGTGCCTACATTTTGTGTAGTCGTTCATTCACTCAGTCACTCTGACAATCGCTTATTGCACAGATATGTGAGTGTACCAGGGATGTGCTACCTGCTTGCTGAGCATGCAGCCAAGTGGATGCAGCTAACATCCACTTGTTACTCCAGGTGAGTAAGGCAGACAGTCATCAGATAATGACACAAACACATTTCACAAACTGTAACAAGCGCTATGAAGGGGACAGTTCATATGTCCCCTTTCCATATCCTCATATGAAAGATGCTATGGGGCATCTTTCGAGGTCAAGGGAAGGCTGCAGGGGAGTGAGCAAGGGGGCAGGAGCCACCTCAAGCCAGAGAACAGAAATTGGGCTTTATTCTAATATGAAGAGAAGCTAATGAGAGCTTTAGGCAAAGCCCAATATGTCTGATTTATGTTGTTTAAAGACCCCTTTGGCTGATGTGTTACATGCGGGAGTGGCTTGGAGCGGGGAAGGGGAAGCAGGAGACCACTTAAGAGGCTGTTGAGTGGCCCAGGAGAGATGCCAGTGGCTTGGATGGGTTGGGTAGCAGTGGGGATGGACAGAGCACTGGGAATATGCATTGTGGGAGTGCCAAGGTGGATAGGTGGATATTAGTTCTTTTTTCTTTTTTTTCAGACAGAGTCTTGCTCTGTCGCCCCGGCTGGAGTGCAGTGGCGTCATCTCCGCTCCGACTCCCGGGTTCACACCATTTTCCCGCCACAGCCTCCTGAGTAGCTGGGACCACAGGCGCCCACCACCATGCCTGGCTAATTTTTTTTTTTTTTTTTTGTATTTTTAGTAGACAGGGTTTCACCATGTTAGCCAGGATGGTCTCGATCTCCTGACCTTGTGATCCGCCTGCCTCAGCCTCTCAAAGTGCTTGTGAACTACCGCGCCCGGCCCCTAATTACTGCTTTTGAATGTTAACTTTAAGTGAAAAATCTTTTAGCAATGTTTTGTTATGTAAGGATATTTTCATATTCAGTGACTATGTCATCGAAACACATGAATTACTTATAGGGGTACCAGCAGTTGCTGAATATTAAATGTAGGTTACTTGTTCTTTCAGCTTCTACATTCAGAGTTCCTTAATTTGTCGTCAATGAACCACCTGAATAAAAAACGTAAATATGTGACAATGAAGGTCCACGAAAGCTAGGTGCAAGATTACATGATCAGATTCTTCACAACACACAGCTAAATGAAAATACAGCTACTCTATGAACCTCAAAGATCTTTGATGACACTGCAAATGACACAAAAGCAACCTAAGCTGTATGCTTTTTTAGCATCTACTATTTAGGAGGGCCACCTTATAAAATAGATTTGAATCTCAATAAAAGTCTACTGTATCCGCAGGAAAATCCTAATACCATTCACTCACACAAATAATTTAACTATCCATTTCGAGAGGAAAGAAATATACCATGCTCTGGACGGGCGCGGTGGCTCACGCCTGTAATCTCAGCACTTTGGGAGGCCGAGGCAGGTGGATCACGAGGTCAGGGGATCGAGACCATCCTGGCTAACACAGTGAAAACCCGTCTCTACTAAAAAAAAATACAAAATACAAAAAAAATTAGCCGGGCATGGTGGCAGGCGCCTGTAGTCCCAGCTACTCAGGAGGCTGAGGCAGGAGAATGGCGTGAACGCGGGAGGCGGAGCTTGCAGTGGGCCGAGATTGCGCCACTGCACTCCAGCCTGGGCGACAGAGCATGACTCCGTCTCAAAAAAAAAAAAAAAAAAAAAAAAGAAAAGAAATATACCATGCTCTGAAATAGAAGCTACAGCTTTTCACATTAGCTCTCTAAAGGAGGTATACTCAAGCCCCTTTTCTTTATCCCACTACTAAAAAAGCACATGAGCAGTACGTCTATTTCAAACACACACAAGGAAATACGTAAAGCTCTTTTCAGAAGGAAATCATTTCCAATAAAACTCAAAATTTCTATTAACATTTAAATTATAAACCAAACATTGGCAACCCACATATATATATACACACACACACACATATGTTTGCTATGGACAAATGAAGACTGTGAGGTCATACTTTCAAATACAACTTTGGAATTAGTCACAAAAAATCAACATATATTCTCAGAAATTGTACCATTTCCTTTGGTCTACAATCCACGCTATAGGAGGTTTAATATAATATTAAATAATGTACCATTTACCCTAAAAGTAGGTTCTAGAAAACTGACTATTAGGATTGAATAACAAGGCTTTAATGGCTCAATTTTCTTATGATTATACAAACATATAAATCTTGAAAAGGTAACGCCATTTAGTAAAATCCATAAAAATAACAGTTTTGCCACAGTGCAGAGAAAAGTTCATTCAGTTTGATTCCCCATGCCCTCGACAAGCAGCTTTCTGATTAGAGCTGGAAGACACAGGCTGGGTGCAGTGGCGACCCCGTAGTCCCAGCTACTGGGGAGGCTGAGGTGGAAGGATCACTTGAGCCCAGGAGTTTCCGAACAGTCTGGGCAACATACCAAGACCCTGTCTCTTTTTTTAAACTTGGAAGACATAAAGTCTATACATTCTACACTGAATCATGAATATACTACGGAGAGTTTGTAGAAAGTAAACTTTAAAATCCCACACTCCAACATCATATATGTCCATAAGCAGGATTTGCAATTCACTTCATACTGGAGGTAAGCACCCCAGCTGGGGTCCTCTTGCCGCAGTGGTCAGGCCGTCAGAGCTGAGGCCTTTCACTGCAACAAGGGAAGTAGTCTTCGGTCCGAAACAGGACGGGGGCTTCGTAGCCGGCTTGCTGTGGCCTCGAGGGAGCAGACTTGCTAAAGAGCGAGGGCACGTTCATCGTGTGCAGGAGCTTCTTGAACGCCCTGGGGAAGGTGCCCAGCTCGGCCTCGGCCTTGGTGACCTGCTCCTCCATCCTGGCCACGCGGCCCCCCACCATCCTCACGAAGGCCTCCAGCCGGTCGATCCTGCTGTAGATGCGCCGCATCTCGGCGGCCTTCGCGTGGATGCGCGGCACGCCCTCGCTGACGACGTGGGACGAGTCGCCGCGAAGCATGTCCAGCATGCCCACGAACTCGTCCACTCTGGTAAGCAGGTCCTCTAGGCTCGCGTCCAGGGCCTCGACCTCGGGCCGCGCCCCGGCCCCGGGCAGCAGGCAGGCGGCGTAGCCCGCAGCGGCGCGGCGAAGCAGCGGCAGGTCGCGGCCCGGCGCGCCGTCCTCCGCGCCCTCGTCCTCCCACGGCCCCGAGGCGCTGCTGTGGCTCTGGGAAACAGTGCCACTGTCCCCGCTCCAGGCGGCGCCCTGCGGCTCGGCCTCTTCCGCGAGCCCCTCCGGCAGCGCTCCGCCATCCGAAAAGCTACCCTCCATGGCCCGCGACCACCCGACTGCGCAGCGCTCGCTTCCGGCCTCCGCGCGCTCACGCTCACGCACCCGCACACGCACGCACGCGCGCTCACGCCTTTGCTTCCGGCGGCCTGCGAGGGCGTCTGTTCACGCGCATCCACCTTTGTTTCCGGCCTCCCAGCGCGCTCACGCTCACGCATGCGCGCTCACGCTCACGCATGCGCGCTGCTGTTTTCTCACGCCCGAACTCACATTCAACCTTTTTTTTCTTTTTTAAGCGAAGGTATAGCAGGAATACAATACAGTGCATACATTTTAAGTGTGCACATTGATGACTTTGTACACATCCATACAACCATGCATCTTCTATCCAGACCAACAGGTAGGACATGTCCAGCACCCATGAACGTCTCCCTCCTGTCCTTCATTTCTTTTTGCTGTTTATAGTAAAATAAATGAGATAAGCAAGACGAAACACAAAAGGGATGGACCTTGACGACTTTGGATGATTTTTAAAGTCCTCAGCTTCGCCTGATTGCAAATGGCGTAAAACTAAGAAATAGTAATAGTTTCCAAGCAAATATCAAATCCAGGGTACTGCCAGAAAAAAACAAAGGTGAAGTTGAGATGTGACGGTTAAATCCTTTAAAATCTCAAAAAAAAAAGCAAAGACGGTGCCTGAGAATACCATTCAGTTAGACTAACAGCTCCTTAAAGAGATTAATGGTGTGGCTCACAGAGTCCATCAGTCAAACCACAAGGCCTCCAGAAGGCTTAAGGCTTGTTCGTCAGTATTAGCAGAAGCCCAAGATAGAGATGGACTTATCTCAAAGGGATTTGTAGGTAGCACTTTTGTTTAACGGAGTGAACCCCGATGAGATTCACAGGAGACCTATAAAGTTTTTTAAAGATAATTATATTGACACAAACATTGCAGATTGGACTGAAAGGAACAGGCCTTTGGATCCCCTCTCCCCAAACTTGTACAAGCAGGAATCAGACTGAGAAAAAGACTCATTGGCAAACACATGCCACATTTCACAAAAAAGGAAGTATAACTCAGGGCATGAAACCAGGAGCCCAGATGGTGGAACTGGGAGTCATGGAGTCCTAGACCTTGAGACTGGATGGCAGAGTTACTGTGGGCTGGCAACTTGTTTGTACTTCCAATTTCCCCCTTTTTGAACAGGAGTGGCAGTGGCTAATCTAGTCGTAGTGGAGCAGAACAGGTCTGTAGTGATTATCCTGTGCCAGCCCCACAACTGTATATTCCAGGCATGGGGGCAGAGAACTTGTCTCCTTAGTTTCAAAAGTCTACAGATCAAGAAGAATTGTACTCTAGGAGCTGAATTTAAGGAACTAAGCTCAGAAAGCCTCATCTACATCTGATCTTATTGAGAAGACAAAATTCTGGACTTAAAGCTGATGTGACAATAGGATAGTAATACCTAAAACTACATGAGATTTAAAAAAATGTAACTTTTGGGGACCTTGGATAGAGGGGAGTGTGGTTAGCACGTTAAAATGGCATGAAGAATTGGTAGTCAGGGGGCAAACTGTGATTGCTAGCCAGCCTTCAAGATGACTCCCAGTGATTTCTTACTCCTGGTATTCTCACTCTTGTGTATTCCCTCTTGTCGAGTATGTACTGGACTTAGTGACTTCATTTGCTCATAATAAACTGAAAAACACAGAAGTGATGATGTATGATTTGGACATTAGTTCATGAAAGGTAGTGTGGCATCTCTTTCCTTCCAACCTGCGAAAGGAAGATAAATCTTGGGGTCCTACAATTACTAAGCTAAAAGAAAAGTCAAGTTGGAAACTGCTTAGGGCAAACCTGCCTCACATTCTATTCACAGTCACTTCTCCGCTCACTGAGATAAATGCGTATCTGATTGCCACCTTTGGAGAGGCTAATCAGAGACTCAAAATGTCTGGGCGCGGTGGCTTACGCCTGTAATCCCAGCACTTTGGGAGGCTGAGGTGGGTGGATCATTTGAGATCACGAGTACAAGACCAGCCTGGCCAACATGGTGAAACCCTCTTTTAAAAATACAAAAATTAGCCGGTTGTGGTCGTACACACCTGTAATCCCAGCTACTTGGGAGACTGAGGCAGAAGAATTGCTTGGACCTGGGAGGCGCAGGTTGCAGTGAGCCGAGATCACGCCACTGCTCTCCAGCCTGGGCGACAGGGTGAGACTCCATCTCAAAATAAATAAATAAATAAATAAATAAAATTTTAAAAGAAAGAAAGAAAAAAAGAAACTCAATAGAATGCAACCATTTTTCTCTCATCTACCCAAGACCTGGAAGCCCCCTCCCCGCTTCAAGTTGTCCTGCCTTTGCTTTGAGTTGTCTCACCTTTCCGGACCAATCCATCGTTCATCTTAGATATGTTGATCGATGTCTCATGTCTCCCTAAAATGTATAAAACCAAGCTGTGCTCTGACCACCTTGGACACATGTCATCAGGACCTCCTGAGGCTGTGTCACGGGCACACATCCTCAACCTCGGCAAAATAAACTTTCTAAATGAACTGAGACCTGTCTCAGATATTGGGGGTTCACAAACCACTTGCTCTGGGGAAACCAGCTGCCTTGTTGTGAGCAGCTCCATGGAGAAGCCCATATAGCAAAGAACTGAGACCAACAGCTAGGGAAAAACAGCCTCTTTCCAACAACTACATGAGTAAGTCATCCTGGAAGGGGATGCTCCATCCTCATTCAAACTCAGAAATGACTGCAGCCCCAGCTGATAGGTTGACTGCAACCTCATGTAAGATACTAAACTGAAATGACATAAGATAATGCTATGGTCTGAATATTTGTGTCCTCACATCCAAATTCATATATTTAAATTCTACCCCAGAAGGTGATTGATAGGGTTTGGATGTCCTGCCCAAATCTCATGTTGAAATGTAATCTCCAGTGTTGGAGCTGGAGCCTGGTGGGAGGTGACTGGGTCATGGGGACAGATTTCTCATGAATGGTTTAGCGCCATCCCGTTTGTGCTGTTCCTGTGATGAGTGAGTTCTCGTGAGATCTAGTCATTTAAAGTGTGTGGCACCTCCTGTCACCTCTTGCTCCTGCTTTGGTCATGTGACATGCCTGCTCTCCTTTTGCTTTCCGCCATGATTGTAAGTTTCCTGAGGCCTCCCCACAAACCAAGCAGATGCCAGCACCCTGCTTCCTGTAGAGCCTGCAGAACCCTTAGCCAATTAAGCCTTTTTTCTTCACAAATTACCCGGTCTCAGATATTCCTTTATAGCAATGTGAGAACAGCCTAACACAGTGATGATATCAGGAGATGGGGCCTTTGGGAAGTGATCTGGTCATGGGGTCAGAGCCCTCATGAATGTGACTAGTACCCTTATAAAGGATATAAGGCCAGCTGCAGTGGCTCATGCCTGTAATCCCAACACTTTGGGAGGAAGAGGCAGGAGAATTGTTTGAGGCTAAGAGTTTGAGACCAGCCTGGGCAACATAGCAAGACCCCCGTCTCTAAAAAAAATTTTTTTTAAAGCTGGGTGTGGTGCCATGTGCCTGTAGCCCCAGCTACTCAGGAGGTGGAGGCTGGAGGATCACTTGAGCTCAGGAGTTTGAAACAGTGAGCTATGCTCATTCCACTGCACTTTAGCCTGTGCAAAAGAGCAAGACTTTGTCTACAAGTAAATACACAAAAGATGTATAAGAGGGCCGGGCACGGTGGCTCATGCCTGTAATCCCAGCACTTTGGGAGGCTGTGGCGGGTAGATCACCTGAGGTCAGGAGTTCAAGACCAGCTTGGCCAACATAGTGAAACCCCATCTCTACTAATAATACAAAAATTAGCCAGGCGTGATGACAGGCACCTGTAATCCCAGCTACTCAGGAGGCTGAGGCAGGAGAATCGCTTGAACCCGGGAGGCAGAGGTTTCAGTGAGCAGAGATTGTGTCACTGCACTCCAGCCTGGGCGACAAGAGTGAAACTCAATCTCCAAAAGAAAAAAAAAAAAGGATGCATAAGAGAGACCCCTTGCTCCTTCCATCCTGTGAGGACACAGCAAGAAGGAACGGTTTATGAACCAAAATACTAGCCCTCACCAGACAGAATCTACTAGCACTTTGATCTTGGACTTCCCATCCCCCAGAACTGTGAGAAATAAATTTCTTTTGTAAGCTGCCCACCTTATGGCATTTTGTTAGAGCAGCCTAAATGCACTATGACAGATAATAAATGTTTTAAAGCTGCCAAATTTTGGGTTAACTGGTTATGCAATAATAAACCACTGAAGGAATATGCTACTATTTATTCATTTTATTTATTTATTCTCCTGCTGATGAACATTTGGGTTAACTTTGGGGCTATTATAATAAAGTTGCTGTGAATATTCTCGTATATGTATTTTTATAAACAATTGCACTCAAACTCTCTTGAGTGTATAACAAGGTGTCAGTTTGCTAGAACATAGGATTGGTATATGTTTAATCTTGGTTGATACTGCCAAATAGTTTTCCAAAATTATTGTAACAACTTACATTCCCATTATTATGTGCTGAATATATGTGTCCCCCAATATTTTTTTATGTTGAAGCCCTAACCCCCAGTGTGGCTGTACTTGGAGTAAAGCAGTAAGTAAGGTTAAATAAGGTCATAAAAGTGGGGGCATGATCCTATAGCTTCATGTTCTTATAAGAAGAGACACAAGAGAGCACTCTTTCCTGTACCCCCCAACACTGCATGCACAAAGAAGAGATCATGTGAGGACTGCAGCAGGAAGGTGGTCATCTGCAATTGAGGAAGAGAGCCCTCACCTCCAGAAACCAAATTTGCTGACACCTTAATCGTGGACTTCTGGCCTCCAGAACTGTGAGAAGATAAATGTCTGTTTTTAAGCCAACCAGTCTATAGTATTTTGTTATGGTGTCCAGAGTAGACTAAGACATCCATCAAGAATGTATAAGAGTTCCAGTTGTTCCACATCTTCCCCAACACTTGGTATTGTATTTGAAATTTTAGTCATTCTAGTGGATGTACAGTGCTTCCTCATTGTGGTTTTCATCTGCATTTCCCTGTTGAATCATGACGTTGAACACCTTTTCATATACTTATTAGCCATTTGAATATTCTCTTTTGTTAAGTACCAGCCTACGTCTTTTGCCCATTTAAAAATTTTGTCTTTTCCTTCTTGATCTGTAGGAGTTCTCAATATATTCTGCATATGAGTCCTTTGTCAGTATAACTATTGAAAATATCTTTTTTCACGGTGTCTTGCTCTTTCCCTCTTCATGTTTTTTTGATGAACATCTGCTAGAATGTTGGTGTTTGCAAAACTGTTTCACGCATGTCATCTTACAAATCCCTCTTCCCACTGACAGATATTCAGGCTGGGGCCATTGGTCTTTATCAGACTGGAAAACTGAAGCTCTGATCTGTGGCACTTGTGTTAAGAAGGATGCCCCCTCTACACACACTCATATTACTACTAGTGTGGCACTGGGTGGCTAAGCCTAGCAACAGACTTCCTCCATTCCACAATGGCATTAGGTTAGTGATCAAAATGTACTGACCATCAAAGCCACATTTACTAGGTCCCTGCTGATTTTCAGGTCCTGTGTGTGGAGGGACATAAAGGTGATCAAGACCAGAACCTGTCCCCAAACAGCCTCCAGTCTGGTAGAAGCACTTATGTACTAGAGAAGAATTCCTCTCTCTAAAGCATCCCCTAAGACCCTGCTTGACGCCAGGCTGACAGGAGGGGCGGAGGACAGAACTGAAACAGAAGTAGCCCTTTACCTTGAGGACCTTACAGACTGGCGAAGAGAGACCAAAAACCACCGGCCAGAATCACCCAAGGCAGCGAGAGAATTTCCCCCCAGGACAAAAGTATGAGCCAGGGGTGGGGAGGACAGAAGGACGTGTTCCATTCTAAAACAGTGAGCAGGGACTGTGGACCCACATTGCTCTGGGCTCAAATCACGACTTTTAGCACGGTTTTTACCTCTAGGTTCGTTGTGAGGGCTAAATGAATTCATATAAGTTAATTCAAGCTTGTGCATGCTTAGATAGTAAGCGCTGTGAACGCCAGCCAGTCTTATTCAAATATAGGGAAGGGAGGGTCACTTTTACTTTTAAAAAATAATAAAAGTAAAAGCCCGCTGAAGGGAAGCTTTAGATGAAGACGCGAACAAACCTGCCGCCACCGATCTAAATTAGAGGGCGAGGAGGGGCGCCGGGAAGCAGCTGGTGATGGACGTGCGCGCGCCCGAGGCCCCTTTACGTGCACGCGCCCGCTACCTGGTCTTGCCGAAGGCGTGACCGTAAAGGGGCCCGGCTCTGTCGTGAAAGGGCCGCAAAAAGGCCGAGGGCGAGTTGACGGCTGCGACTCCATTTTGTAGGCCGCTTATTTGTGTGCATCCACGGCGATTCTTCCCGCAGAGTTGTGAAGCGAAAGGCTTACAATTAAAAGGAAGAAAAAAAAATAAAGATAATTCGGGAGTACAATTGACAAAGCGTGTGGGTCGCTCAGCCTCCAGCAGTAACTGCTGATCTCCAGTTCTTGGAGGGTTCCGGTGAGAAGAACGCCCCTACTGCGGTACTGAGGAAGCGGCAGGAGGAGATGCGGCCCCTGGACATAGACGAGGTGGAAGCGCCTGAGGAAGTGGAGGTGCTGGAGCCCGAGGAGGATTTCGAGCAGTTCCTGCTCCCGGTCATCAACGAGATGCGCGAGGACATCGCGTCTCTTATACGCGAGCACGGGCGGGCGTACCTGCGGACCAGGAGCAAGCTGTGGGAGATGGACAATATGCTTATCCAGATCAAAACGCAGGTGGAGGCCTCGGAGGAGAGCGCCCTCAATCACGTGCAGCACCCGAGTGGCGAAGCCGACGAGAGAGTGTCGGAGTTGTGCGAGAAGGCTGAGGAGAAAGCCAAGGAGATTGCGAAGATGGCAGAGATGCTGGTCGAGCTCGTCTGGCGAATAGAGAGAAGCGAGTCTTCTTGAAGGAGGAGATCGGTGGTAAGGTCGGAAACTAGCTGGAGCTTGGATGAAACTCAGTAGTCGCCCTAAGCATGGTTAAACCGCGCCCTGTAAAAAGTTATGTTCTAGGCCTGCATCCCCCATTTTATTGCATCAAAAATTGAGCATTGGGAACAAAGTTGGGGTCAAGAGGAAAGAATGCGTGCTGGTTTTGTTAGGCGTTAGTATACCGTTTTTTTGTGGCCTCTCCCTCCCACGCTGTTAATTAGAGAAAGATAACAGTAACTTCGGTTTTGTTTTTGTGAAACATAAAAGTCAATTCTAATAGGGCAGTCGCCAGAAGTAGACCTGTCTAGGCACTAAGGGAGTTTGGGGAAAGCCAAAGAAGACCTAGGCCATAGAGCACAGTGGAACGCAGGCTGAGAACGCAGGGAAGGAGAAATAAAGAGTAAAGCCAGAGGCCATTACCTGAAATTTCCAGATTGTTCTATGAGACAGGTATGTCAGAGGACCGTGTCTCAAAGAAGTGGCATTCTTCTGGGTGGTTCACATTTATTTTTAACATCAGGATATGGAACTTTGAGAGTCAATGTCTTCATGGTAAATTTCTCCCAATTGTGCTTTAGGTTCACAGCTGAGGACTGTAGTCAACTGGTAAGGATGAACTGACACCTTGAGGAAACTGAAACAGCTTGTCATTTTCTCTGTTTTGTTTTTGTATGTTTTTTACCCCGATGTAACAGTCTCCCTTATGGTCAGTGATTGATGACCTCGATATGGATTTAGATTATCAAATGTGTTTGGTTTTGGAAATATAACTTTTGTCAAAGAAATACTCTCAGAAGAGAAATGGGGCTTAATTAAGTTGTTTTTGTGGTCACGTTTATTCTTGTTACTTCGCTGTGTTTTTGAAATGTTGGGCATGGCCTCGTATTTTGCTGTTACCTTTGTGACCTGATTGTTTTTTGGAACACGTCAAGACGTGGGATCAGAATCTTCCAACTTTAGAGGTGCAATGGAAGACACTACGCTACTTGGTTGAGCCTGGTGAAGAATGTATTAATGAGACTGCTTTGCATAAAACTGGGAAGAAAGAGAAGACAGTTGGAGATGGAAGATGGTTTTGTATATATTTTGGAACTTTAGTTCCTCTGTGAGACGAAAGAGGAGAGCTATGTTTTGTGGCACATTGTCTGATATATATTGTGTAACCTGTCAGGTGAGTTGATTTAGACAACATAGCTGACCTTTTATGACAAGGCAGTTTGAATAGGGACTATTGTAATACCCTCACACATTATAGGGGCATCAGAGAATGGCATGGAAGAGACAGTCTACAGAGAGCTTTAAGAGGCCGGAGAAAGGAAAAGACATTATCAGGGCCTGGAAAGTCTCTTCCAGTTCATCAGGGTAGTAGACCTGTCAGATTGGAGGTCAAAGTCAAAAGTATAATAAGTGTTAATTTGCCTTGAAAAACAAAGACCTAAAAAGCCTTTTTTAAGAAATAAATTTTTTGTTCACATGACCAAAGCCCCTCCTGTGTGTGTTAATAAAAGAATCATAAACAAATTTTTTTGGAATGGATGTTCTTCATTGAGTGTCATCAAATGGGGTTGAACTGCTTGTAGTTAAAGGCTCTTGGTAAGCCTTTAACTGAGGGAGAATTATTTCTGGAAGGTGCTATGGAGATGAGCTGACAGAACACTCAGTTCTGAAGAGAAAAACTTTCGGCCATCCTCTGGGCCAAGCCCCTGCTTTTCAGCAGCGGAAGTGTGTTTAGTTAACCAGTGGGAATGTAACTTGCTTCATATCCTATCCAAGGCACTAGGAACGTAAAGGTGAAGACATGGATGGGGCGAATATGTGGGACAGAAATGGAAACAAGGAATTGTGACATAGAGTGCGTGGATATCTTGTGGGATCCCTGAGGAGGGAGTCAACTCTTCGTAGGGAAGTGTGAATTCAGAGCAGGTGACTTACCTGGACCTGAAAAGTAGAAATGAATGAAGGCATATAAGGGACAGGGATCAAAGTGAGCAAAAGCCTTTCCAGTTCCAGCACTGGGGAGATGGCCATTGAGCTGGATGTTAAGGAGTGTGGAGGGGGTTGTGGGAGACAGAGTGAAATTGGCAGGCAGGGCCAAGAGGTCTTCCTTAAGGTGTTAATTCATCGATTCATAAGCCTGTACTTCAGTGAGATTTCTTCACCCTGGAATGTTTCTTCACAGAGTGCTAATGGATGCTCAGAGCCATAGTGTAGGCATGGTACAATTTCCAGAATTACTAAATCTAATTTCATAAAAATAGATACATGATCATAACAAGCTCAGATACACGTTTTGGATTAATGTGTAAAATAGGCATTTTAAAAATCAAGTACCTGAGCACAGAAAAATTACAGAAGCTGTTTCTGGCTTTGTCATGATATCTAAGATCCTTGCTCATGTGCCTGCCTGTCTGGGTTCTTCAGTAAAAACGAGAAGTATGGCTGGGGAGCCATAATTTCTGATAATCAGGAGAATGACCGTCACATTTGTAGTTTAGGAAGATTACCCAAGACTGGGTATGGATTAATGTGAGTTTGAGTGTGGGCTAGAAGATAGGGGCAGGTGCAGAAGTAGAGATGGGAAGTGAGGGCCTGAACTGGGGCAGAATGAGTGGGAAGGACCAGCTAGGCTTTTCTGGAGCCAAGACTTGGGGTCTTTCTATATCAGTCAACTAGACTAAACTGCTGTAACAGTTCACCCCAAAACCTTAGTGGCTTGCAACACCTGAGGATTTTTTTTTCTTATTCATATTGATGTATTAATACATTGTAGGTGAGTTGTTCCATATTCTCTTAATTCTAGGAGCTGGCTGAAGGAGCAGCTGCTCTTTGGGATATTGTGGATCTTGATTGCGAAAGCTGTTATTTACAAGTTACCTGACGGATTTAAAAACATGCTTTGGGGGTGAAAAATCTGAGTCCTGTACATACACACTCGTAGACACACACACATACTATATATGTGCTACATACATACACGTGTGCATATATACTATGTATATGTATGTTTTTCCCCTCGATTAACTGACCATAGATTATATTCATACATAGGATTGCATTTCATCTCTTCAGTATCCTAGGGTTTTTTTTTTTTTTTTTCCTAAGCCTCCTTCAAATTTACAGCCTAAAGAGTGTTCTGAATCATTTTTGAGCCTTGGCTCTTAGGCAGAGCATTGTAGTGACAGGCTAATTGTCTTAACCCATGCTGTGATGAAAAAATAATTTAGATACATTGAGAGTTTTGTCTCTATTTCCTATTTAACTTACACATTTTCTTTTCATTGAATGATGTGTCAGTGGAATTTTAACAACTTCAAAGTCATCTAGAAAATTTGGATTGGCTTCTGTTAGTAGCTCTGAAAGTCATTGGTCTGTCTTGTGTGAGTCATTCACGCCCAAACTCCCCTTGCTCTAAAATCTGAAATTCTGTGCTTTCTTCCGAAAGACTGGGCAAATTCTTTAACCTTCACTTGCATCAGCTGGCTAGTGATGGCTGAGTCTTCAATAATGTTTTGTTTGACTGCTTTATCCCAGAGTTTTGTTTTTTCTGAAAATGTTTTTAATGTGCAATATCCATATGGCTCACTATGCCACTTTTCCAGTCTCTGCTCAGATGTTACAATACCAGAGAGGTCTTCCCATGCCACTCTTTTTAAAATAGCACGGCCATCCCCTATTACTCTCTGTCTTCTTACATTTTTCTTTTCACTACTTAGTGTGTGATTATTTGTGCATTTTCTGACTTCTCTGTAGAATGTCAGCCCCTTGAGGGCAGGGACTTTATTCACTGCTGAATTCCTAGCACTTAGACCAGTGCCTGGCACCTGGTTGGTATCTAATACTCATTGAATGAATAAGTGCCAATTAAGTATGTAAATTAACTTAATTGTGTCTGCTACCAATGCACATAACTCAGGTGAATTTTCTGAGCCTGAAACTTCAGTGTCATTCTTGACACCCCTCCTCAGCAATCCCCTCTCCATTCCTTCTACCACTAGTTTGTTGGTTCTGCCTAGAATACACCTTGGATTCATCTACCTTCCTTCCTACTCCAAGCCACTAGTGTGACAGTCTCCTAACTGGCCTCCCAGCTTTCAGTTTTATTCCAATCCTCCTCCTTCACAAATTAGCTAGAGTGAATTAGGTTATGTCAATTCCCTGCTTGAAACTCTTAAAAAAATTTTTTTTTGCCACAGATGTTTTTATTTATTCATCAGCATTAACTTAGCTCCTACTATATACCAGGCACTGTTCTAACTACTGAGAGATACAGTACTGAACAGATAGTCCAAAAATTCTGCCTTCTGGGGATTCATTCTAGTGGTGGAGAAACACAATAAGCAAGATAAATAAGTGCTAAAGCTATTTCATGTATTCAACATATGTAGTAGAATATATTCAAGAATTTCTGCCATCTCCAGAGCTGTCTCATCCTAGTTTTCCTCAGTCACCCTAAATTTAAACGCCCTCCCTGGTCCTCTCCCAAATTTTCATCTTCAGAATGTTCCAACTTTCCTGCCTCATGACTTGTCTTCCACCTCTTTGCAAATTTCCTCTAATACCTACCTCATCCAAGGTCTGGCTGTCTCTGAACCCCAACCTCTACAGCCTCCACGTGCAACTCCCCTAAACACTATCAGCTTTCTGGGTGAAGCCACAGAGAATATGGATACTGACGTGCGTTCAGGGCTGCAATGTGTTAGGCAGTTGCAATTTCTTTAAAATGTGCCATGTCTATGTTTGTTTACAGTCAGTTGTCATTATTTGCAGTAGTTATATAAAGTCACCATAAACACTGAATTAGCAAATACTATAATACTTCACTGCCCCTAAGTAAAATAGAGGATTAGGTTCCCATTAGCCCCTGGCTGCATTTTTCATCAGCTGATCCATACGTAACCATGTTTAACCTTGTGTTTCTGTTTAAAGACATCATAATTAACATATATTATTGATTCATTAATTTTGAACTCAAAGCCAGCAGCACTGTAACTCATGCCTCAATAAAGCTTGTCTAACACATATTTTCTCTGTAAGGCACATCACAGCCGCCTTATGCTTAGGCACACTAGACAGTGCTCTGGCATGAGACTTGAGGGTCATTTTAAACAGCAAAATAACCAACAAAAAGCACCAAAATGAGAAAAATGTGGCACCGAGTAGACTGTGAAAAGGAACTTGTTTACAGCATGAGAGCTGAAACAAGAAGGCAGAGTCACCTTGTTTGACCCCAACTGGGAATGTCAGATGACTCAGATTTTTTGCTGCCCTGCACGTGTCTACAAATGACTAGCAAAGTGCCAAGAGTGTTGATTTTGGGGTTCCATATAGATTTTAGAAAGTAGATGAATTTGCAAATACAAAATAATGAATAATGAAGATTGACAGGATACACACACACATAATGATGTAGGTGTCCTGGTTGGGGAGTGGGAAGCCATGGTGCCCAGATCAGGGCTCAGAGCTCAAGAATGGTAGAGAAGGCATCCCCATGGTGGGAAGTAGAGGGGGTCAGAGCCTGGTGTGGGAGTCAGAGTCCTCTGAGCAGGGTGAAGAGGGTATCTGTGTGTGTATGGTTTTGCTTTTTTTTTATTTTTATATTTATTTATTTATTTATTTATTTATTTATTTATTTTGGCAGTGGATGGTCTCCAGTGTGGACAGACCAGATTTGAGCAGTGTGAGCAGGACATCCATTTGTGGGTAGGTTTGGGGGAAGGGAAATCTAGCCTGGGAGGTCAGAGCCCAGGCAGGGTGAGGAGGGAGTTCCCAAGGGGGTGTTCTGGGGCATGAGCCCCGTGGGATGAAGAGAGCATGCACACATGGGGACAGTTGGTGCAGTTTGAGCAGGGAGAGATGGGCATCCATAGAAGCCAGTCCTTCACCTGACTCAGCCTGAAAGGCAAGGAGGGTGTCTGTGCAGGGGACAGACTGGTATGGGGTTCAGAACCTGAGCAGGGAAAAGGTTTCTGCAGGAGACCAGGTACCAGCAGAGGGGAAGAAATGTAAAAAGAAAGCTAGAATGGACCCTGTGGTATTATGTTGAAAATGGAAGTCTCTGTGTGAACTTGAATGGAAGTCTCTGTGTGAACTTGTGGTTACAAACATACAAACACACACACACTTCAGATATCTATAAGATATAGAACTATAGGTATGTGTAGCCATCTAAAGTTATGTATTATACTTACAAATATTCTCTACTTATTTCCATTAAGAGAGGCTGGGGGCAGTGACACTTCAATAACAATGAGCACACCTAGCTCCCAGATCTTGGCTTCTAAATAGCATTTTCCATTACAAGAAACTAGGGCTGCTTGGAGAAATGGCCAGTTCCAGAGCTAGGGCAAGCAAAGTACGAAATGTGTCTAGAACATCTTGTGATGACAGAAGGCAAGGATGTGTTCAGAGAATGTTGAGAACATGTCAGAGGGTAATAGAAGCCAGCTGAAATGGGCTCCCATTGATCAGATCAGGGACAATGTGAGCATCAGAACAGATAATGCTAGTAACAGGTTACAACCCACTGAATAATATGGGTAACCAGGAGTTCACAAATGTGAATACATGAATAAATTAAATGCTTGATGAGGAACAGAATATATACATAGTTTCAAAATTCCTCTCTAAAAATACTTATTAAAAAGTGGCCAGGCCTGGTGGCTTACACCTGTAATCCTAGCACTGTGGGAGGCTGAGGCAGACAGATCACTTGAGGTCAGGAGTTGGAGACCAGCCTGGCCAACATAGTGAAACCCCATCTCTACTAAAAATACAAAAATTAGCCGGGCATGGTGGTGGATGCCTGTAATCCCAGCTACCCAGGAGGCTGAGGCAGGAGAATCGCTTGAACCTGGGAGGCGGAGGTTGCAGTGAGCTGAGATCACGCCAATGCACTCCAGTTTGGCAACAGAGTGAGACTCCATCGCAAAAAAAAAAAAAAAGACATAGAACAATTGGCAAACTTGAATGAGGGCTTAAGATTCAATGGTAGTGATGTATCAGTGTTAATTTTCTCACTTTGATGGTGGCATTGTGGTTATTAGGAGAATCTTCTGTGGAGGATTCTCTCCACTAATGCATTGAGGGGTGGTGCATCAGCTTATTCTTAAATCATTCAGAAAAATAGTTATTTGTACTGTACTTCTAACTTTTCCGTAAGTTTGTTATTTCTGTACGTTTCAAATTTTAATTCAGAATTGTTGGCCAGGCGTGGTGGCCCACACCTGTAATCCCAGCGGTTTGGGAGGCTGAGGCAGGCGGATAGCCTGAGCTCAGGAGTTGAGTTCGAGACCACCCTGGGCAACATGGTGAAACCCGTCTCTACTAAAATACAAAAAATTAGCAGGGTGTGCTGGCGGGCACCTGTAGTCCCAGCTACTCTGGAGGCTGAGGCAGGAGAATCGTTTGAACCTGGAGGTAGAGGTTGCGGTGAGCCGAGATTGCGCCACTGCACACCAGCTTGGGCTGCAGAGTGAGATTCGGTCTCAAAAAAAAAGAAAAAAAGAATTGTGCTTGTTGAGCAGTTAGGTAGGCCATGGCAATCCCAGCACCCAAACATCTGACATTCTGGAGGGGTGGAAATGCGCTGGCTAGGTAACCGAGGGAGCTTAGCCCGAGGAGCAATTCTGCAAAGCAGCTGCAGGGGGCGCTTGCGAGAGCCCAAGAGCCAGGAGAGCCTCAGGTGGCTGCCGCTCCTACAGGAAAGCATCACAAAGGAGACTGGCTGCCTATTGGTTTCCAAGCAGGGCAGTGGAGAAACACTTGGTTAAATGTTTTGTTTAAAAAAGAATTATAGGCCGGGCGCGGTGGCTCACGCCGGTAATCCCAGCACTTTGGGAGGCTGAGGCGGGCGGATCAGCTGAGGTCAGGGGTTTGAGACAAGCCTGGCCAATATGGTGAAACTCCGTCTCTACTAAAAATACTAAAATTAGCCGGGTGTGGTGGCGGGCGCCTGTAATCCCAGCTACTCGGGAGGCTGAGGCAGGAGAATCACTTGAACCCGGGAGGCAGAGGTTGCAGTGAGCCGAGATCCCGCCATTGCACTGCAGCCTGGGCGAAGGAGCGAGACTCCGTCTCAAAATAATAATAATAATAATAATAATAATAATAATAATAATAATAATAAATAAAAATTCTGGCAGTAACCCAACTGTCCATCAGCAGATGAATTAGCAAGATGAATTAGCAATTAGCAAGTTTGGTGTATACACGTAGTGGACTATTCAGCCTTATAAAGGAAGAAATTCTGACACATGTTACAACACGGATGAACGTTGAGGACATGATTCTGAGTGAAATAAGCCTGTCCCAAAAGGACAAATCCTGTGTGATTGCAGTCATATGACGTTCCTAGAGTCAAATTCATAGAAACAAAGTGGAATCGTCAGGACCAGCGGCCAGAGAAGGAGAGGGAGAGTGAGGGTTTAGTGGGGATAGAGTTGTGGTTTTACAAGATGGAAAGAGTTCTGGAGACTGACCTGCACCACAACGTGAGTATACCTAACACTGCCGAACTGTACACTTGGAAATGGTTAGGATGGTACATTTTATGTTGACACCACAATAAAAAATTACCCTTTGATCCAGTCATCCTAGGTAAAAAATGGAATTTGATTTTGAGAAATTATCTGAGCTTAAGACAAAGCTTTGGCCACGCACAGTGGCTCACGCCTGTGATCCCAACACTTTTGAGGCTAAGGCAAGAGTGTTACTTGAGGCCAGGAGTTTGAGACCAGCCGGGGCAACATGGTAAGACCCCATCTTACAAAAAAAAAAAAAACCCCAAAAGACAAAGCTTTATACATGAAAATGTTAATTGTAGCATACTTTCTAAAAACAAAAATAGGAACATACATTCTACAAAAATATGAAGAACAGTATCTTTAACAATGAGCAAACGATGGTACCCTCATTCCAATAAATTCCTTGTAGCCATTAAAAAATACTGTTTAGGGGCTGGGTGCACTGATTCACACCTGTAATCCCAGCATTTGGGGAAGCTGAGGTGAGAAGATCGCTTGAGCTCAGGAGTACCAGATCAGCCTGGGCAACATAGTGAGATCCCTGTCTCCACAAAAAAATAAAAAACAATTAGCCAGGTGTGGTGGCACATGCCTGTAGTACTAGCTACTCAGGAGGCTAAGGTGGGGGGATCACTTGAGCCCAGGAGATCAAGACTGTAGTGAGCTGTGATCATGCCACTGCACTTGAGCCTGGGCAACAGAGTGAGACCCTGTCTCAAAAAAACAAAAAACAAAAAACAACAACAACAACAAACCCTACTGTTTGGACCTGGCTTTTGCTTCATGCAGAGTTGGTATAAACTCCGGAGAAGTGACTGTGGACTTTACCTCCAGGAACGAGGCATCTGCAGGCTGCTCAGAAGACCCTGAACAGAAATCAATGATGGAGCACCATGGGAGGCTGGTCTCCTGGGGCAGGGAATTGAATTCCAAACCAGACGTAATCTACCATTTGGTGCAGGGCAAGAAGCTAGGATGAAATGAATGAAAGATTGAGGAGAGATGAAAGAAAGATTGAGGAGGGATGGGCCCTGTTGTCTCTATAAGGAGAGGTCAGGAATTACCAAGACCTGTCAGAGATAACCCAGGAAGGACACCCAGAGGAAGTGGCACGCTGTTGTTTTCCTGCTCCAGTAGTCTGGGTTTTTAGTCACAAAGCACAGAAATTCAGCCTAGGTGATTGATTTACAAAAGACTTGTCTCCTTCAAGAGTCCTGGAGGACGAGGTTCATAGCTACGTAGCCAGAAACCTCTCATATGGCGCTGCTGCAAAACCCATAAGAGGTTTTTCAGGTCTCTGCCTGTTTGTGTCAATTGTCCGATTGCAAGTCTGGGGTGAGAATAAAGTCTGGGAGAGCCCAGGTCAGGTGCCTGCACCCCAGCTATGACAGAGGCTGGGGAGTGAGGGCTCTGCCTCCCCCCAGAACTGATAAGCTGGGTGGTTTGTCATTTATAGGACGGTAACTAATTTGTTAAACAGCAAGAAAAAAGAAAAACAGGCTGAGCATGTGGCTCACGCCTCTAACATCTACACTTTGGGAGGCTGAGTTGGGAGGATCATTTGAGCCCAGGAGTTCAAGACCAACCTGGGCAATATAGCAAAACCCCGTCTCTACAAAAAATTAGCCAGCCGCGATGGTGCGTTCTTGTGGTCCCAGCTACTTGGGAGGCTGAGGCAGGAAGATTGCTTCAGCCCAGGAGTTTAAGATTGCAGTGAGCCTCGAGACCATCCTGGCTAAAATGGTGAAACCCTGTCTCTACTAAAAATTACAAAAAATTAGCCAGGCTTGGTAGCAGGCACCTGTAGTCCCAGCTACTCGGGAGGCTGAGGCAGGAGAATGGCGTGAACCCGGGAGGTGGAGCTTGCAGTGAGCTGAGATCACACCACTGCACTCCAGCCTGGCCGACAGAGCAAGACTCCGTCTCAAAAAAAAAAAAAAGATTGCAGTGAGCCACGATAGCACCACTGCATTCCAGACTGGGTGACAGGGCAAGGCCGTCTCTCAAAGGAAAAAAGAAACAAAGATTTCCATTCTGGCAGTCCACCCCTTTTGTTTCCCCCATTATTAACTTTACTTCTCCCTCATTATTAGTTTTTACTTTATTTAAATGTGTGTATCTGCTCCCATCTAACCTAACACGACTCTCTCTCTAGCAAAAATATTTGCAATCTGCAGTCCCTTCCCCAAAGAGGGATCCACCCAAGCCTCGTATTGTTGTGTCCACCTCCAAGTTCAGGATCTTTTGGTGATAGATCTTCTCTAGTGAAAATGTCTTCAAACATAGCAAGAGGCTTTAAATACTGGGTATCCAAAAAATGATAGGGGTCCTAAAACCAGATCCAGTTACCTACCTATCATCCAAGACCTCGCTTGAGTCCTTTTGGGTGCTCCCAACATTAGTGTCGTAAAACTAAATACAGGTGATGTGAGCAGTTGTTCACTGATGATTCTAATGCTCTCTTGGAATTCATTGTTTCTCTGTTATGGTGTTTCATAGTCTTTGTGGCAAAAATAGCATTGCATCATTAAAAGTATGTTACTGTCTGGGCGTGGTGGCTGAAGCCTGTAATCCCAGCACTTTGGGAGGCCGAGGTGGGTGGATCACGAGCTCAGGAGATCGAGACCATCCTGGCTAACACGGTGAAACCCTGTCTCTACTAAAAATACAAAAAATTAGCCGGGCGTGGTGGTGGGCACCTGTAGTCCCAGCTACTCAGGAGGTTGAGGCAGGAGAATGGCGTGAACCTGGGAGGCGGAGCTGGCAGTGAGCCAAGATCGCACCATTGCACTCCAGCCTGGGCAACACAGTGAGACTCCGTCTCAAAAAAAAAAAAAAAGAAAAAAAGATATGTTACTTTGCGAGGCGCAGTGGCTCACACCTGTAATCCCAGCACTTTGGGAGGTTGAGGTGGGCAGATCACCTGAAATCAGGAGTTCGAGACCAGCCTGGCCAACATGGTGACACCCCGTCTCTACTAAAAATACAAAAAGTAGCCAGGTGTGGTTTTGCGGGTGCCTGCAGTCCCAGGTACTCGGGAGGCTGAGGCAGGAGAATCACTTGAACCCAAGAGGCGGAGGTTGCAGTGAGCTGAGATGGCGCCATTGCATTCCAGCCTGGGTGACAAGAGCGAGACTCCGTCTCAAAAATAAATAAATATTAGAAGTATGTTACTTGAAGAAAACATGCTGTTTGGAGAGATGGAGGGGCCCAGGTTCAATGAGTGGCTACGTGACCGACTAAATGAATTACGAAGTAGATGAATAAATACATGGATGTGTGTACCCGAGCCTCCCTTGGGTCCAGGACATGGTGGCATTCACACGGCCAAAGGTGGGACTGTGTCTCAGTGGGCACTCAGAAGATGGCCAACAAATGGATTTTTATCGACTGCCTTGTCTTCTTCATCTGTCTCACCACTGCAGGCAGGCAATGAGTAATGAAATGACAAGTTTAATTAGTGAATTCTGTTTTGTGGGGAGAGGACACTGAGGTTTTAAGGAAATAACCAGTTTCTCTGAGACCAGGATCATTTCATAAGCATTTATTAATCAGAGGTACATGAGCAGGCTCAGCCTAGGGGAATAATTGCCAACAAACACTTTTGGGAAGCCTGGGACCATGGCTCTGCCAGGAATCTGTGACATCTCCAGGGCATCATTTGAGTCCTGCCTTCTCAAAGTACTTGTGACAGGCAGACGTGATTGCAGCCACGAACACTATGAACTCACTGAAGTCCACCTGGGCATCTCCATTGGCGTCCAGGTCCTTGAGCAATTTATCCACGGCATCCTTGTCTTTTCCACTCTAGAGGAGAGAGAGGCTCAAGGTCAGCAGTGAGGGTGCCTGTGCAGGGCCTCAGCCTCCACCAAGCACTGCTGCTGGGCAGGAGCAGGGCACCCACATCTGCGTCACCTTTGCTGTCAGGGCCAGGGCCAGCTGTGCATAGCAGACACATGGCATTCCTGGCCTTAAGAACTTGTGAGCTGCCTTCAGCTATCTGGCATGACATGAACTAACTTGTAATGTTTTTAGAGCGAATTGGAATTGTGCTCTGCGAGAGGGAGTTTCATTTTGAGTTTTTGCCGGGGGTTGTCTTTGGATTTGTAAAGTGCTTTACAGTGATGGTTGTTCTCAGGAAATGCATCCAGTCTTTGCTCTATTTTTTGTGCACTGCTAACTTCATGGGCCTCCCATCTCGTGCTGGCACTGAACTAGCTGCTTACACAAACAGGAACTCCTCAACACCACCAGACACGGCAGAGGCATCGCCCTGTTACAGATGAAGATGATAAGGCCCAGAGGGCCCAAGGGACCTGCCCTGAAGTCACACAGGGAGCCGGGGAAAGCCAGGGTTGAGCCCCAGGTGTGGAGCGAGCATGGAGCAAGCACCCTGAGCCCTGTTCTTCCTCTCTGCTTGGGTCCCAAGCTCTCAGGTCTTCTTTGAGAAGGCCAGGCCGGCAGGGCTCTCAGAGCCTGCCCATGTGATAGCAAAGCGTTCTCACTGTGGGACCAAGCGGGACCAGGATGCAGATCTGAACAGCAGCAGCAGGGTGTGCTGATGACCCAGCCCTGGGCCAGAGAGCTGTGTGTCCAGGTGGAAAGAAACACAATTAAAATTGGTAGAAACATATCATCTGACCAAGACACAACTGTGTGCATGAAGACCTTAGTGACAGCATGGTTTGCAATAGCAAAAGTAAGGCAGGGAAGTACAAATTCAATAGCAAACAAATAGTGGTATGGCCATGTCACAATACCCTGCGGCCATTTCAAGTGATGTTTACAAAGTTTGTAGGCAGACAGTCACCTCGTATTTACAAAGCTCCGACTGTGCGGGGCGCTGGGTTGGGCACGGAGCAGATAGGGCCAGAAGGCCAGCCCAGCCCAGCCCTGCCCTCAGGCGGACATTGTTCTCTGACTCCGGCTTTGCTGGGCTTCAGCAGCCTCCGGAGGGAGGGCTGAGAAGGGCACCCAGGGCCTCCCCGAGGTGATTCTAATGTAACACATTAGCTGGACCCCCAGCTTTGCCATTGCTTCTCAAAGTGTGTTCCCAGGACACCTGTGCCTGCCCCTCCCCACACCCCAGTATCTTGGATCAAAGTCCTCATGGGTTCAATTCTCATACTTTGATCATTATCAGAACACCCCGAGCCCCAAGCCCAAGTTCCCAGGATGGGGCTGGGGTGTTTAATGAACATCAGAGTTTGAGAATTTATGTTGTAATGTTAAGCTCAAAAAGAAATTACATTGCATGTAAATCTCACTCACAGCAATGTTCATATGGGGAAAAGGCTGGAAGGGAGAGGAAGCGTCTGTATTCCAGGGGGGATTTCTTCCCTCCATATTTATCTATTTTTACATTTTCTACCAAAAACAGAACTTTATTTTTAAAAGATATCTTTACAGAATTCACATTTAGAAAATAGAACTAGGCCAGGTGTCGGGGCTCACGCCTGTAATCACAGCACTTTGAGATGTCGAGGCTGACGCATTGCCTGAGCACAGGAGTTTGAGACCAGCCTGGGCAACATGGTGAGACCTTGTCTCTAAAAAAAATACAAAAATTAACCGGGTATGGTGACATGCACCTGTAGTCCCAGCTACTCGGTAGGCTGAGGTGGGAGGATCACCTGAGCCCAGGGAGGTCGAGGCTGCAGTGAGCCGTGATCCTGCCACTGCACTCCAGCCTGGGTGACAGAGTGACATCTTGTCTCAAAAAAAAAAAAAAAGAAAAGAAAAGAAAATAGAAGCAATATTCTGAAGTGTTTCATGTCTTTGAAGTGATTCTAGGGCTGAAAATTTCAGGCTTTCATTTTTGATTATCAGCATCTATGTGGGTTAGCCCCTTAGCAGGTAGGCAGAGTCTGGTGGGGCCCGAAGGGGAGGGGAAGGAAGGAAGAAAGTGGGGGAGTGAGAAAGAAGGAGAGGACAGGGGTCAAAGGGAAGGGGAAATGGAGAGGGTACGGCTTCTGTTCAGCCCAGCCGGAGGCTGCCCCGGGCGGAAGGAAGCTGGTCCTGGCCGCCCTGAGGGGCCTTCTGTGAGGCTCAGGCCGGTGGCTCCTCCCTGGCAGGGAGCCCAAGGGAGGTCCACAGCTCTGCGCAGACAGGTGCCAGGATGGAGCCTCCTCCCGTCCTTCCTGCCAGACCCACTAATACCAGGCAACAAGGGGCCTGGGAATGGGAGCAGGGAAAGCGGGCAAGTGGGAGGCAGAGCTGGGGCGTTTATGGCCGGCAGCCTTGGAGGACAGCCCCGAGGGCTCAAGGGCTTGGCAAGCTTGGCAAACTTGCAAATGGCAGCCCTGGATTGCATTCCGCCCCTGCCCCCACTGCACAGGTTTGAGTCCCACTCTCCCACCAGGCCTGTCACAAATACACTGGGGTCAACCCCATGTTTCAAGGATCAAGCTGACCACACCCTCTCCCTGCTCAGATGCTCCCGCCTCCCCTGCCTTTATGCCAGGGTGGGTCCGTTCCTTGGCTGGGCTTCCAGGGCATTTCAGGATCTGTCCCTCTTGCCTCTGAGCCCCTTGACCGCCGACCCCACCGCAGCTCTCAGCCCTCTGCCTGCCACGCCTTCCCCTTCTTCCCCAGCCCCCGCTGAGTCCAGCACTGCCGGCCTGGCTCACCTGCAGGAAGCCTGGTAGCTCCTTCTCCATCAGCACCTTGAGCTCCCCCTTGGTCAGGGTCTGCGTGCTGCCCTCGCTGCCCGAATATCGGGAAAAGACGTCTATGATCATGCCCATGGCTGTCTCTAGTTCCGTCATGGTGCTAGATTCAGACCCACCTTCCTCCTGGGGGCTGGCAGGGCCGAGAAAATGTCCCACTGGCAGCCTCTTGGTGCTTTATAAGGCAGCCTCATATTGACACAGAGGGTGGGACAGTGGGGTTGGGACATTCAGGAAGTCCTGCCCCTCCCCATTCATGTGCTCAGTTCTGATGAAATGCATCGTTGTGATGACGTTTCTGGAACCTTTCCCCCAGCCAAGGCCCAGGGTGTGGGCTGCCTCCAGGCATCCACATTTTACAGTGTTCACCTGTGTCTCGGCGCCATCACTGAGCCACAGTGGCATCCTCATTCCTGGCCCTCCCTGGGTAAGTGGGCACGGGGTGAGTGTGTGTGGAGTGAGTGGTGACTCCGTGGCCCTTTGTGTCAATATCAGAGCGTGCTGGCACCCAGCGTGCTGACACGAGGAGACATCTGAGAGTGAATTCACATGGGCGTGTTTGTGAACATGGATCTGCCCCATCGTCCCTTTCTTAGAGCACTCTGTGTCCTTCAGAGGCCCAGCTTCCACGTCAATCTCGCTCGCTCCTCCCCTGTGGGGCCAAACAGAAAACTCCCCTTCATCCTCTGGGAGTTTGCTGAAAATCAACGGGCAGAAGGCAGATGAATAGGAGAAGAGCATAACAGATGTATTTGATCATAGCTTATGTGGCACGGCAGCCTTCAAGATGAAGATCCAAAGATCTGGTGGAAACTATCCATAAACACAGTTCAGCGAAGTATGGAAATATGATTGGATACAAAAGTAAGGCTGGATGCTCACAGACCAAGAGGAGAGCCTGGTAGGGCCTGTTGAGTCAGATTCCCTGGGGCCTCTCTGAGCAGCTCTCCTTCCTTCTAGGTGTGGGGCAGGACTCTTTCTGGAATGGAGCTCTTATGACCTACAGTCAAATAAAGCAGGCCAGAGGGTTTCTTTAGGCTGGTTTCTACACAGAAAGGGGAGGGAGTGGAGAACTGGAGTCATATTTCTGGGTTTTATGGCAGGGTTTGGGGAAGCCTCTCAGAGGAGGAGGAGCTGGAGACAGGAGGGTGGGAGCAGGACAGAGAAACTTTTGTTTCTGAGGCTTCCACGTTGGGGTGTTGTTTTTTGAGCCCCGGCACTTACCAAACCCAAATCACCCACAGGGCTTAGACGGCACAAAGGCTCCTGGGACTCTGGGCAGAGTCAGGGACAGTCACACCCCTCCCCGTCTCTATAGCGGAGGTACTCAGAGGGTCTGTGCTTGGGAGGCTGAGCGAGTCCTGGAGAGCATGGAGGTAGGGGCCTGTGTTCACATCCTGCCCCGGTCAAAGTAGGCCCACACTCAAAGGCCTCTCTCTCAGCAGAGATCTTCCAGAGTGTCAGCCTCCAGCAAGTTCCCTAACCTCTCCCAACACAGCCTCCACCAGCACATGGGCCGAGACTCTCCCCACGGGGCTGTGGCTCAACATAGAAAAACCTTGGTGCACGATGGCAGCAGCAGGTCTCACAAGAGCCGGCTTTCTCAGAACACACTGCCTCTGCCCAGGTGTCCTGCAGTGGAGGCTCAGACTGGCCCCACTGGTGACCCCTTGGGGAGCAGGGACAGGTCCATTCTGCTCACTCCTGAGCTGGGCAGTTCCCTCTTGGGATAAGGTCGCACAGCACAGGCCACCATCATACCACCCCAGCCAGAGAAGTGGGAGAGAGAAGGAGGCTCCCTACCCCAGAGGCAGTGCTCCTCAGGAAGGGCATTCACTGCGTTATATAGATATATATATACACACACACACACACACATATATATACACATATATACACATATATGTATACACACATATATACACACACACATATATACACACACACATATGTATATACACACACATATATATATAGATATACACACACATATATTTTTTGTTTGTTTGTTTGTTTGTTTGCGATGGAGTCTCACTCTGTTGCCCAGGCTGGAGTGCAGTGGTGTGATCTCGGCTCACTGCAACTTCCACTTCCCGGTTTCAAGTGATTCTCCAGCCTCAGCCTCCCGAGTAGCTGGGACTACAGGCATGTACCACCACACCAGGCTAATTTTTTGGGGGTTTCACCATGTTGGCCAGTCCGGTCATCACTTTGTTTTAAAATTTTTATTTATTTATTTATTTTTATTTATTTTTTGAGACGGAGTCTCGCTCTATCACCCAGGCTGGAGTGCAGTGGCACGATCTTGGCTCACTGCAACCCCTGCCTCCTGGTTCAAGTGATTCTCCTGCTTCAGCCTCCTGAGTAGCTGGGATTATAGGCATGCACCACCTTGTCTAGCTAATTTTTGTATTTTTAGTAAAGATGGGGTTTTACCATGTTGGCCAGGCTGGTCTTGAACTCCTAACCTCAAGTGATCTGCCCACCTCGGCCTCCCAAAGTGCTGGAATTACAGGCATGAGCCACCGTGCCTGGCCCCATTTATTTACTTTTAGAGACAGTGTCTTGCTTTCTCACCCAGGGTGGAGTGCAGTGGCTCAATCACAGCTCACTATAGCCTCCAACTCCTGGGCTTAAGTGATCCTCTCACCTCAGCCTCTCCAGTAGCTGGGACTACAGGGGCGCTCCACCATGCCCGACTATTCACTTTAATCTTTCACCGCTGTGGGAGGAAGGATCAGGACATCCATCGGGTGGAAACTGCTGCACTCCCCCACCCGTTCAGGCCACTGGAGTGTCACCAAACCACCAGGGCTGCCCCTGCTGGAGTAGCTCACCTGGGTAACTCTGAGGACAAGCCCCCTTGGAGACTCTTCTCAGGAGGGAGGTGGCATTTTCCAAGAAAGGGTTCAACACAGACCTCTGAGTCAGAGGACCAGTTAAAGAGAAAATTATTCTGACTTTATTCAGGAATGTTGCTGTAGGGGTCGTGATTATTGCCATGCGGGGAGTTGCCCTTGAGGCAGCTGGGAGTGGCTCACGCCTGTAATCCCAGCACTTTGGGAGGCCAAGGCAGGTGGATCACTTCAGATCAGGAGTTCGAGACCAGCCTGGCCAACATGCAAAACCCTGTCTCTACTAAAAGTACAAAAATTAGCCAGGCATGGTGGCGCGTGCCTGTAATCCCAGCTACTCGGGAGGCTGAGGCAGGAGAATCGTTTAAGCCTGGGAGGTGGAGGTTGCAGTGAGCTGAGATCGCACCACTGCACTCCATCCTGGGCGACAGCCAGACTCTGTCTCAAAAAAAAAAAAAAAAAAAGAGGCCAGATGAAGAGCTCGAACCACGAGCTTCTACATGTTAACCAGGGTAAAGAGCAACCGCTGACAGGAAGGGGCCCAGCAGTCAACCCCCGGGAAGGCCAGGATGTGGCCTTGTTTCGGCAAGGCCGCCCTATCACCACGGAGATGGGCAGGCAGGAGACATCCCCAGTCAGTCGGGCCCAGGTGGGGATCAGGAGGTTTCAGGAAAACACAAGCTATGCAGTGGGGCAGGTGAGGCTTGGCCTGCCCAGCCTGTCCTGAGTGTCATGGGAACAGCTCTGGAAGTGACTCCTCTGTCCTCTGGAATCTGGATCAGATGGGGCCTTCTCCAGACATCTGTGCTCAGCAGATGCGACAGACGGCCCCTCGAGTGTAGCCCAGGATCCAGCACCGGCCCAAGCAGGTGGGAGCTGTAAGTTGATCCAAGCTCTCCAGTCCCTGTGCTGGGCTGGGGGATGCACGATGAACGAGGCTGGGATCCTGGTGTCAGGGAGTACCAGCCACAGAGGGCGCCATGTGCATGGAGGAGGTGGCAAGGAAGAGGTGACTGGGAAGGGGAGAAGCAGAGAGGCCAGGAGGAGGGCGGGGCCTGTGCTGGGGGGTGGAGGAACTCATGCCCGGGAAGGGCATGGGGAGAGTGAAGTGGGAGTGGAGTGGGAGGCAGGCTTGGAGGAGTCGGTGCCTTGGGATGTGGGACAGTGAGGAACAAGGCACAAACAACCAGTCAGTGCTCTGGGGAATCAAGAAGTTGGGATGGGCAGCGGGGGTCCAGGGTGGAGATGGGCTGGAGGGGGAGGAGGGCACCAACCAGGGAAGGCCCCTCAGGGGCTTGATCCTGTAGTTCTGGGCCTCGCAGAGCCAGCCACACGTCCGAGCTCCTAGGTGATTTTAAGAACTAGCTCTTGCTGGGCCGCACCCAGGCAGAGCTGCCCGTTCAGTGGCTGGGCTGGCCCAGCACCTCCCAGGTGATCCTGTTGTGCCAGGTCAATGGTCTGGAGAGTTATCAGCCACAAGAGGCACCGTCAGGTTTGCCCTTTTGAGGCCCACATGGCCGCTGGTGTGAGACGCGGATGTGCACGGTGAGGCAGTGAGGGGCTGCAGGGTGAGGAGCCCCCAGCCATGTGCGGTTCAGGGTCCCCGCAGCACTCGCCCAAGGACACTGGGAGCTGGCGGAGGCCTGGGCAGGAGCAGGAAACTGAAGGAGGAGGAGGGGCCTCACTCATCACCTGATGAGATCTCCACACTTTGCAGAAGGGGAAACCGAGGCTCACAGCGAGGAACTTGGTCAACAAGCCCAGGCCCCTCCACCCTGCCCGCGTTTCCTGCACTGCACTGGATCAAACCGGTTTGATCCTTGATAATGCCTCCGACAAATATTTGATGAGGGAGGAGGCTGAGAGAGGTGAGGAAATCAGTTTCTCAGGGACAGGCTGGACACAGGGGTCATGCACCGGGTAGCTGTGAGGGCAGGGGTGGCGTCTCACCTCAGGGACACAGCTCCTGGGGAGGGCGGCAGAGACCCTGACAGTCTCGCCTCGCAGGCGTCTTTCTCCAGGCTAGAAACCAATGACTCATCTCTCAGGCTCTCTAGCAAACAGCGGGGCCCACACACCACAGTTGTGGTCGAATGTTTCCCTGAGGGCTACGGAGCCTGGTCTTGCCGAATACAAAGAGGAGGCTCTCAGCCGTCTGCTTTCTTCCTGCAGGAATCCTGGGCGTGATCTCCCTCGGCTACGTGCAGCCACGTGGAGACGCTGTGGGGATTCTTGTTGCTGGTGACTGAGTATTCCCAACCGGTAGTATTTGTTTTTTAGGGGCTGTGGAACAAATCACCACAAACTGGAGGGCCGAAAACACCAGCAATGGGCTCCCTCTTGGTTCTGGAGCCGAGAAGGCAGAAATGAAGGCGTCATCAGGGTTGCTCCTTCTGGGGCCTCAGAGCAGGACTCTGTTCCCTGCCCGTCCCCAGCTCCGGTGGTTGGCGGCCTTCCTCCGCCTGTGGCCCTGCACTCCAATCGCTGCCTCTGTTGTCACTTGGCCCCCCATGTGCCTCTGTGTCTCAGAAGGACACAAGTCATATTGAATTAAGGACCCTCCCTACCCCAGCATGACCCCGTTTTAACTTAGAACTTTCACAATGATCTGATTTGCAAAGAAGGCTGGATTCTGAGGTCCTGGGAAGGACATGAATTTTGGGGGATGCTGTTCACCTCAGTACACCGGTGCAGAGTTCGGTGACACCGCCAAGTTGCTTGACGGTGAGCAGCCTGGCATTGTAGAAAGGCAGAGGTTGACTTTAGTTTGGTCCCTGGCTTTGTCCTTTATTTGTTCTGTGACACCTTGGACAAGTTTTGTGACCCGAGTGTCAGTTTCCTAGGAACCAGTGACAATGATCAGAGATAGGGGGACTCAAGGGTAAGTAAAGTGCAGGATGAACTGCAGCGGAGCGTGTGAGGTGCCTGGCAGGTGTCGGCCACCCAGTGGCGCTCGAAGCACCTGCTGCTCCCTCCTTCCTCGCTCCCAGCTGCCTTCTCTGCTGGGAGCTCTTTGGAGAGGAGCTGTGTGACTGGTTCATCCTGTCCCTCGAGGAGCTACCAGTTCAGTCAAGGACATTGAGAAGCAGCGGATGGTGACAGTGCAGTGTGACAGTGGTGTGCTGTGGGAGCCCCATGGAGCGGCTACCCAGGCAGGAACGTCAGGGAGGCTTCCTGGAGGAGGTGGTGCTTCAGATGAGACTTGAAGGAGCAGAAGGTGTTTGCTAGACAAAGGGGCTTGCTTGGATGAATGGTCTTCAGAGCGTGGTCCCAGTAAGGAAGGAGACCACTACTACTCTTGCTGCCCTCCTCCCCCGACCTTGCCTAGTTTACAAGACAGGAGGAAAGAGAGAAAGCAAAAAGTTAGAAAAAAAAAAAAAAAAAACAGAAGTAAGATAAATAGCCAGAAGACCTTGGCACCACCACCTGGCCCTGGTAGTTAAAAAAAGTAATAATAATAATATCGACCCCTGACTTAAACTACTTGTATTATCTGTAAATTCCAGACATTGTAGGAAAAAGCATTGCAAAATTTTCTGTTCTGTTAGCTGATTCATGTAGCCCCCAGTCACGTTCCCCATGCTTGTTCGATTTATCATGACCCTTTCACGTGGGCCCCTTAGAGGTGTAAGCCCTTAAAAGGGCCAAGAATTTCTTTTTCCGGGAGCTCGGCTCTTAAGACGCAAGTCTGCTGATGCTCCCGGCTGAATAAACCTCTTCCTTCTTTAATCCAGTGTCTGAGGAGTTTTGTCTGTGGCTCCTCCTGCTACACCAGAACAGCAGGGCCGGCATCCCCTGAGCTAGAACAACCCTGAGGCAGGGCATCCACTGCAGGGAAGGCTGGGAGAGGGGCCAGAGAAACCTGTCAGGGGATTCTGATGTGTGCTCCGGTCTCAGGACATTCTCACAGGGGCGACAGGGACTGGAGCTGGGACAGAGTGTGGCACATCTGGAGAGATTGCAGCAGGGGCAGAAGCTGTGGGATAGGGAAGCAGCTCCATGTGGCGGGAGTCAGGGGGATGTGGATGGTGGGGGACAGAGAGCGGGATGAGGAATTTAGATATTTCCTAAAGCTGGAAGTCTGTGATTCTGCACCCCTGTGAGCTGCTGTAGAGTGGCTTTGGTGATGGACATGAAATATTAAACGCTGGCAAAGTGCCTGAACAGAAAGAAAAAGCCCACCTTCTCAAAGGAGATGCAGCAGGTTGCATAGTGTCTTCCAACCACCTTTTTTGGGCCAGGGTTCCATGTTCCACAGCCCCCCAGATCTGCGGGTCCCCACTACTCCTGCCTTCTCACTCAAGGCCTTCCTCAAGGCCACACCATCATCTCTGTTGAGTTGATTTCTTTTGTGAGTCAAGACTTCCAGGTGACAGAGTACCAGAAAACCCCTGACAATCTGGGGAGACTGGGTCCAAGTCCAGGACTGCCTGTGGTGGAGAGCACTCTGCTTTGAAGCATAGGGGACTCAGAGCACCTTCCTGCATGTGCTGACCCAGGCCTGGCAGATGCCCATCTAACATGCTAATGTCCTTCAGGCCAATGCAGTGGCTCGTGCCTGTAATCCCAACACTCTGGGAGGCTGAGGCAGGAGGATGGCTTGAGCCCAGGAGATCAAGACCAGCCTGGGCAACATAGCAAGACCCCATCTCTACAAAAAAATTAAAACCAAAAAGGCTTCAAATGTCTTTCCTCATCAGATCCCTCTGGCATGGACATGAATTCCTCCCTGTGACCTTCATTTTAAGTAGAAGCACAGGGACATCTCAAGTGTCCCGGTGGTGGCAGGAACGGGGCCCCCTGCCTGTGAGCACAGGGCTGGCTGGTGCAGGGTACTGGCCTCAGGTGAGCAGCCTGCCCAGCCCCTGGGTCACTGACTTCCTGAGTGACTCTGGGGCCCTTTCCTTCCTCTAGGGCCACTTTCTTCATCTGTAAAACAAGGGATTCAGATGAGATCACCTCCAGGACTCTGAACCCACAGAGCCCACATTCTCACACCAAGGTGCCCAGATTCCTAGGCGTGCACAGTGCATGCTGGGCACATTAGAACACCAGGGGTTTTAAAACATTTCTATTTAGACTAAGAAACTCACATGGGGAGAAATCAGGAGCCCTGTGAAAACACGGGGTCTCCATCTCCCAGACCCATCCAGCCAGTTCCTGGAGAGACAGTTCTTCCCACCCCCGAGTGGCCATGTGCACTGGGGGTCCTGACCCAGGCGAGGCAGTCTCCATAGTCAGCTCCCCTGTCTGGGTCTTGGGTGCCCACAAAGGGAAGGCCTGTTGGAGAACCTGGAGGAGGAGGAGTTGAGAGGAGGAGGGAGAGAGGCTGGGCACTGCAGCCTGTGGAAGTCCTGTTAAGTCTGCAGTCGGCACACCCCACATTTGCCGCTTCTGCCCTCGCAGCGAGTCTCCCAGTGCTGCCAAGGTCAACACCCTGGGGTGGGGGTGCAGGCTGAGGCCTGGAGCAGAGGATGGGGTCCAAGTCTGGCTCAGCCATGTGCTGGCTGGGGACCTCTCTAAGCCCAGTTTTCTCATCTGTAAAATGGATGGGGTGCACATGCTCCTACCCCAAGGATTGTTGTGAGGATGGGCAGTGCCCATCCGGCAGTTGCTCATTGGCAGCTGAATGGTGAATGTTATCTGTCCACTTGGATAGGCTATTGGCCCTGTTGTTTGTTCAAACTCTCATCTAGATGCCGCTGTGAAGATATTTTTGGGTGTCATTAGTATTTAACTAGTGGACTTTGAATAAAACAGATGACCTTCCATAGTGTGGGTAGGCCTCGTCCAATCCGTTGAAACTGAGGTTTCCAGAAGGAATTCTGCCTCGAGAGCACAATACAGAAAGCCTGACTCAGTTTCCAGCCTGCACCGTGTGGACTCAAGCCTGAGATATCAGCTATTCCCTGAGTCTCAGGCCTGCCAGCCTGCCCTAAGAGTTTGGACTTACCAGTCCCCACAATCACACGAGCCAATCGCTTAAAACTCAATCAATCAATCAGTGTTAAAATAAGTTACCAATGTTCAAAAATAAGGTTTCACACACACACACACACACAAGAGGATTCCTAACATGGAAATCAGATGATGTGACCACACTGGGCATCCGTTCCTGCCAGAGCGGGACAGTCAAGCCCCCCGCTCCCCTCACCTGAGGTTGGGCTGCCCCAGGCATGTGAGTTTTTCCAAGCTCCTTTCTGGCTCTGGGTTCAGTTTAGCAAACGCTTGGTTGGAAACACTCTCGCTAGGTGCTGGGGATACCGGGGAGAGTGTGGTCCCTGCCCTGGAGGAGGTGCTGTGGCATCCTGGTGGGGACCAACCCGCCAGCCCACGGTGCAGGCAAGAGAGGTCAGGCGGGGAGGAGTAGGGCGAAGCCTGGGGGTGTGCAAGCCCCCTGCCTCCTCCTTCCCTTGGGAAGACCGCAGAGCCACAGCCTGGCCATCCTGTTCACGGGAAAGCTGGGTTGGAGAAGCTAGCTTGGGTCTGGGACCAGAAGAGGACTCATGGGTCCTACTCCTGGAATTGGTCTATGAGGTGCAGCCACTCCCAGCCCTGCCAGCTCAGGAAAGGGGGGCCGTTTCTCCAAATCTCAGCCCCCTCAGGTGCCCACTGTCTCCTGAAGTGGCGGGAGAGCAGGGGAGTCTCTTGTCCTTGTGAGGAGAGCAGCGGTTTGTTCTGGAACCGGGGGCCTTAAGGGGAGCCCGCAGAGAGCGACGCTGGCATCTGCCTCATGGGGAGCTGTGAAGACCCTGAATAAAGTGCACGAGACATTTTCCCTCAGCCAGCAACTGTGATCGCGACACTGTGGCGCTTGTCCTGGAGGTGTGCGGATGGGGACTGCTGCTGAGCACTCTGGCCCGGCCCCTCTTTCTTTAGATGGACTCCTGGAAATGAGACTAAAGTTGAAGCACCTGAATGCTTACATGTTTTACCTCTAACGTTTATTTTAAAAAATTTGTGGCCAGGCACAGTGGCTCACGCCTGTAATCCTAGCATTTTGGGAGGTCGAGGTGGGCAGATCACCTGAGGTCAGGAGTTCGAGGTGACCTCCTCGAACATGGTGAGACCCCGTCTCTTCTAAAAATACAAAAATTAGCCAGGCGTGGTGGCAGGCGCCTGTAATCCCAGCTACTTGGGAGGCTGAGGCAGGAGAATCGCTTGAGCCCGGGAGTTGGAGGTTGCAGTGAGCAGAGATTGTGCCACTGCACTCCAGCCTGGGTAACAGAGCGAGACTCTGTCTCAAAAAAAAAAAAATTGTATAACACTACTTTTTAAATTTTTTAGAGACAGAGTCTCATTCTGCTGCCCAGGCTGGAGTGCAGTGGCATGATAGCTCACTGCAGCCTCGAACTCCTGGGCTCAAGCCATCCTCTTGCTTCAGCCTCCTGAGTAGTGGGGACTAATTTTTTAAAAATTCTTTTTGTAGAGACGGGGCCTTGCTATGTTACCCAGGCTGGTCTTGGACTCCTGGGCTCAAGCAAGCCTCCCAAATCACTGGGATTACAGGCATGAACCACCACACCTGGCTTAATATTACTTTTATTAGTTTTTTAAACACTATGAAGTATAAATAACAAAAAAACGGAGCTTAATCTTGCTACTCAGATATATTTTGTTGATATTAGCAACTAAATAAAGAGGGTCTCAAGCAGGTTTAGAAAATTTAAGCGAGATTAGAAGGGCACCTGATGAAACGGAAAACCCTCACTCGACCCAGCCTCAGCCCTCAGTCTGGGGCAACTACTAACAGTTGCTGTGGTTTCTTCCAGAAGAATGTTGCCACACACCCCAGCTTGTAGGAGTCAGCGCTGGTGTGTGCAGCAGTGAGAAGGCGCGCATCTTCCTTCACAGGCACCATGGCCACTGTCCTGCTCTGGCACAGCTTGCCTTTCCACCTGAGCCCTCCCAGCACGCTTTCCACTTCAGTCCAGCAAGGCGGTCTCGTCCCTCTTGTTCTGGTCCCTTTGGTTAGGGCCTCCCTCTCTACGAGCACTAGCCCTGCCAGTGGCCTGGGAGCTCTGCAAAGGCCAAGGGTGGGTCCAACCCACCTCTGAATGCCTGGAGCCCAGCTCAGGACAGGGGCCCCTTTCCTGGAGCTGTGGGTGGTATGGAGGCAGGGCTGGGAGAGGAGAGACAGAGGGTGGAGGACTGGAGGGGTCAGGGTCAAGGTGAGGGTCAGCATCCTGCCAAACTCTGCTGCCCACAGCAGACCTGGGGTGCTGTCTGCAACTAGGTGAGGAGAGCTGGCTGGTGTGAGCCACGATTAAGTGTTTCCCAGGTGCATGGGTGGTAAAGGTTTATTTAAAACCAACCAAGCAACCAACCAAATCTCTGCCTCACTGCTCCCCGCCCCAGCCCTCCCGCTCCAGCCACAAGCACCCTGCTGCCATCATGTTACATGGCATGGCTTCATTGTCCCCTGGCTTAAGGAGAATGTTTCCCGCAGGTTGTAAGTGGACAATTTTATCCACCTAGTACTAGCGTGTGAGAAGTTTTGAAATGAATGTTCATGTACTAGATTGCGTGAAATGCCTTTTCTGTGTCTAATGAGACCTTAGTGTGTTTTTCTTTCTCCACTCATCTGCCAGTGGGGTGCATTACCTTACTGGACTTATTCAGGCTCAGCAGCCTTGACAAAGACCTTATGGAATTTCCTTTTTTTTTTTTCTTTTTTTTTTTTTTGACAGAGTCTCACTCTGTTGCCCAGGTTAGAGTGCAATGGCGCCATCTTGACTCACTGCAACCTCTGCCTCCCGGGTTCAAGCGATTCTCCTGCCTCAGCCTCCCGAGTAGCTGGGGTTACAGGTGCATGCCACCATGCCCAACTAATTTTTGTATTTTTTAGTAGGGGTTTCACCACGTTGGCCAGGCTGGCCTTGAACTCCTGGCCTCAGGTGATCCACCCGCCCTGGCCTCCCAAATTGCTGGGATTACAGGCGTGAGCCACTGCGCCCGGCCTTCTTATGGCATTTACTATCTGGCTCCTTAGCGAAAATTTAATTGCTAATCTAGGGCAAAGTTTTCTCCAATCAGTCCTCCCAGCAGTTCTGACAGGGATACAGGCAGGGAGTATCATGCCCATCTTACGGGTGGGGAGAGATATTCAGAAAGGCCTGGTGCCTTCCCCAGGGCTGCACAGCTCACAGATGCAGAAGGCACAATGGGAAAGTATCTTCTGCTCACCTCCCTCCACCTGCACCAAGGCTGGAGCAAAGAAATGCAAAGAACGCTGCCCAGCTGCCCCACAGCCCCCAAAGACTTGGTGTGATGAGCTCTGGATGGCAGCTGGGAACGTCTTCTTTTAATGAGGGCTCCCCTCTTCCATCCACAGTCGTTGAACCTCTCAGGAGGGCTGGGCTGGTAGCATCCTGAGAATAATGAAAAAGCTGGGAAATGATGCTCCGTGGATTGGCCATTGATGAGACTGGTGCCTTCTCCAGTAAAGTGGACCTGCAGGATGAGTCTTCCAAAGGGACCTTCGTGGAGTCTAAGTAGCACATCAAACATCCTCCCAAAAGGCTGTCCACCAGGTGTCCCCCAGACTGCACACGGATAAGGGTTCTGAAGTCATCTGTGCTCAGGCAGAGCCTTGAGAGGACTGCTGCCTGCGATCCGAGTGGGGCGAGAATGGATCCACAGTGAGCCTGGGCTTCTATGAGCTTGACTAAGAAACAGCACGACCATCCTTTGGTCATGAACTGCACCTGCCTGCACACCTCCACGCTGCAGGCGCACCTGCTGAATGCACTGGGGGCAGCCTGCTGAATGGTGGGGAGGCCTCTCCACTGTCAGCAGAGGGCTGCACAGGAGCTGGGGGCAGCCGGCAGGGGGAGCCCTTGTGCCCAGGGCACTGACGCCACTCAGGGAGGGCAGAACATGGCCTCCTGCTTTTTGTGGAAGCTTTTCAGGCCAGCTCCCCCAGAGACCCTGGGGGAAAGGGCTCGTGGGTCAGGGCTCATAAACCATAATCATCCAACATATAACTTTAGAACAAATTGGACTGCTCAGGAGGGAGAGGGCCCCGAGAGGCCACAGAAGACTTGGTGGGCTGAAGTGTGGAACAAGCTGTGTGAGGGGAGCCTAAGCTGGCTGGGGTGCCCTAGAACTTGAAGTTCAGGACTCTGGGGGAAAGCAGGGAGAGGGCTGGGGGCTTGGAGGGGCGGCATTTGGGTCGTGGTTGGAATGTTCCCAAAGGAAATGTTCTAGAAATGAAGTGTCAGTGCAGGTGCACTTCTGGCTACTGGCTTCATCGAATTAAGTTGGGGATGGGATTATGCGAACTGGCTGACCACCAGAGGAGGGACTCTGCAAGATGCAGAGGAAGGCAGGCACCTACAGGGGGAGCTGCAGGGGCCACCCCACCTGCTGCCTGCAGCTGCGCCACCTGCATCCCATCTGTCCTGCTGCACCAGGTCAGTCCCGTCAGGCGGTACAGCTGTCCACATCACACATGGTCACACACAGAAAGACACCCTCCCTTCAGCTACCTCTGCAGTCACCCCATTTCTCTGCCACGTTACAGCAGAACTTCTCCAAAGAATGCTGCATGTTTTCTCTGTCCACCTTTACCATGGTTCAGCTGCAGTAGTGTCCCAGTCAGGGGATTCAGCATGGGCAAAGGCCCTGGGGCCACACCACATGCTTGCCATGGCCAGGAAACAGCAAAGCAGCCAGTGTGGCCAGGAGTGAAGAAGCACCGAGAAACTGGACTGGGGGACCACAGAAGCCTGCCCACTCTGCACTTTGTGGTCTGTGGCCCAGACTTCAATTCCATTCTAAGCGCCAAACACTGGAGTGACAGCTGAATTCTCAACATAGAAGCCAAAGTTAGTGAAATAACATGTTAATGACACCAAGAGAAAATACTCGCCAACCTAAAATTATATACCCAGAAAAATTATCTTTCAAGAAAGAGAGGAAACAAAACTGAGGAAGATAATGGGACTGGTTTGTCAGAGAGCAATGACTCAAGGGACCACATTAAGGAACTCTTCATTCTTCTGCGTCTCAGAGTATATGTGCGACCAGGACTGTGGGAATGAAGAAACACAGAAAAATGTGTCTGACTTACAGGACACTGAACAAATAAGACTGACAGGTACACCCTGACCCAAGTTCAGGATGCCTCTGAATACCCAAGAATTATGTTGTCATATGACATAATCAAGGGGGAGAAAAATCAAAGATCAATTTCATTTGTTCAGCAACCTTTTTCCAGTTGGAGAGAAGTCTCAGGGCATCTTGGAACCCAGGAATCTTCTGCTAATGAGACTCTTAGTCCCAATATAGGACCTACTTGGAAGTGCGAGTGTGGCTAGACCATATAATGAAATTCCAAAAGTCTCTGAGAGGGCCTCAGACACCTGTCTTCAAAGTGCTACCTCAGGGAGCAAGGCTAAAATTGTCCACGAGGTGGCTGGTTACTTTATATGAATCTGAGTCAAATGAAATGTCTAGGTTCCAAGGAAACTCAGAGACAACACAGTGCAAATCTATCATTTTATGGTGGCCCCCAAAGAGATGGCCACAGGGTGAGTAATCAGCACAGCCAGGAATGGAACTGCCCTCCTGATCCCGGCCCACGCCTTGTGTGCTGTTCGCTGTCCGATGTACAGCGGGGTTGGGGCTCTTCCTCCCCAAGTGCGTTCTCTTCCTCTAGGCTCATACACAGGATATTGCCCTTGGCTCCCAAGACGCAAAGTTCACAAACTTAGCTTTTACCATCATGGCACCCAAGATCCAAACTGCCTTCATCAAAGGAGTCAGGCAGGATGAGGAAACATGCAGATGTAGAGGGCTGGGCCTCAGTTGTTCTCTGCTGACAGGATGGGGTCAGTCAGATTGGAACCTTCTTTTTTTTATTTTTATTTTTTGAGATGGAGTCTCGCTCTGTGACCCAGGCTGGTGTGCAGTGGCACAATCTCGGCTCACTGCAAGCTCTGCCTCCCGGGTTCACGCCATTCTCCTGCCTCAGCCTCCTGAGTAGCTGGGACTACAGGTGCCTGCCACTACGCCCAGCTAATTTTTTGTATTTTTAGTGTAGATGGGGTTTCACTATGTTAGCCAGGATGGTCTCGATAACCTGACCTCGTGATCTGCCTGCCTCAGCCTCCCAAAGTGCTGGGATTACAGGTGTGAGCCACCGCACCCAGCCAGATTGGAACCTTCTACACACCCTCCTTTCCCCTGCCCACATCCCCACACGGCTTCAATCATGTAACACATATCTGTGACCCCTCAGGGAAGGAGCCTTGCCTATTCCCTGGCTGGGTAGATACCACCCACCCTGGGCTCTGCTCATGCTCAGCATTTCTCACCCACACACAGGGGCTAAGTGTCCATCTCACCCACTAGGGTGCAAACCCTCTGAAGGCAGCAGCTGTGCAAAAGGGTGGCTGTCATGTCTACTCCGGGCCTGGCACATGTTAAGTCTTTGGTATCTATTCAAAGAATACTTGAACAAATGAATCAATGACTCCATCGCCAAGGAGCCAACTGCTTCTTAGTTGGACCTAGTACATTGCCAGCATAACACACTGGATGAATACATCAACAAAGAAGTGAATCCATCCTATGACATCCACTGGCTGGTGTCCAGAAGACATCTGGAACATGGGACATGAGCAGAGCGGGGATGCCTGCATTCAGCCCTCCAAATCTCACTTAGCCTGAGAGACAACTTACACCTCTCGTCAGTCAGAGAGGGTCTCTCATGGAACATTCTATGAGGCCAGAAACTCAGTCCCAGGCTTGCTGCTGCAGCCCTCTCCAGAGTGGTCAGCATTCTGAACCATTGTTTCAAAAACCATCACGGGCCGGGCGCAGTGGCTCACGCCTGTAATCCCAGCACTTTGGGAGGCCGAGGCAGGTGGATCATGAGGTCAGGAGATCGAGACCATCCTGGCTAACAAGGTGAAACCCCGTCTCTACTAAAAATACAAAAAATTAGCCGGGCGCGGTGGCGGGCGCCTGTAGTCCCAGCTACTCGGGAGGCTGAGGCAGGAGAATGGCGTGAACCCGGGAAGCGGAGCTTGCAGTGAGCCGAGATTGCGCCACTGCAGTCCGCAGTCCGGCCTGGGCGACAGAGCGAGACTCCGTCTCAAAAAAAACAAAACAAAACAAACAAAAAAAACCCCATCACGACAGTTAGAGGATGCAGATGGCACATCAGGAGCTACTGATGTTGTGAAAGAGCTTTGGCATCAGTTGAATTCTTCCCGGCAAGGTTCTAGGGTTGTTTTCTGTTTTGTTTTTGGCTGAAGTTTCCCCACCTGAACAATGGGGATAATAAAATGACCTCTGATATTTGTGAAAATTAGATATGTTAAGTGCCTAATCCCAAGTGGATTCTTGTAATACAGGCTTTTGTTTTCTCATTTTCACATCCTCAGTGTCCTAACACTGGCGGGAGCTTAGGGAATTGGGCTGGGAGGTAACAGACGAGACAGGCCAGTGCAAAATGTTTCCCTTTTGGCCCCTTTGTGTGGTTTTAGACTTCTACCTACTCCTGCCATCCCACTGACATCCTATATAATGATGTTCCTCTTTACAAGTTTGCTAAAGCAAATTTAACAATCCCAGGGAAAATTTTTTTAAAAAAGGAAATGTATTTAACTGTAAGCGCGCTTGCCTTACCCGAGACACAAGACTCAAAGACAGGTCTCCCGAAGGATCCCCCATTCCCCCCGCCCCATTTCCATCCACGGGCGGCCTCTGCAGCCCACGCTGGGCCCCTGGCCTGTTTCGTGTTCCCCATGCTTGAGGTGCTGTTTGTGTAGCTGTGCCCATGCTTCCGCTCAGAGCAAGTCAGTGGGTCTGAGGGGACTCCTCCCTAAGTCCTCCCACCAGACACAGCGTAAGCACCTCTTTGCCTGTGAAAGTCCTTGTTTACATCTGCAGTCCCAGATGAATTTCTATTAATAGAGCCACCCTTCACTTTCAAAAGTGGCCCAGTTTGTTTGACAAATGGTACTAAATAGGTGCTCAGGTCCCGAGCCTCAGAGCCATTGCTGAATCCTCTCATGTCCACAGGCAGGCCCTCGGCACTTTCCCAACGCAGTCCACACCCGTCCCCATCCACACAGCGCGTGCTCCACTCTCCACGCTGCCTCCCACTCTTGTCCTGGTCCCCCACTGTCAGGCCTGAGCACAGCAGCCACCACCTCAGATGGTCAGCTCCCATCGCTCCTCTGCTGGCAACCCCCCACCAGCTTCACATCCACCCACTTCTCCCTCTGACCTCGGTGCCCACCACTTCCTCCCTTCCCACTGGGGTTTCATGCTGCCTCACCTTTTTACCCTACTTGTTCCCCGTGCCTAGAAGACTCTTTCCCCAGACACCCATGCACATTCCACACATCAGCCTTCACTCAAATGTCATATCAGACATGTTACCTGACCATGCAAATCAACTAGAAATCCCACACCCTATCCCCCAATGCCATTTTTTTCCCCCACAGAACTTACACTATTTAATATGGGTACATATCATTTTTTTCCTGCTTCCCTCATTTAGGGGTTATCTAACAAATACTTAGGAAACACTTACTATAGCCAGACACAATTCTAAGCATCTTATGAATAACAAATCCAACTTTTTTTTTCTATTAGAGACAGGGTCTCACCATGTTGCCCAGGCTGATCTCAAACTCCTGGCCTCAAGCAATCCTCCTGCTCAGGCCTCCTAAAGAAATGGGATTACAGGCATGAGCTACCATGCCTGGCCCTCAGATCCAATTTTACAAGCACTTTGTTCACTCAGGTAGTCTCAGCATCTGTAGGTGCTCAATTTATGCGTTGAATCAAAGACCAGCATTGCGGACACTGTACTGTAATTGTGTTTTCAGACCTGTCTCAACCCACTAGATCGTCTCTCCAAGAAATTCCTAGTGCCTGGCATAGTGTGGAGCTCTGTGGTCACAGTGAACACTAGCTGCCTGAATGGACTTCACCTCTCCAAAGGCTGGGGCCAGACCATATGGCTTCATGAGGCACCCCTTTCCTACTCTAGGTCTGCCTTCTTCTTCTTCTGCAGCTCAAACCCCACCCTGGGCTACAGGCTTTGAACAACTCGTGAGTCAGAAGCAATTCTCCTCCATTTGACAGTGACCACTATCAAGGAGAAACTCATTTTGAAAAATGTTTATTTACCTTACCTTTTCTTGGCCAAGTCAATTGCTTTGGTCATCTGCACAAAGATTCTAAACACTGGCTTTCAGCATTTCTTTTTCCAAGCAAATGAAATTTATCATAACAAGACAGAGCTCTGATTTTAGTCTCTGTGGAGTCTGGGCTCTGATGACCTAGGCTAGTCATCATCTAAGCCTGGAATGACTGTTTGGGACCCCCATGGCCAGCTTGAAGCTTTCCTTCCTCAGCCACTCTGGGCCCCTGAAGAGGTCACATGCATCTGTGGCAGAGACTGTATTATAACAAAGTTGTTTACCCCAAAGTCAGCAAACACATGTACCTAGAACTCATCCCAATTGTAGGTTGCTCACCAGACAGGTTACACGATGTGCACCAGTTAACATGCCATAGGAAAATTACATTCCAAGAAAAAGCAAAATGCTATAAAAACAAAAAAAACAAAACACCCAAAACAGCTCTCCCTCCTTTGATCTGATGGTCTGCAGAGGTCCTCAAATCCACACACTGCCACTCTTCAAGACCAACCGTCCACTGGGCCTTCTTAATCTCATCCAAAGTCGCATTCACAACTTTGACAGGAGCTTGGGTTCTTCATGTGGCAGCTGCAACCATGTAGTGTCTTCTCACTTGCAGAACTCTAACCTCAAGTCTCTCATGAGTCCCCAAATTCCAGGAAGCATAAAAAAACAGCAAAGCACACGAGTATACTTCCAAACTTTGAAAATACAATAAGATCACAGGAACAAATATGACCACGCAGCAGCGTACGTACTGTATAGGCCATATTCCTTTACGTGGGACATTAATGAAAAGCTGTCTTTTCCAAACTGAATGCGCCTATTAATAAAAAAATACACCTGACCATCTAATGCTGAAGTCATCCGCCAGGATGGTACTGGAAATTGAGTGGCTAATGTGGAGAAAACGCAGGCAGAAAAACAGGGGAGACAAAACGAAAGGCTCTCTTGGTTTGAGCCTGTCCAAGCAGCCACGACTCCTTATCAGGTGAACACAGTTCGTCAGTTGGCCACCTAAAGTACAAGTGGGAGAAATTCATCATCACAACATAAATTTTGAGCTTGATATTCTCATATCCGGGAGTCAAACAAACCCAACCACCTGTGCACAATGCTTCCACCTGCAGGAAGGTCATCGCAAACGCTCCAATCTCGTAACAACATTCACACGTTTCCAGCATGTACCTCCGCTTCACACCTCTCTCCCCCCACGTAGTGACCCACCAGGTCTACGTCCTGAAAATACTTCCAGTGGTCATGACTCTTTACAACAACATATCAAATTATTTTCTCTAATTACCTATGAAAAAAGAATGAAACCAACTCCGCGGAGAGCGTGGCACGGCTCTGCGCTCCCCTCCCTGCCTACCCAGCGCCTTCCACGCGGGACACTCCCCGCCGCGCTCCGCTCCAGACCCGCGCGGCCTCGCCGGCTCAGCAGCACTCGCAGCCGGCGATCCGCTGGTGCAGCTCCACGATCCGCCTGCCCATCCGCGCCGCCTCCGCAGCCTTCCTCTCTGCTTCGGCGCACAGCCGAGCCACCCGCTCCTCAGCCTCCGCACGCGGGCGGGGTGCTGGGGCCCGGGCGCCCCGCTCCTCTGCCTCCACCTCACTCTTGATGGCGTCGAGCAGGCTCTGGATCTCCAGCAGCTTCCTGCGGGCCCGCCAGTGCGCCCGGGCGCGCTCGCGCTCCAGGGAGGCCAGGTTCTCGCGGCCGGCGCGGGGCGCGGGGCTCAGCGGGCTGCCCGGCTCCTCGCGGGGCTCCCGCGCCTCGTCCGCGTCCACGGGCCGCATCACGCCGCCGCCTCTTCCAGCCCGCGGGGCACGCCGGGGCTGCTCACCAGCAGCGAGCGCGGAAGCCTCGCTGTCACCAACGACCAGACTAGCAACAGGTTGCCCCAACTTTCCGCAGCGAGGACGGTATCCAAAATGGGCTACTAGCCGTCGGCCAGGACGCTGCCACTGCGGCCCTTTTACGACACCTGCGGTCCTTTACCGCCACGCAGCAAGCGAGAACCGCATTCGGGGCTCCCGCCTCAGCGGTCCTGCGCGCGCACGCGCACTTGCACGCACGCGTACCCCCCCGCACGCATGCGCACCCCATGTCCCCGCCCGCTGTAGCGCCACAGCTCTTTGGGCGTTGATTCTAGGGTCAGGGCCCTCACTCACACTGCTGGAAGGTTAAAGTCGACTTCACGCTAGTTTAAGGAAATATCTGACGCTGATAACCATGTCCCAAGCACTGCTCTAAGTTCCCAATGTGTCCGGAATTGGTGGGTTCTTGGTCTCACTGACTTCAAGAATGAAGCCACGGACCCTCGCGGTGAGTGTTACAGCTCTTAAAGTGGCGCGTCTGGAGTTTGTTCCTTCTGATGTTCGGATGTGTTCGGAGTTTTTTCCTTCTGGTGGGTTCGTGGTCTCGCCGGCTCAGGAGTGAAACTGCAGACCTGTTACGGCTCATAAAGGCAGTGTGGACCCAAAGAGTGAGCAGCAGCAGGATTTATTGCAAAGAGAGAAAGAACAAAGCTTCCACAATAGAAGGGGACCTGAGCCGGTTGCCACTGCTGGCTCCGGCAGCCTGCTTTTATTGTCTTATCTGGCCCCACCCACATCCTGCTGATTGGTAGAGCCGAGTGGTCTGTTTTGACAGGGTGCTGATTGGTGCGTTTACAATCCCTGAGCTAGACACAAAGGTTCTCCAAGGCCCCAGCAGAGTCGATTGGTATATTCACAAACCCTGAGCTAGACACACGGTGCTGATTGGTGTATTTACAATCCCTGAGCTAGACATAAAGGTTCTCCACATCCCCACCAGACTCAGGAGCCCAGCTGGCTTCACCAAGTGGATCCCACACCAGGGCTGCAGGTGGAGCTGCCTGCGAGAACGGCACCGTGCGCCCACACTCCTCAGCCCTTGGGTGGTGATGGGACTGGGCGCCGTGGAGCAGGGGGTGGTGCTCGTCGAGGAGGCTCGGGCAGCACAGGAGCCCATGGAGGGGGTGGGAGGCTCAGGCATGGCGGGCTGCAGGTCCCGAGCCCTGCCCCTCGGAAAGGCAGCTAAGGCCCGGTGAGAAATCGAGCACAGCGCCGGTGGGCTGGCACTGCTGAGGGACCCAGTACACCCTCCGCAGCCGCTGGCCCGGGTGCTAAGCCCCTCATTGCCGGGGGCTGGCAGGGCCAGCCGGCTGCTCCGAGTGCGGGGCCCACCAAGCCCACGCCCACCCTGAACTCCAGCTGGCCCGCAAGCGCCGTGTGCAGCCCCGGTGCCCGCTCGCGCCTCTCCCTCCACACCTCCCTGCAAGCTGAGAGAGCCGGCTCTGGCCTTGGCCAGCCCAGAAAGGGGCCTCCACAGTGCAGCAGTGGGCTGAAGGGCTCCTCAAGTGCTGCCAAAGTGGGAGCCCAGGCAGAGGAGGCACCGAGAGTGAGCGAGGGCTGTGAGGACTGCCAGCACACTGTCACCTCTCACCAACATTCTAAATCATAAACACCCAGGCCGGGCGTGTGGCTCACGCCTATAATCCCAGCACTTTGGGAGGCTGAGGTGAGAGGATCGCTTGAGCTCAGGAGTTCCATACCAGCCTGGGCAACAAGGGAAAAAACCCTACCAAAAAAAACACAAGAAATTAGCTGGGCGTGGTGGCGCGTGCCGATAGTCCCAGCTACTTGAGAGGCTGAGCCGGGAAGATTGCTTGAGCCCAGCAGGTCGAGACCGAGGTGAGCTCTGAACGCCTGATTGCGCCACTGCACCCCAGCCCAGTGACAGGGCGAGACCCTGTCTCAAAATAAATAAATAAAAATAATAAACAACCGAATTCAGTGGTCCCGTTAGAATATTCCAGGCTCCGAGAAGCCAGGTGCTCACAGCGTCGGGATTTGCCCCCAGCCAGGGCCTCCGCTCCCTCTTGCCTCGGGCAGATGCTCCTGGAACACAGAGCTGCGGCCTCGGTGCTGATGCTGAGTGCTGTGACCCAGCCTCCCCCTACTTTTTTCCTAAGGGTATAAGCTTCACTCTGCCTGGGGCTTTGGCTGTAAGTTGGAGTCTGGCTTTACCCACTGTGGGCACCCAAGGCCAAGGTGGGTCTGATTCACCACTGTTTCCTCAGCCCTGCCAGGCTCTGAATATGCCTTTAGGAATCATTCTGGAAGATTTCTTTCTTCACTGGACTATATAAGTGCCTCTGCGAGAAAACAGGCCCTAGGGGCAGGTACTTAGTCAGTTTAGTCATCTGTTTCCTCAGCTTGAAATGGGCTTGGCATACAGCAGGAGCCCAGTAAATGTTGCTTTAATGCTCATTTCCCAAGAGATCTTTATTAAGCACCCACTGCATGTCATTGTGTCTAGGCTTATTCACTGTGTACCTCTAGCAGAAAGTTAAGGGGACCCTCCATGCTTGATGGCCAGAGGTCACTCTCAGCTCCTACAGGTCACTCTCCGGTCCTTAAACGTGGCCCTCTCCATCTTCAAAGCCAGTAAGAGCATGTCGGATCCTTCTTATCCTTCCAGCCTCTCTGTCATCCCCTTCTGCTCCCAGCTGGAGAAAACTCTGCTTTTAAGGGGCTTGCCATGGTCCAAATATGTGAGTCCCCCCAAAATTCATATGTTGCAAAGCAATCCCCAATGTGATGATATTAGGAGGTGGGGTCTTTGGGAGGTGATGTGGTCATGAAGGCTCAGCTTTCATGAATGAGATTAGCACCCTCATAAAACAACTCCACAGGGCCGCCTTACCCCTTCTGCTGTGGGAGGTTATAGCAAAAAGATGGGCTTCTATGAACCAGAAGTGGGCCCTCACCAGGCACCAAACCTGCTGGCACCGTGATCTTGTACTGCTCAGCCTTCAGAACTCAGAAAATACATTTCTGTTGTTTAGAAGACACCCAGTTTCTGGTATTTTGTTAGAGCAGCGTGAACGGACTAAAATAGTGCTTATGTGGTTGTGTAACAGCATCGATTCCATGTTAAAGAACAATTTTGCTTGCTCAATTATAATTATTGCTTTGCTTAAGTTTTAGACTATGCTAAAAACAGCCTCAGGACCTTCAGCACTGATCAACAATCCTGGGCATGGGCTGACCGACAGTTTTCACCCAGAGAGTGAAGATCATGGAGGAGCCATCTTAAATTCTGCCCAGCGCAGGCTCCCAGGAATCCTAATGTCACGATCTCACTGCAGCCAATGTGACAAACACAGCAGTAATTAAGTCTAGAGAGCTAAACACACCTCAAAAAGAATTGTCTCTTGGTATGAGTGGAATGGAATAAAATACATGGAAACCCACAAAAGTTTCGAGGTGAACATATTAGCAAAAATGCTCTAGCTTATCCAAGCGACAGTTCAAAGTGTCAAAGGACTTCTAGACTCCCAATCTTTCCACCGGCAGAAAGCAGGCTCAGTAGCCCAAACTGGCGCATTTTAAAATGCCCTTTTCAGAAGTGTGATGGAAAAAGAAGGATGTGTCAGTGCAGGCCAGTGTGTGGGGACCAATGGCAAACTGCAGCTCCTGAACTAAGAAAGACTTTCATATCTTTAAAAAAGAAAAGGAGAAATAGGAATATGTGATAGAGACTGTATGTGGCCCACAAAGCCTAACATATTTACTGTTTAGATCTTTACAGAAAATGTTTGCCAACTCCTGTGCTGCTGAGCCACTTCCAGGTTGCAGAACCAAAGCCTTACATTCCCTAGCTTTAAAGTAGAGGACCTGGCAATGTTTACTCCACCGAGTTTCAAAATAGCTATGTGACTGCTATTTCACCCCTTCATTCTTCCCTTACCAATGGGCCTTATCCTGTCCCTGTCTCATCACTGAATGTTGGGTCTAAGTGGACAATAACTTGTCTTTTCAAAAAGTGCATAAGCTTCTAGACCAATAAAAGCCATATTAGGACCTGATGTGGCTCACAAGATGCTAGACTTCTTGCTTGAGGCCATGATTGGAAGAAAGTAGGAAGGGGGTCCTTAGATGGGGGTGGGCAATTTTTCCATGAATAATGGGGGCAGTGGGCACAGATGATGGTAGGTAGTATAAATGACCCCAATTCCCCACCCCTTCATTCATCCATGTTCTCTGCCTCATGTCTTGCTTTGGCCAATGAGAGGTTCACAGAGAGGACACAAGCACAGGTTTGAAAGAGGCTTTCGCGGTTGGACTCGCTTTCCTCTGCGTCTCTGCCTTCGCTATGAGAAGAACGGGCACCGGTCTTGGGAAGATGGTGAGAGAAACACAGAACCAAGCTGCTCTAGACAGGCCTAGCCTAGACCAGGTGGCCCGCAGACCATTACTGAGCCCAGCCTGGATCATCCAACTCCCAGCCAAACTGCAGACCATGAGGAATGTTTATTGTTGTCACGGAGATTTAGGGTGGCTCATGCAGCAAAAGCCAGTTGATGGCCGTAGGTGGGATTATAATCCCGGATACATTAAAATGCCAGTCTCTTCTTTTCCCCATGTCTTCATTTGCTCACTCTCAGGTGAAGGGATCTTGCTTGGAGGCCCAGACGTTCTGGATTTTCTCTTTAGAAACTGTGGCTTGAAGCATCCTCTTCAGGAAACAATATTTACTCCTTTTGTATCTCCAAAACCCCTCCTCACCCCTTTTGCAACCCAAACCCAAGTGTCTTCTGTGTCCTATTTTTCTTCTTTTGAGGCAGAGTCTTGCTCTGCTGCCCAGGCTGGAATGCAGTGGTGCGATCACGGCTCACTGCAGCCTCGACCTCCCTGGCCCAGGTGATCCTCGCAACTCAGCCTCCCGAGTAGCTGGGACTACAGGCACATACCACAATACCTGGCTAATTTTTTTGTATTTTTTTGTAGAGGTGTGGTTTCACTATGTTACCCAGGTTGGTCTTGAACTGAGCTCAAGCAATCTGCCTGCCTCGGCCTCCCAAAGTGCTGGGATTACAGGTGTGAGCCACTGCGCCTGGCCAGCTTGTACATTTTACAATCAAGATTACAAGACTACTGCCAGCTGTAGGCCACATCAGGCTCTGAGAAGAGGGGATGTGGACAGAGGTAACCAGGACAAAAGGAAAAAAAAGTCCTTAATTTCACCTTCTCTGATGCCATTTAGTTCATGCCGATCATCTGTAATTCACATCTGTGAACTTTCAGCCCGTTTGGGAGAAGCCTTCCCTCAAGTGCTTAATTATGGCACAGGATGGTCTCTTTTACACAAACGACTGTGCAAAGACATAGAAAGTGGAATTTATTTCTATCAGAATTAATTCAGAAAATCTGGGTAAGTTCCACACTCCATTTAACACTCATTACACATAATAACTGGTCAGACCACATTGTGTATGACTTAACCCACATTACATGAATAGTCTAGGAATAACAAAAGAATTTACTATTTATTTATCTGAAACAATGTTGATTCTGGGTTTGGTAAGATTCTGGGCTCGACACAATTCTGAGTCATGCTAAATTCTTCCACCAAAGGCAGCTGCCATAATGGAGTGTCTGGTACAGGAAGCGCGAGCCACTGGAGTGTGGGACGCATCACGGCCACAACAACAAAGCTGTCTCCACGTCCACTGCTAGCCGGGCGGGGCAGTAAAACGTGGTGTCTTGCACGTTGTATTTTCAAGAAACGGCCACAATGCAATTGCTAACAGTTGCACCTGCTCTTCCAGAACCTTGCCATGCCCATCAAGAGGTGGAGTCTGTGTCTCCTCCCTTTGACCCTGGCGGGACTTTGTGAAGGTGATATGGCAAAGAGATGCTATGGGACTTCCGATGCTTACTCTCCTGGGTTTTGTACATTTGGACGCCAAAGCCACCATATACGAAGTCTGGCTCCCCTGAAATTGCCATGCTGTGGAGACTATGTAAAAAGATCTCTGGTCGGGCGCCCCAGCACTTTGGGGGGCTGAGGCAGGTGGATCACTTGAGGTCAGGAGTTCAAGACCAGCCTGGCCAACGTGGAGAAACCCCGTCTCTACTAAAAATACAAAAATTAGCTGGGCGTGGTGTGGGGTGCCTGTAATCCCAGCTACTCGGGAGGCTGAGGCAGAAGAATCGCTTGAACCTGGGAGGCAGAGGTTGCAGTGAGCTGAGATCGTGCCATTGCACTCCAGCCTGGATAACAAGAGCCAAACTCCATCTCACAAAAAAAAAAAAAAAAAGATCACTGAAAGAGATATCCGTATCTGGAAATGGAGTGCTGCCGAAGGATGCTGAAGAGACAAAGGAAGCCTATTGGCTTTGAGAAGGCTCTCAGTGGAGACCTAAAGAAGAGTGAGGCATCTGGAGGTGCTGCAGCCCACCAGGCTGCTGTAACAGAATGTCATAGCCTGGGGGGCTTAGAAACAAAGGTTCCTCACAGCGCTGGAGGCTGAAAGTCCAAGATGAAGGCGCTGGCAGATTCAGTGTTTGGGGAGGGAGAGCCCTTTCTCTGTGTTTTCACATGGCAGGAGGGGCGAGGGAGCTCTCTGGGGTCCCTTTGATAAGGGTACTAATCCCATGCATGAGGGCTCCACCCTCATGACCTTGCCACCCCCAAAAGCTTCTTCCTAACCCCATCACATTGCGGGTAGGATTTCAACATGGATTTTGAGGGGACACAGTAACAGGAGGAAAGGGGTCCCTGTTACACAGAAGCAGAGTTTAGCAATACCTAAACTCTGCAGAAACGTGGAAGAGACAGCATGTACTTATGAAACGGATTCCAGGCACTGCTGAAGAGTTGCCTGACCTCTGGTTGCTTAGAGTAAAATGCAAGCGGAACTCTTAACTCTGAAGGATCTGGGGCTTGTGGGTTTGTAATCACCACTGTTTCTCCCTCCCAGCCTCTCAGGATGGCAAGGAATGCTAACGTTAAGAAATGGTTTCTGAGGCTGGGCGCGGTGGCTCACGCCTGTAATCCCAGCACTTTGGGAGGCCGAGGCAGTAGGATCACCTGAGGTCGGGAGTTCGAGACCAGCCTGATCAACATGGAGAAACCCCGTCTCTACTAAAAATACAAAATTAGCCGGGTGTGGTGGCACATGCCTGTAATCCCAGCTACTCGGGAGACTGAGGCAGGAGAATCGCTGGAAGCCGGGAGGCGGAGGTTGCGGTGAGCCGAGATGGCGCCATTGCATTCCAGCCTGGGCAACAAGAGCGAAACTCCGTCTCAAAAAAAAAAAAAAAAAAAGAAAAAGAAATGGTTTCTGGACAGAGGTAAGCCTAGGGTGGTGCTATCAGGAAAACGTGGCTCACGCCTGCAATCCCAGCACTTTGGGAGGCCGAGGCAGGCGGATCACGAGGTCAGGAGATCGAGACCATCCTGGCTAACACGGTGAAACCCCGTCTCTACTAAAAATACAAAAAATGAGCCGGGCGCGGTGGTGGGCGCTTATAGTCCCAGCTACTCGGGAGGCTGAGGCAGGAGAATGGCGTGAACCCGGGAGGCGGAGCTTGCAGTGAGCGGAGATAGCGCCACTGCACTCCGGCCTGGGCGAAAGAGCTAGACTCCGTCTTAAAAAAAAAAAAAAAAAAAATGAGACCAAAGGCATGACCACAAATCCCCTGTCTTCACCCAGGCTGGCTGCTTCCGCTTCACGTTCAGTATATTTAAAAGTTCTTGCCATGAGACAGGGTTTTCTTATCCCCTCATCCACCCCGTCTTCCCCTTTGGTGAAGGAGGGTGAGTTTGTTAAGACGTTGTGGAGGAACTAAGGCTTCCAAAGGTTTCGGGCCTGAGGTGACGAGAGGGGCCAGAACCTAAAGGAAGAGCCGAGGTGCAGGAGAGGCAAGGAGCCAACATGGCGACAAACTGGGGTGGGCAGCGGAGAGGGGGACTCAGAATGCCCTCTGGGGTGGACTCAGAAGACCAAATTTGCAGCATCCCTGGCCTGTGAAGGTCGCACAGAGTGAGGCTGCACTGTGGTAATGGGCTGCTCCTACCCACCCCCGGTGAACCCTCAGGGCACACCCTGGGGGTGGGCTGCACCTACCTACCCACGCTGAACCCTCAGGCGCGCCAGCAGCGGCTCCCGGCAAGGGGAACAGCCTGGGACTGTGGGGTTGAGCTGCAGTCAAGTGGCTGAGGCTTCTGAACTGTGATAAAAGCACCGCGGGCTCACGCCTGTAATCCCAGCACTTTGGGAGGCCGAGGCGGGTGGACCACGAGGTCAGGGGATCGAGACCATCCTGGCTAAGATGGTGAAACCCCGTCTCTACTAAAAAATACAAAAAATTAGCCGGGCGTGGTGGCGGGCGCCTGTAGTCCCAGCTACTTAGGAGGCTGAGGCAGGAGAATGGCGTGAACCCGGGAGGCGGAGCTTGCAGTGAGCCGAGATCGCGCCACTGCACTCCAGCCTGGGCAACAGAGCGAGACTCCGTCTCCAAAAAAAAAAAAAAAGCACCGCGGAGAGCGGGAAGGAGGCCTGGGAGGAGACTGCACTATCACCCAGTGAGTGTGAGTATGCGTGTGTGTGAGCATGAGTGGTGTGTGAGCGAGTGTGTGTATGCGAATGCATGTATGTGTATGAGTGAGCATGAGTGCACGTGTGAGTGTGAGCATGTGTGAGTGGTGTGAGCAGGTGTCTGAGAGCATGTGAATGCGCATGTGAGCATGTGAGCGAGTGTGAGCATATGTATGTGTGGGAGTGAGCATGAGTGTGAGCTTGTGTATTGTGAGCCTGTATGAATGTGAGCATGAGTGCACATGTGAGTGTATGGGTGTGAGCATAAATGTAAGTGGTGTGTGTGAGAACATGAGTAAGAACGGGTGTGAGCATGTATTGTGGGTGTGGATGAGTGTGAGTGTGCATGTGCATACATGTGGGTATAAGTGTGAGCGAGTGTAAATGTGTGTATGTGTGTGACATTGTGTGAGCATGTGTGTAAGCGTGTATGACTGAGCATGTGAGTGCACATGTGAGTGCATATGCATGTGAGCATGAGTGTCAGCGGGTGTATGTGTGAGCATGAGTGAGTGGGTGTGCGTATGTGTGAGTGTGACCATGACTATGTGAGCGTGTATGAGTGTGAGCGTGTGAGCGCATGAGTGTACATGTGAGCATGAATGTGAACGGATGTATGTGAGCATGTGTGAACCTGTGTATGTGTGTGAGCATGAGTGTGTAAATGTGTGCGTGCGAGCGTGAGTGTGAGCATGAGTGTGTGTGAGTGGGCATGATGAGTGTGCGTGTGAATGCTCGTGTGAGCGTGCGCGGCCGGGCCAGAGCCGCTGGGCGCAGGGAGCGGGAGGCCTGGGAGGAGCTGCAGGCCGAGGCTGAGCCACCTTCCTCAGGAGCTGTTCCCATCACCTCTAGGCGGCGCGGGAAGCGCTCGGTGTGCAGCGGTTCCTGAACCTGCATCACCCACAAAGAATTTTTTTTTTTTTTTTTTTGAGACGGAGTCTCGCTCTGTCACCCAGGCTGGAGTGCAGTGGCGCGATCTCGGCTCACTGCAAGCTCGGCCACCCAGGTTCACGCCATTCTCCTGCCTCAGCCTCCTGAGGAGCGGGGACTACAGGTGCCCGCCACCACGCCCGGCTATTTTTTTGTATTTTTAGTAGAGACGGGGTTTCACCATCTTAGCCAGGACGGTCTCGATATCCTGACCTCGTGATCCGCCCGCCTCCGCCTCCCAAAGTGTTGGGATTACAGGCATGAGCCACCGCGCCCGGCAAGAATTTTAAAGAAAGTAGGATCGGCCCGGGAGAAGGGCAGGGAGGAGGCCCGCGGAGGCTTGGCGAGGAGACCTGGGTGCCAGGAGACGGCGGAGCTCCCCGAGCTCTGGCTTTACCAGGTCAAGGCCCCTGTCACGAGGCGCGCGCCCTCAGGAGGCGACAGGGGGGCGACCCCCGCTATGGCTTCAGGGCCCCACCCGGAGGCGAACATTCCCGGCTCTGGACGAGCACGGCACGCAGGACCCGGAACCCAGGGTCCCGGGCGCACCCGCCTCGCGGTCCCCTTCCGCATGTCCGCGCCCCCTCGCTCCAGGCCCAGGGTCGGCCAGGAGGGAACCCCGGCCGCAGGCTCAGGGAGGCTTGGGGCCGGGGACGGACGGCGCCGTGGGGCCCGGCGGCCAGCGGCCAGGGCGACTGTCCCACGCGCGGCTGCTTTCCGGGACTTGAGCTGGAAGAAAAAAATACGGACTCCTTAGAGGCCAAATAGGAAAAAGAATAAGCAGGTAACCCAAGCATAGGAGCGTTCAAGCTAGCCTTGGCTCTAACGGTGTCTACAAACCTTGGTGAACTTGAGCAGGCGACAGTCTAGAGCCTCAGAACGTTGGCAGCTATGGAGGACACATGGCTCAGACTGCCCTTTAGGAATGAAGGTCTTATTCCAGCTGCTGAGACAGCCCCAAGCCAGCAGCCATCTTCAGAGATTGTCACCCCATCCTTCCTGGGGCAGCTGCATTTGGTGATTGATCTCTGCAGAGGTAGAAAGCCCAGTCCTCTCACCCCAACGTGGGGAGGGCTCTGAAGAGCCATCAAACCGTCCTAGTTACCCATTGCTGCATAACACATTTTCGCAAAACTTAAAAGCTTAAAACAAACATTTATTACCTTACAGTTTCCATGGGTCAGGGAGCTGCGCAGGGCTTAGCTGGGTGCCTCTGGCTCAAGGTCTCTGGAGGTTGCAGTCAAGATGTTGGCTGGGCTACTGTAGTTTGAAAGCTCAACTGGGATGGTGAGGGGCGACCTTTTCGAAAATCAAGCCTGTGATTGTTGCCAGTCCTTGGTCCCAAACCGCACAGCCTTTACACTGGGTTGCTTCACAGCACGGTGTCTGCTATACCCGGGCTGAGCAATGCTGAGAGGGAGAGAGGGCGTACACGGTGGAAGCCAGGACATCCCACCGCTTCTGCAGAATTCTCCACTAGAAGCAAGTCAATAACTCTGGCCCACTCTCAAAACAGAGATTCTACAAAGACCTGAATGCCAGGTGGCAGGGATTGCTGAGGCCCATCTTAGAGGCTGCCTGTCACACCGTCTTCAGAACTCCCTAGAGAGTTGGCTGAAGCGTCTGCTGAACCTTCATCATAGCTAGACTTCTCCTTCGCCCCATCCTGGTTCTTTTCCTTCCCTCCCACAGGGGTGGATCCTAAGAGCACTCACTAATAACCTTCCTAACTAAATGACATTTCAGAGAATGCTTTGCTGCAACAGAAATCTACCCAGGGATCAGCCAACTGTGGCCCACTGACATAATATCAACTCATTTAATTTTCCTGATATCCCCATGAGGTAGCTACTCTTGAGTATACCCATTTTATAGAAGGGGTAAAGTGAGGTGAAGAGACTTGCGAAACATTACAAAGTGAGTCAGTCGGCAGTGGACCGGAGATTCAGCTGCAGTCTGGGCCACCTCATCCTTACTCCACCTTCCTCCTACATCTTACATGTCTACCAGCAGTACAGTGCCTTTTGTTACCCACCAAACATGTCACCACAGGACATATTTATATGTTTTCTGAAGGTTCCCTGCTCTAAAATGTAAGCTTCATCAGGGCGGTAACACTGTTCTATTTTAGAACAATAGCTGGCATATAAGATGCCCCTCAATAGAGTTACTGCCTGCATGTGTGACACCTGGCACGCTGTCTTTGAATTATTTTGTTGTCTTTACCACCAGGTCTCATGTCTGTATTCCTCCTCCAGGGTCTGGGCGCATCGTGTAGCCAGTGCTTTTGAACACAGGTACCTAGGGCCTGAAGTGTGCCAGTTTCTCTCTTACTCCAACCTCATTTCCATGCCTGGGGATTATCTGTTCTTCCAATTGCAGCTTCACTGAATGCATTATAACCCGCAGTTTACTGCATTTGAGGACAATGAGACAGACACTGTGATCTTCAGAAACATGTTTTATTTTCTTTTTCCTGGTGAAGTTTAAGGGCTTTGGTTCATTTGGATAAAAATAGGTTTTTAGGTTTTACATTTTTACAAGCAACAACCATTATTACATGTGGGTGTGCTGTTTTTGTTTTGTTGTTTTGTTTTCTGAGACAAGGTCTTGCTCTGTCACCCACAGGCTGGAGTGCAGTGACATGATCTCAGCTCATTGCAGCCTCAACCTCCCAGGCACAAGCGATCCTCCTGCCTCAGCCTCCTGAGTAGCTGGGATACAGGTGAGTGCCACCATGCCTGGCTAATTTTTTTTTTTTTTTTTGTAGAGTGGGGGGTCTCACCATGTTTCTCCAGCTGGTCTCAAACTCCTAGACTCAAGGAATTCTCCCACCTTGGTCTCCCAAAGTGCTGGGATTACAGGCATGAGCCACCACACCCAGCCACATATGGTATTTTAACCTCAAATCCCTGTGGGGTCTATTCAAATGGGCCTAACCAGGTAGGTTATGACCCCGTGAAGGAAGACCAAAGCGCCAGCACCACGATTGCTTCCCAGAGATCTTCAAGGCCCTTTTCAGACTTCTCTTCTTCTACGCCCCACAGGGCCTGAAATGCACTAGGGAGATCCTTCAAGGAAGCTGACCCTAAGTCAAACCACAGACAAAACACAAGAAAGCACTCCATCATATGTAGGTTTCAAGTCAAATTAGACGTAGCTAGTTGTCCAAACTGACCTGCGAAGTCACACAATGTGCACCAAATGACATGATTTAACTTAAGAGGAAAAATCTCATCTGTTCTCACAGAGAAAGTTCTAAACTGCATACAAAACTGTCTTCCACCTCATTTCCCAGGGGCATCTTCCAATGGAACAGGTGGAGCTCCTTCAACAACTCTGTGGTTTGAGGACTGACACAAGTTTCCTGCTTGTCCCAAAGTGTCCAACAGTGATTAGGTCCCATGTGACATAGCAAAATGCACAGAAGCAGGAAAAGTTAAAACTATTGAGAAATTCCAAAAACAAAAAATAAGACCAACCATCTCATCAATAGACAATCGTGATGAAAATTTCTTCTTCTTCGGCTGGGCGTGGTGGCTCACACCTGTAGTCCCAGCACTTTGGGAGGCCGAGGTGGGTGGATCATGAGGTCAAGAGATCAAGACCATGCTGGCTAACATGGTGAAAACCCATCTCTACTAAAAAGGCAAAAATTAGCTGGGCGTGATGGTGCATGCCTGTGGTCCCACCTACTCGGGAGACTGAGGCAGGAGAATCGCTTGAACCCAGGAGGAGGAGGTTGCAATGAGCAGAGATTGCGCCACTGCACTCCAGCCTAGCAACAGGGTGAGACTCCGTCTCAAAAAAAAAAAAAATTCTTTCTCCTCCTCCTCCTCCTTCTTCTTCTATCTCCTCCTCCTCCTTCTCCTCCTCCTCCTTCTCTTCCTTCTCCTCCTTCTCCTTCTCTTCCTTCTCCTTCTCCTCCTCCTTCTTTCTCCTCCTCCTTCTCCTCCTCCTCATCCTTCTCCTCCTTCTTCTTCTTTCTCCTCCTCCTCCTCTGCCTACTCCTCCTCCGCCTCCTCCTTCTCCTCCTCCTCCTCTGCCTCCTCCTCTGCTTACTCCTCCTCCGCCTCCTCCTTCTCCTCCTCCTCCTCCTCTGCCTACTCCTCCTTCTCCTCCTCCTTCTCCTCTTTCTTCTTTCTCCTCCTCCTCCTCCACCTCCTCTGCCTCCTCCTTCTCCTCCTCCTCCTTCTTCTTCTTTCTCCTCCTCCTCCTCCGCCTCCTCCTTCTTCTTTTCTCCCTTGGCTCCTTGAAACTCAAACATGTAAGGAGATAACCTCCTTCTTCCTCCCAGTCCCAGTGGGAGGATGAGGACCTATCTTCAGTGGAAGCTTTGCTCCAACACACCACTTCTCCCATTTAAGAAAGGAGAACTTTGTTTCTCCTCTGGATAAGCACTAACTAGCAAACCCAGATGGCCTAGAGAGGTGGATCAAACCTGTTTTTTCACCCTTCAGTGCTTTTCCCCTAGCACACTCCAACCTTGAAAAAGTCTCCTGCCTTTTGCTTTGGCAAAGCTCAGTTTAGTTCACGCTGGACTCTCTTCCCTGTTGCAAGTCATTACTGAATAAAATCTGTCCTTACCATTTTGACTAGTCTCCTGGCTTTCCTTATCTTTGACACTCTGAGTCAGAATTCACTGTCCTGGGGTGAAAACTGCAATTCTGCCAGCAGAATGCCACCTCTGGCAGAAAAGGGCAAGCAAAACACTCCAAATTCCCAGCAAAATTTAGAAATGTTCAGTAATGGCCTTACGTTTCACACATTTTTTTTTTTTTTTTGAGATAGAGTCTCACTCTGTCACCTAGGCCAGAGTGCACAGGTACGATCTCAGCTCACTGCAACCTCCGTCTCCCGGGTTCAAGCGATTCTCCTGCCTCAGCCTCCTAAGTAGTTGGGATTACAGGCGCCCGCCACCGCACCCAGCTAATTTTTATATTTTTAGTAGAGATGGGGTTTCGCCATGTTGGCCAAGCTGGTCTTGAACTCCTCGCCTCAGATGATCCACCAGCCTCAGCCTTCCAAAGTGTTGGGATTACAGGCATGAGCCACCCCGCCCGGCCTGTATTTTGTTTTTTTTTTAAATTACAGACGGTGACTCAATCTGCCCAGGCTGGAGTGCGGTGACCTGAACACAGCTCACTGAAGCCTTGACTTCCCGGGTTCAAGCAATTCTCCTGCCTCAGCCTCCCAAGGAGCTGGGACCACAGGTGTGTGCCACCACATCTGGCTAATTGTTTTTTATTTTTGGTAGAGAGAGGTCTCACTATGTTGTCAAGGCTGATGTCGAACTCCTGAGCTCAAGTGATCCTCCTGCCTCAGCCTCCCAAAGTGCTGGGATTACAGGCATGAGACACAGCGCCCGACTCACACACTTTTAAATTTTGTTCTCCGCCTGATATTTAGCTTTACGGCATAGAAGAAATGGTTTAACCCCCTTAGCGACATGGCAGCTCTATGCCCTTTATTGTTCTACTGCTAAAGGTCTTTGGGTTTCTGTTTCTCCTTTTTTTTTTCTTTTTAAGAAATGAAATTATTTTCTTTTACCTACGTAAAAAGAGTATACCTTGGCGGAGAGCGTGGCACGGCTCTACGCACCCCTCCCTGCCTGCCCAGCGCCTTCCACGCGGGAAACTCCCCGCCGGTCTCAGCTCCACCCCGCGCTGCCCCGCCGGCTCGGCAGCACTCGCAGCCGGCGATCCGCTGGTGCAGCTCCACGATCCGCCTGCCCATCCGCGCCGCCTCCGCGGCCTTCCTCTCCGCCTCGGCGCACAGCCTGGCCACCAGATCCTCCGCCTCCGCGCGCGGGCTGGGTGCTGGGGCCCGGGCGCCCTGCTCCTCCGCCTCCATCTCGCTCTTGATGGCGTCGAGCAGGCTCTGGATCTCCAGCAGCTCCCTGCGGGCCCGCTAGTGCGCCCGGGCACGCTCGCACTCCAGGGAGGCCAGGTCCTCGCCGCCCACGCGGGGCGCCGGGCCACCTGGGTCTTTGCGGGCTCTCGCCTGGTCCGTGTCCACGTCAGGCAGGAGAACAGGGTCTGGAGGTAGGGAACTTAAGGCAGATTCCTGCTGACTTCCTAAAGCTGAATCAAGGGAAAACACCAAGGTCTGGGGCAGAGAATCTGAGGCTGATTAACTCAAACTTCCCAAACCAAAAGGAAAAGCACCATCTCCCCATTGGGAGTAGTAAAGCATCAAAGGCTACTCTCCCTACAAGCCTCCTCCCAGATGGAAAGGGAGCGTGCCTTGGAGTGGCCAAGAGCCATGCAGGGACCGTCCCTTCATCCGCATAGGGCGCCAGTTCACCCCAGCCTTTAGCCACAAACCAAAACCTTCATCCACATAAGAGGTAGCTGGTAAGAACCTCAAATGAAGTACTTAAAGCCCAGAAAACTTTCTAACTGGCCCTTGAGCTGCTTGCTCGGGCCCGCTCCCACCCTGTGGGTGCTTTCTCGCTTTAAGAAATTGCTGCTTTCCCTGCTTCTGTTCCTGCGTTTCATTCCTTTGTTACTTTGTTTGTGCGTTTTGTTCAATGCTTTGTTCAAAAGGCCAAGGACCAGGACAACCCACTCAAGGCCCTCCTCACGGTAACGCAAGGCCACAGCGCCGCCGCCCCTTCCCGCCCCGGGCCAGCCGGGCACCCACCAGCCGTGCGCGGACACCTCGCTGTCACCCGCGACAAGTTCTTGAAGTTCCTTTTTAGTTTAGATAAAATTTTACTCTAAAACTTTCAGCCCTGAAACAGCGAAGGCCACACCCAAATGGCCTTCCCGCTGCCAGCCGCCGCGGGGCCTCCTCGAAGCTCCTTTCACGGCAGCTCCAGGTTGCCACGCGCCCACGGGGGTTTCGGGCGGGGTCCCGTATCGTGCAGGCGCCATGGCGCGCTCTCGTCCCCCTTCCCCCACGCGCCCTCGCCTGCGCGGGCTCTGGGGTGGAGTCTGAGAGGGATTCCAGGGTTGGGGTTTTAACACTCAGTTGCGAGTGATTTTTGCACCAGAAACGGAAGGTTGCACCGAATACCGTGACCCAGGGCCACGAAACCCACGGCTGCACCTCAAACCGTCCCCGCCTCGCCAGGGAACCGCTGGCTTGTCTCCGCCGGCCCGACACAGGCCAGGCGAGGTTTTTGGAAACAAAATTGTTACCAAACAGTGGCATTTCCCAGGACAGCTCTTTGAAGGTAGAATCTGTCCGCACGTCTCCGCCAGGGTTGGCTGCCCAGCAGGGGCTCGGTACATTTTGTTTACCCTAAAGAATGCTGTCTGGAGGGGGTAGAAGATATGTTAAGGCCGGGCACGGTGGCTCAGGCCTGTAATCCCAGCACTTTGGGACGCCGAGGTGGGCGGATCACCTGAAGTCCGGAGTTTGAGACTAGCCTGGCCAGCATGGTGAAACCCCGTCTCTACTAAACGTACACAAATTAGCTGGGGGTGGTGGCGCATGCCTGTAGTCCCAGCTACTCGGGAGGCTGAGGCAGGAGAATCGCTTGAACCCGGGAGGCGGAGGTTGCAGTGAGCTGAGATCCAGCCATTGCACTCCAGTCTGGGTGACTAGCCTGAGACTTTGTCTAAAAAAAAAAAAAAAAAGATACGTTTATATTCCTGGTCTGTGGCCCACAAACGGGCTAATGGTAAAGACTGGGGAGACCCTGCTTGCACAAGTGCCCCTGATTGGAAACTCAGTTCTCTAGGGGTGAAATGGAGCTGGTAGGCCCCTGTGACTGTGAGAGAAGTGAGAAAAAAAGGCATGACAGTGCATTGTACAGTTGCCAAAACACCAGGCAGAGGCAGGTGGCATCGCTACTATGACAGTCATTAGACTACACAGTGCATTCAGAGTCGTGTGGGAACTACATCCAATATTCGGACCCTGGCTTCACAACCTGCTGGCTGGGGGACTGAGGGCCAATCAGCCTGAGGGTAGCTCTCTTGGCCTGTGCCACCACCTGAACTTAGTGGAGTTGGGTACCATCACCTCTAGGGAGGTGTGGCAGGCAGAGTGACCCCCATAGAAGTCCACATCCTAATCCCTGGAACCTGTGATTGTGTTATAAATTATATGACATATTTTGTAATTACGAATATATCATATTACATGGCAAAATGGATTTTGCTCATGTAATTAAAGTTAAGGGTCTTAAGGAGAATGAATAGCCTGGATTATCCAGGTAGGCCCAGCCTAATCCTGAGTCCTTAAAGTGAAAAACGCTCCTAGGCTGGAGTCAGAGATAGAAAACGAAGGCAGAAGAGAGATTTGGCAGAAGAAATCCGTGCTATTCCAAGCAGGAGATGACTGGTCCTGCCTGTGCTGACTCTGAGATGTGGGGGGTTTGGACCCTAGCTTCACAGCTTTGTGGCTGGGGCGGGGCGGGGCGGGGGGTTGGACAATGAGGAGGATTTGACAAACCACTGCTGGTTTTGAGACACAGGTGGCCACATGAAAGGACAGGAGGGAGGCCTCCAGGAGCTAAATGTGGCCCCCAGCTGAAGCCCAGCCTGCAACCACAAGGAACTGGATTCTGCCAGCAACCTGAATGCACTTAGAAGCGGTTTCTCTCTGGAGCCTCCTGATAGGAGCCCAGCCAGCCAACACCTTGATTTTGGCCTTGTGAGACCTAGAGCAGAGAAACCTTCTAAGCCATTCGTGACTTCTGACCTTCAGGACTATGATGATAAATGTGTGTTATTTTGAGCTGTTAATTTGTGATAATTTGTTGTAGCAGCAGTTGAAAACTTGAAGCTTAGTCTGCAGAAAGTCTAAGGATGGATAAAAATGAATGAAGACCCTCAAAGCCGTGCCCCCACCTTATTATTCTCCTCTGGGTTCTCCTAACCCTAATTCTAACCCTATCTTCTTTTTTTTTTTTTATACTTTAAGTTCTAGGGTATGTGATCACAACTTGCAGGTTTGTTACATATGTATACACGTGCGATGTTGGTGTGCTGCACCCATTAACTCGTCATTTACATTAGGTATATCACCTAATGCTATCCCTCCCCTCTCCCCACCAACCCCACAATAGGCCCCAGTGTGTGATGTTCCCCTTCCTGTGTCCAAGTGTTCTCATTGTTCAATTCCCACCTATAAGTGAGAACATGCGGTGTTTGGTTTTTTGTCCTTGTGATAGTTTGTTGAGAATGATGGTTTCCAGTTTCATCCATGTCCCTACAAAGGACATGAACTCATCCTTTTTTATGGCTGCATAGTATTCCATGGTGTATATGTGCCACATTTTCTTAATCCAGTCTATCATTGATGGACATTTGGGTTGATTCCAAGTCTTTGCTGTTGTGAATAGTGCTGCAATAAACGTATGTGTGCATATGTCTTTATAGCAGCATGATTTATAATCCTTTGGGTATATACCCAGTAATGGGATTGCTGGGTCAAATGATATTTCTAGTTCTAGATCCTTGAGAAATAGCCACACTGTCTTCCACAATGGTTGAACTAGTTTATAGACCCACCAACAGTGTAAAGGTGTTCCTATTTCTCCACATCCTCTCCAGCACCTGTTGTTTCCTGACTTTTTAATGATCGCCATTCTAACCGGTGTGAGATGGTATCTCATTGTGGTTTTGATTTGCATTTCTCTGATGGCCAGTGATGATGAGCATTTTTTCATGTGTCTGTTGGCTGCATAAATGTCTTCTTTTGAGAAGTGTCTGTTCATATCCTTCGCCCACTTTTTGATGGGGTTGTTTGTTTTTTTCTTGTAAATTTGTTTGATTTCTTTGTAGATTCTGGATATTAGCTCTTTGTCAGATGAGTAGATTGCAAAAATTTTTTCCCATCCTGTAGGTTGCCTGTCCACTCTGATGGTAGTTTCTTTTGCTGTGCAGAAGCTCTTTAGTTTAATTAGATCCCATTTGTCAATTTTGGCTTTAGTTGCCATTGCTTTTGGTGTTTTAGACATGAAGTCCTTGCCTATGCCTATGTCCTGAATGGTATTGCCTAGGTTTTCTTCTAGGGTTTTTATGGTTTTAGGTCTAACATTTAAGTCTTTAATACATCTTGAATTAATTTTTGTATAAGGTGTAAGGGAGGGATCCAGTTTCAGCTTTCTCCATATGGCTAGCCAGTTTTCCCAGCACCATTTATTAAATAGGGAATCCTTTCGCCATTTCTTGTTTTTGTCAGGTTTGTCAACGATCAGATGGTTGTAGATGTGTGGTGTTATTTCTGAGGGCTCTGTTCTGTTCCATTGGTCTGTATCTCTGTTTTGGTACCAGTACCATGCTGTTTTGGTTACTGTAGCTTTGTAGTGTAGTTTGAAGTCAGGTAGCGTGATGCCTCCAGCTTTGTTCTTTTGGCTTAGGATTGACTTGGCAATGTGGGCTTTTTTTCTAACCCTATCTTTTTATACATTTTGGTGGATTCTCTTTAATATTTCCTCTAGAGTGTGTGTTGCAAATATCTTCTCCCAATTGAAGCTTGACTATTTTCTTTTAAATGGACTTTATTTTTTAGAACAGTTTTAGGTTTATAGAAAAATCGAGAAGATAGCACAGAATGCAGCTCAACTTTTCACTTTGATGATGGTTCCTTTGATTAGCACCATATTTTAGCTTAAAAATTGACTGCAAAAAAGTAAAATAAATTTATTATAGTAAAATATGCATAGTAGATTTACCATTTAACCATTTAAGGGTACAGTTCAGTGGCAGTAAGTCCATTCAAACTGTGCAACCATCACCACCATCTGCCTCAAGAACTTTTTCATCCTCCCAAACTGAAACTTTGTCCCCATTAAACATTAATTCCCCAATCCTCCCTCCCCCAGCCCCTGGCATCCACCATTCTACTTTCTGTCCCATGAATTGGACTGTTCTGGCTTCTTTAAAAATTGAGGTGAAATTAATGTAACATAATTACCCACTTTAAAGTGTACAATTAAGTGGTATTTAGTGTATTCACAATATTGTGTAACCACTAGCTCTCTCTAGTTTCAAAACTTTCTCATCTTTCTATAAAAATACCCAGTACTCAAGGCCAGGTGCGGTGGCTCACGCCTGTAATCCCAGCACTTTTAGAGGCCGAGGTGGGCCGATCACAAGGTCAGGAGTTCAGGACCAGACTGGCCAACGTGGTGAAACCCCGTCTCTACTTAAAATACAAAAATCAGCCAGTCGTGGTGGCGGGTGCCTATAATTCCAGCTACTTGGGAGGCTGAGGCAGGAGAATCGCTTGAACCTGGGAGGCGGAGGTTGCAGGGAGCCAAGATTGCATCATTGCACTCCAGCCTGGGCGACAGAGTGAGACTCCATCTCAAAAAAACAAAACAAAACAAAACCCAGTACTCATATAATAATCACTCCACATCCTGCCTCCCCTTACCCAATGGCCAATACTCATCTCCTTTCTGTCTCTGTGGATTTACCTGTCTGTACATATCATATGTGTTAGTCTGCTAGGGCTGCCGTAACAGAATACCACAGACTGGGTGTTTAAAACAACAAAAATCTACTTTCTCATGATTCTGGAGCCTGAAAGTTCAAGATCATGGTGCCAGCAGGGTTGGCTTCTCCTGAGGCCTCTCTCCCTGGCTTGAAGATGGCCTTTTCTTTTTCTTTCTTTCTTTCTTTCTTTTTTTTTTTTTTTAGACAAAGTCTGACTGTGTCACCCAGGCTGGAGTGCAGTGGTATGATCTTGGCTCACTGCAACCTCCGCCTCCCAGGTTCAAGCGATTCTCGTGCCTCAGCCTCCTGAGTACCTGGGACTACAGGCATGCCCCACCACACCAGCTAATTTTTGTATTTTAAGTAGAGACGGGGTTTCTCCATGTTGGCCAGGATGGTCTTGAACTCCTGACATCAGGTGATCTGCTGCCTCAGCCTCCCAAAGTGCTGGGATTACAGGCGTGAGCCACTGTGCCTGGCTATACTTTGTTAATTTTTATGGCTGAATAATATTTCTTTGTATGGCTATTCCGCAGTTTATGAATGAATGTTTATTCATTCATCAGTTGATTCTGTTGGTGGCCATTTGGGTTGTTTCTGCCTTTTGACTAGTATATGCTGCCATCAGCATTCATGTATAAGTTAAGATTTTAGTTTTGGTGAAGACAAAATATCAGTCTTTTCTGCTTTTTGCTTTTTGTCTTGTAAAGAAAGCCTTTCATGCTCTGAAGCCATACAAATTTTCCTTTAAGTTCTCTAAAGTATTTAGTTAGATAATTAGTTTTTTATATCTGTGGGTTACTCCATCTGAAAATAATTTTTTTGTGATGTTTGTGGCAGGGATCTAATTGCAGTTTCCCCCACATGTATAGCCATTTGTCCTAGCCCTACATGGTGACTGTTTTTGTTGTTGGTGGTGGTTTTTTTTTTTTTTTTTTTTTTTTGAGTCTTGCTGTGTCACCAGCCTGGTGAGATCTTGGCTCACTGCAATTTCCACCTCCCGGGTTCAAGCGATTCCCCTGCCTCAGCCTCCCAAGTAGCTGGGACTACAGGCATGTGCCACCATGCCCAGCTAATTTTTTGTATCTTAGTAGAGACGGAGTTTCACCACGTTGGCCAGGATGGTCTTGATCTGCTGACCTCGTGATCCGCCCGCCTCGGCCTCCCAAAGTGCTGGGATTACAGGCGTGAGCTACCGCGGTGGGCCCATGCTGACTGTTTTATCCATTCTTTCTGGGTTGCTGTGTAACGTGTGTCAGGTATCGTA